>NC_000011.10:62706892-63009922 GCF_000001405.40 Homo sapiens
GCAGTCTTCTATTTTGTAGACGTCTAATCACCCCAGATAAAGTCCTTCAGAGGCAAGGCCAGTGTTGTGTACATCTTTGCACACTGCTGCGGGCGTGGGAAGTAATCTATTCAAAATGAATGAAATTCTTAAAACCAATCCATCCCCCCGCCCCCTTCACGCCAGCCCACCTATTTCCAGTATATTTCTGCTGACTGTCCCCACAAGGGCCCCTACCTCCTCTTTGTCCGGTCCTTTGATCTGGTCTCCGCACACCTCTTTTTCCCCAGCTTCCTCCTTTTGGTCTACCTTTTCTGTAGACATCTTCCTGACGAGCCTCTGTTGACTCTGGATCTTCCACTGAGTCACTTGTGGCTAAAACGTGAAGTGGCGATCCAGACGCTGATACCTGTGGCGCATCACATTTTCCTGGATATGGAAAATGGAGGGTCCCTGGGAGAGAAACGAAGATTCAGGTGCTAAGTGCTGTGTCAGAGTAGAGGGAGGAAAGGAGGAGGGGGGCGACTGCCCAGCTGATGTCAGATTTTCAAATGAGCAGGGTCCCCCGCAGCCAGTACAGACTCCACTGCAGGGGCCGTCATAGGCCCAGACCACGCCATTTGAGAGGGGGAGTCGGCCTTGGCCTCAGCTCTGTTGGGGAGGTCTCTAGCCCAGAGTCAGGATGCCTGCAATGGGGGAGGGGCAGGCAGTGAACTAGCGACAGTGGGGGTGTGCGCAGGGATGCAGGCAGCTAGGCTCCCCCACTGGCCAGGCAGTTGGTATGCTCCAGGATCTGAGCAGCTCCTTCTAGCATCCTTCATCCTTCAGGTACCAGCCATCCAGACAGTGCTTGAGCTGCAGAAACTGAGACCAGACCTCTGGCCTGGCCCTCCCCAGGGGCCTCCTTTCGTATAGTCACTGCTTCTGCATCAGATACTTTCAGCTGCAACTCCCTACTGGGTGGGGCACCCATTTCAGGCAGAAGGTTTTGGTACCCTCCACTGACCCTACACCCAGGGCTGCTACTGCCGCTTGTGGCTTCAGGTAAGTAATGGCCTGTTTTTCTCCTGTTGGGGCTCACTGGAGCAGACAGGGGTGATGTGCCCTCCTCATCAGGGTTGGTTGAGGTCTTCAGAGCTGGGAACACACATGGTTTGAAGGGCTGAAAAGCCTTAAATCATTTGTGTAAGGTTTAATGATCTGTGGCCCAGGCCATGAGGGAGTTTGGGGAGCACCTCATCCCACCCTATTTTTTTCCATGAGGAATACAGGGATGAGACAGTCCACTGGAGGAGGAGGAGGAGGATAGGAGGGGAACAAAATATTGGGGTATGACCACAGCCTTGTAAAGGTTGGTGTGGAGTGAGCATGGAGGGGGGCCTCCAGCTGAGACTGTGCTCTGAGAGGTCCCTCTTTTTTCCAGGATGAAAGGTGAGACCCCGGTGAACAGCACTATGAGTATTGGGCAAGCACGCAAGATGGTGGAACAGCTTAAGATTGAAGCCAGCTTGTGTCGGATAAAGGTAGGTGGGACCCTGGCTGGCTCCCATTAGTTGGCCAGGCTGTGCTGTGCTGCAGGTTCCCAAAGCTCAAGATAAGAGATGCGTTCTTTCCTTCACTCCCTGAGGTCAGGGGAGGAGTCTGGGGCTCTGTAGAGAGAGCTGTCCCCAGGCCTCTGGGGGGGATGAGGGAGAAGACAAGTCGTAAGGAGCCCTGGAGATGGCAAAAGAGAACCCATTTGGGGAGGGAGGCTGCAGTCCCCTTCAGAGGTCCTGGCTAACAATACCCTTCCTGGCTGTGTCCCAGGTGTCCAAGGCAGCAGCAGACCTGATGACTTACTGTGATGCCCACGCCTGTGAGGATCCCCTCATCACCCCTGTGCCCACTTCGGAGAACCCCTTCCGGGAGAAGAAGTTCTTCTGTGCTCTCCTCTGAGCTCCCCTGTCCCTTCTCACAACTCCTCCCTTTTCCCTCTCCTGGGCCCTTCCTTAGGTCAGTAATTGTTGTGAGCCCCTTAGGCTCCTTGCATCCCATCCCTAACCCTTGCCTGACCATGTGAGGTTATCTGAAGCACAAGGCCCACCCTCACCTATCTGTCGACCCCATTTCCTACCACCTTTGTGGCCGACCCCAAGCACCCCAGAGATATGAGGCACCCTTTGCTCCACCCACAGCAGGGCCCCGTCAGACTCTGCCAGCGCGTCCTGCCCGCTTCCCTCGGTGACCTGCTCAGACAATGGAGAGGGATGGGCCAGGTTCTTGCTCTCAGTCTCACCTGGAGCTACTGGGAGGGTAAAGCCATTTGAAGAATAAAGTCATCCAGAGCCTCAGGACAGCTCCTGTGTTAGAATTCTTGGGGGGAGAGGATCATCAAGCAATAGATCTGCCATACCCAGGGAAAAGGGCCAATCAATGCAGGCTAGACATCGTCAAGGATCGGAGATCAGAGGGGTCGGGGGATGGCGGGCGCGAGAGAGCGTCCACAGTGTAAGAATTAAGTACAAAAGACGCTCAAGAGGCTGCGAAGAGCAAACACACACACACAAACGTGCAACGAAGCCAAGTTAAAAGGTAAACAGGCCGAAGAGGGGGGATTTAGGGGAGGGTGCGGGAGTGCAGTCGTACAGCAGAGGAACTCTTAGGAGGGTAGGGGCGGAGCTTGGCTTCAGTTACCGCGACTGGAGCCGATTTTATACCTAAGATGGCTGCGCCCACAGCCACTCCCATTCCAAGATGGCCGTACCAACATGGCAGCCCCCACGTCACGGAGTTTACCGTACAGGGCTTCTCTTAAAATGGCGGCCCCCAGGCAACCGGCGTTCTCAATATGGTCCCTTCCGCCCTCTTCTGGTCTCAAAATGGCTGCCCCTGCCCTAACCAAGCCGGGGCCCGCGCCCTGCAACCCCGAAATCTGGATTTCGGTGTCCTCCCGATTGAGTCGAAGGCACACGGGCGGCCATAACGAAGAATCACTAAACAAGGGGACCCCAGGAAGTACAGCGTGGCCGACGCTGGTCGCGTGGATCTTGCGAGGGAATCTAGGTTTCTACATTTTGCCAAGAAAGGAGAGGCTCCCTTTGGAGCGGAAATATTAGCGGCAGGGGGTTAACCCCCGACCCTGTCCGTCTCGGTGCACCGCTCCTCAGTTGCTTCCTGGTCTTCCCAGGAGCTGGATAAGCCTGAAGTTGCTCAGTTTGGGTTTCCTAGTAGAACTGGGGCTTGTTTTTGCTTTCATTTTCCCCTCAGGCCGATTCAGCCACAGCAGCCAGAAAGCAGTGGCCGCACCCCTAATGTGCCTTGCAAAAGTCCAGCATGCTGTCTGGGCAGGGACCAAACTTAAGGCTTAACATGTCATGGTCATCTCCAGGACTCAAACATGGCGGAGGTTTACGAACACCAGAATGCCTCCTAGAATCTTTTCCTTCCAAGGGTGCACAGAGGCGAGATGGGACCAGGGACAAGACAAAGAACGTAACAATCCCAGTACGTGTGCTCCTGCTAGAGGTCCCCTAAACTCAGGGACGCATCCTCCCCAGGAAAAGCCTAGGCTGGCTCCTGTTTTGTGCCTGGATATACTTCGGGAAGGGAGGCTGCTTTGAAATAGTAGGGACAGCTCATTACCTCCAGCTTCCAGGTATCTTTGCACAGAAGACAGCAAAGTGGATAAAGGAAACCAAAGGAAGAAAGGTTGTTATCACCAGCAACTGAACTTAGCCTCCTAAGGATATCTTCATGAATTCCAGGGACACCCAGTGAACTTGGGTCACCTTAAGGTGTCCCAAGCAACTTTTTACTGTTGATGGAACTTCTGAGCTCTAAGAAGTCCTGGAGATCTTCTAATTAATTCCCTCATCCTAGAGATGAAGAAACGGGAGAAGTTTGCCCTCCTGGAGTGGGACCCTACCCCCATTCTGTTGCGGAGGAGCCTCAGTTCCTTCTTGGCACGGTGAAAATTCCAGGAAGGATCAATCAGGTCAGGTCCGTTTTAATCCCTGTATCCTGATAATGGCACATATCAGGCACCCAAATACCCAATGAATAGATTGTACTGTACATGCTTAAATGGCAAATGTGGCATGGCAGGGACCAAGCACCTTGCCTCCCTCACCCCCACTGTATCACGGTGTTGGGCAAGTTCCAGGGGAGTAAGTGAAATTTTCCACAACAGCTCAGACATGGTTAAATAAAAAAAAAAAAAATTAGAGTGTTTAATAAATGTAACCTTGATTTTTAAGAAAGCCTCTTTTTGGCCGGCCGGGCGTGGTGGCTCATGCCTGTAATCCCAGCACTTTGGGAGGCCGAGGCGGGCGGATCATCTGAGGTCAGGAGTTCGAGACCAGCCTGGCCAACCCGGTGAAAACTGTCTCTACTAAAAATACAAAAATTAGCCGGTGTGGTGGCGGGTACCTGTAATCCCAGCTACTTGGGAGGCTGAGGTAGGAGAATCACTTGAACCCGGGAGGCAGAGGTTGCGGTGAGCCGAGATTGTGCCACTGCACTCCAGCCTGGGCAACAAGAGCGAAACTCCGTCTCAAAACAAAACGAAACAAAACAAAGCGCCTCTCTTCAATTTTTCTGCACACTCAATGTTCCTACCCATCAGATTATAACTGCGTGGCTACAGCGCTAGGTGGGAAAATGGGGTTTAAGCAGTAACTAGAGACCAGGCATGAGCTATGATTAACCACTTTAAAAAATGATTAATTAGCTCTAACAGCAACTTAAATGTCCTAAAGAATAGATGGCTACCAAAATTAAGGGTGGCCTTCAGGGTACAAAACTGTAAACCCGGGTATCTGAATCCGTGTCACATACAGAGGGTAGGAATTAGAGCAGTATCTACATCAATACTACTACTCCTTCAGAACACTGGATGTCATGAGCCTGTGGTATCTCAGCTTTAAGACCCTGACCATTTATTAGAAACTGCCGTTAGGATCATTTCAGTGCTAATAATGCAATGGTGGCTGGGAGCGGAGGCTCACACCTGTAATCCCAGCACTTTGGGAGGCTGAGGCAGGCAGATCACGAGGTCAGGAGTTCAAGACCAGCCTGGCCAATATGGTGAAACCCTGTCTCTACTAGGAAAAAAAAAAAAAAAAAATTAGCTGGGCCTGGTGGCACACATGTGTAGTCCCAGCTACTCGGGAGGCTGAAGCAGAAAAATCGCTCGAACCCAGGAGGCGGAAGTTGCAGTGAGCCGAGAGCGTGCCACTGCACTCCAGCCTGGGTAACAGAGCGAGGCTCTGTCAAAAAAAAAAAATAAAAATAAAAATAAAAAATAAAAAAGCAATGGCGCTGTTGTAAATTTAATTTACCGTCTCGTTCTCCAGATTCACTGGAAAATAACCCCCATCAAACTTCTGTTGAATGAGTGGGCTTTCCCCCTAGCAGTAATTATTCATGAATATACTTATTTGGCTCCACAATGTACATTTAACTTCAAGCATCCAACTAGTTTTTGCATAGGCCAAATACAGAGGTCGTGAGTTATAATTTATTTTCCTATACTTCAATGGCTCGACTCTTGGCCTAAGCAAGCACTAAATAGACTAATAACTACCCACCCATGTCAACTGACTGCATGGCTGGCTCCCAAGTGAAGGCATGGTAGAATAGGGAGGGAACGGCAGCCACCATGCAAGAGGAGAGTCCTCCTTGGTTGGAGCCCATGCGACCTGAGAAAGAGGCATTAAAAAATGAATAAATAACCCAGTGACACCCTCCGCCCCAGTCAGTGCAGCCACAGGAGATAGGGTGAATTCAATCCAAATGGTTATTTATTCTAAAACTGGAAGCTACTTTGCCTACATTTTCGCCAGAATGGTGTAATGAGAACAGGGGAGGAAAAAGTTACAGATGTAAACAATGACACAGTTACATTTTTTTTTTAAATGGTAAAACCCCTTTTTACTGGCCACTTCCAAGAATGCTTTACAGGTTGTGCAAAAACATTTACAGGCTCCATGTGGTGTTTTTCTCACAAGCTTTCCTGTCTACAACTACAACAGACGTCTGATAAAACACTAAACAAGTCTTCTAAGGAAAACAAGGCTAGGGATTCCTCTGGTTACCATAATCCACATTTTCCCCCTTAACATAGTTTTTCATAATAAAAAGACAGAAACAAAACCCGGACATCTACTGTTGTTGCAAATGATCTCTTGGACTAAACCAACAAGGATGTGGCAGTTTCACTTTCCACCCACCTAGAAAAACAGTTTTGTAAAAAAGATTACTTTCTAGTGTCAAATATCAACAGCGAGTACCTCCCCTAACCCCTGCTGGAAAAAAACTCAACTTGATTTAGTTTAGTCCCCTTGCCCCTAAGGGCCCTAGCATCCCCATCCATGTCACAGACTACAAGAAAGATGCTATTTGCAGGACTAAACATCTGAAAAGGGGTGGCAGCCACTGCCTCAGGAAATTCAATTTTCTATTATAACATAATCTTGCCCTAAGGGAATTTCTTTGGGCTCCAGTTTTTACCTCCTTGCCTTGACATTATAAGCAAAGCTTTCTCAAACTCCCTTAATAATAATACAAAGTTAATGTGTTACAGAAAAATTCATGCAATCACTCCACTGCCACACAGAAATCCATTTGAGGACACCGCAGGGAAGCAGGTGCCAAGAGAAAGGACATGACTATGAGTAAGCAAACTTATCTCCTACCAGCCCCATTCCAGCCTTGGGGTCAGAGGTATTTGGGCGGAAGGGTGTGTCATGACAGACAAGGACACTAGAGGCCAGAATAAGGGTCTGTACACCTGAACAAGGGCTGCAGGGCAGTAACAGTGGGAGGAGGAGAGGAAGACCAAATCAGCCCACAATTTTAAACAGAGAACTGCCCAGGTGAGGAAATGGAAGTGAAGCATTTTCTAGTGGCACAGATTTTCTCACTAGGAACTGCTGCAGTATGTGGTGTCTGCTGAGTAAGCTCTTGGCTGACAGTGCTGAGCAGGAGGATGAATGAAAACTGAAGCTAGACATTGAAAGAGCATTCCATATCCCACCCATATTCTTGAACCCAGCAACCTACAGCTGTCTATCAAGAACTGGGAGGGTATTGGTAAAGTCACAAATGAAACTATCCCAACTGAAGGCTCCTGGCTAGAGGCCTCTCTGGGGACACACAGGGAAAGCGCCCCAAAAGGAATTTTGTTTCTAGAAGTCGGGAAGGGGTGCTCCCTTTCACACGCACATTTACACACGTTCACACTCACACTCTTCCCAAGGTTCAGCAGCCCCACTGAGCTGCCTCCCACCCCCCCCCACCACCCTCCCCTCTTCTATTCATTCTCTACCTGTGTATCAAAAAAACCAGCAGGGCACGAGCCCTCCACACTGTAGAAAATAGTTGCTAGTTGCTATTCTCAGCACCTGGGCCTGTGAGCCCACACCACAGGATTCACCTATATACATATCCCGCTGCAGTGAAAAGAATCCTGCTGTGTTTTCGTGTGAGCTGAAACCCTGAGAAACGTTCCTTCTCTCGCACTGTAAGAGGACAGACACTCTAACAGGGATGATTTCAGAGACCTCCCACCTCTCTCAACCTTGGAAGACAGAGACTAGAGACTGGCAAATCACAATCTTTAGGCTGAGGGCTGCAATCCCATTCTCCCCAAGATTTTACAGGAATTAATCAATGGGTCTATAGAAGGGGCAGGCTATTCTGCTCTGCCATCAAGGACAGTCCCCAGGCTTTCTTGGCCTGGGAATCCTGTAAAATAGAACCACCCACTGGCAGTCTCCATGCCTCAGCCAAACAGCACAAAGGCACAGGAAAATGGAGAGTTGGGACACTGTAAGCCTCCCAGCCCACCAGACCACATATCCCAAAAGGGAAAGGTCGGTAAAGAAAATACAAACGGTTAGTTGGTGCAAGTGATTGATAAGAGCCAATCGTTTATTTTCACTGTCCCAGTCACAAGCTCTCCCTCTGTCCCCACTCCTGCCTGCTCCTACCTGCTGTGGAGAGCACCCTCGCGCTGCCTCCCCACCCTCCCCACACCACCTCATCACTCTCCTTTACTTGGCTGCCAGTCCAGCTGCCTCAGAATGTCAGAAGGGTGCCATTTTCAGTTCTTTTCCTGTCTGACTGTAGGGTATAGAACAGGCAGCCCTAAGTGCTGCTTTCTGCGCAAATGTTTTTTGATTACAAATCTCTAACTAGGTTTGAAATGTTTTATAGAATAAGACAATATTCTTTTCAACAAACTTTAAAAAAAATGTACAGTTTTGTTGTTTGTTTCCACCTCCCCCCTCCCCCACCCCTGCTTGAGCACCCTCCCCCCCCACCACCCCTCCCCGGCAGCTCAGCCCCACCCCGACAGCCCCTGTTTTCCTTGGTTGTGTTTTGCGGGGGTGCCTGGCACCCCCAGAGATTCAGCTTCATGGCTGACAGGTGACCATGGCAGGGGCTTCACCGATACCCTTGGTACCCGTAGTAATTCCTGTAGTATCGGTCTCTGTCCTGGGGGTGGTGGTAGTAGTAACTCTGCCACTAGAAGAGAGGGAAACCCCATCACTTGGAGCCAGAGCTGGCTGAGGATGAAGAGGCATAACACTCATCCTTCTGCTCCTGCCCCCCTTCACCCTGTGTCTATCCCAAGAAGATACTCACATCCCGATTGTATTGTCTGTAATAGTCTCTGTATCTGTTGTACTCATAATCTCGCCCGTAAAATCGATCATAGTCTCCCCTGTATCGATCATAGAAATTACGGTAACCCTGAGAAAGGAAAAGAAAAAGGAGTGAAGGTTTATGGGTTTTTGGCAGCATGACCCACCGTGACCCCCTTTTAAATGCGACACATCTTAGCTCGATATTATAAATTGGTTTAATTTTCCCATAGTAAATCTTCCAGAACATATTAAATGGGCAAAACCCTAAGCCCTAAGAAAACAGGCAAACCACTCTGCTCCCCCAAGCCAACAGAATGGCTCTCACAGCCCAGAGTGAGGAGCAGAAGGAGAGCTGCACTCACCCCTCTGTTTCCAGGCTGCCCCCAGTACTGCTGCCCGTAGGCCCGGTTGTCGTAGCCTCGGCGCTGCCCGCCCACTGGAAGAGAAATGGAGAGCGCGCTCAGACAGCTGGCATGGGGTCCTGGCTCCACATCTGGGTGGAAATCAAAAACTTGGAGCCAAAGGCAATTCTGGGGGAATATGAGGCCTGCTTCGGCCAGGCTCACACATGTTAATTAAAGCACCAGCCAGGAACTTTTAAAAAGTCTGAGGGGGGAGGGCAGAGGAACAGAGACACAAGAAAACCAAGCCACTTTGTTTTTGAAGCTCCCCAATTCCTGCAAAACATTTAAGATGGCAAAAGGATACATGGCAGAGTTAGAAACATAAGGAAAAACTGCCATTCATAGAATCAGACTTTCAGCCCTGGAAGGGATTTCAGATATCGTATAACCCATACCTATCATTTTATGCAAAAGAAACAAAGTCTCTGTAATCAGCTCCTCAAGGGCGGGAACTGTCAGCATTTACAGTACCTAGCACATAGCAGGCACTCGGAAATTCTGCTGACTTAACAGTTACACACACACATACACACACATTTTTAAAGAGCAGTGAATGCACACTGGGGTTTTAACTGACAAACTAGACATTCAGGGGGAAAATTAATTCTACTAATAGCCTAACTTGCTTGGTTAAGTTCTTCCCCCCACAAAAAACACTGAATAAAGCATTCGCTTTCTTGTTAATCGAAATGACACAGAAGCAAGAAAACTGAAGATGAGAATTTGATTTCACTGCACAAATCCTTCAGATAAGACAGGAACAGTGACACTGGGAACCCATATGTTAAAATGAAAACTAGATAGATGAGAAAGCCCAAGCATTGCTTTTCAAAGAAACAAATACTTTTGTGAAAAGTAACTCTTTTTTAAAAAAGAGGATTTTTGTTGTTGTTGAAGAATTATGGAAAAAGCACAAGAAAAAGGCAGGGATAAAGAACACAGGAAGAAATAAGCTCCATGAAGAAGGCACTTCCGTATTGTTAATGACCTGACTTGGTTTCCTTGGCCTTCCCTTGCACATCTTGCTGTACTAAGCACAAAGAATGGACTGAAGTAGGGGGCTGGCAGGTCCCCAAGACTCACCATAGCCTTGGCCCCGGCTTCGGTTCTGCCGGTTACGCTTGTTTCGGTTGTTTCGGCGATTTGTCCGCTTCTCGGAGGGGGGCAGAAGCTTCCTTGCCTCCTCCTTGTACTTAGTGACAATGGGCTGAGCTTCCTCCTTCTCCAGCTCCCCATATGTCACCTCATCCATATAGTCGCATTTTTCAGGCAAAGAGAAGTTGGCTATAAGAGTAAGAGAGAAGCTTGT
The DNA here is from genome assembly GCF_000001405.40 of Homo sapiens. Lineage (NCBI taxonomy): Eukaryota > Metazoa > Chordata > Mammalia > Primates > Hominidae > Homo > Homo sapiens. The sequence continues at coordinate 62,717,215 of NC_000011.10, forward strand.
GGGCCTGAAAAGTGCATAGATGGGTAAGAACTCATTATGAAAACTCTACAAGAAGCATATGACTTTCTATGCCTCATCTATTACTGCACAAAAATGTGCTACGTTTATACCCACTCGCATCTAAATAATGACATTAACTTTTTCTACTCTAAGTTTTCCCTAAATTGTAACAGACCCAGGCAAAGGGCTATGTAGATTTACAAGTTCTTAAGTGATCTATAATAAATTAGGAGTGAACTGGGTTAAAGTTTCTCATCAGGACAGAAGCAGGTAACCAGAGGCTAAAAGTAACTGAGAAAGTTCTGGTGTTGGTCAGATAAGATGCTAAGAAATAACATTTTAAAAAGAGACTCAGAGATGGCCGGGCATGGTGGCTCACGCCTGTAATCCCAGCATTTTGGGAGGCCAAGGCAGGCGGACTGCTTGAGGTCAGGAGTTCGAGACCAGCCTGGCCAACATGGTGAAACCCTGTCTCTACTAAAAATACAACAATTAGCCAGGCATGGTGGCAGGTGCCTGTTATCCCAGCTACTCGGGAGGCTGAGTGCCACTGCACTCTGGCCTCGCTGACAGAAGAGAGACTCAATGAGAAACTGACCCAAGCCTAAAGGCATCTGCTCATCTATACAAGGAGAAGAGAAGACAAGAGTACAAGGGCTCTCATTTACCACCTGTCCGTGATAGGCCAGCACATCTGCCAGTCTCTGGACGTCAACTTCAGAAGCTGAGTCCCAGTGGAAATTCAGTTCAATGGGGCTCTCATGATTCTTAGATGAATCCAGTTGGCCCTCAATTTTATAAAACTGAGCTACATTTCTCTGAGTGCCTAAGTAAGAGTTATGGACTGGCATAGTTCATTCTCAGTAAACTCTGAGGATCTGGCTCATAGATATGCAAACCAGTTCCCATGCCTGGGGATTATCAGTATTTGAAGAGCAAGCAGTTGCTAGACTCGGTGGGATGTCAGGAACTAAAGGCAGCAATGGGAAAAAAAATCACGTTTTAAGGGAATAGGAGGATCAATCAAAATATTAATATTTCTTATGTAGACATTACTCTCTGTCTTATGTATTGCATTACAGACTTCAGCCAAATTAACAAACAAAACACAAACATAACGTGATACCAGAAATCAAGTTATACCAATGAGATCATTCACTCCAACTGCCATATTTTAATCTGAACCATAATAATCTCTCCCTGCGGCCAGGCGCAGTGGCACACACCTGTAATCCCAGCACTTTGGGAGGCCGAGGCGGGCAGATCACCTGAGGTCAGGAGTTCGAGACCAGCCTGACCAACATGGCGAAACCCTGTCTCTACTAAAAGTACAAAAATTAGCTGGGCGGGCACCTGTAATCCCAGCTACTCAAGAGGCTGAGGCAGGAGAATCGCTTGAACCCGGGAGGCGGAGGTTGCAGTGAGCCGAGATCGCGCCACTGTACTCCAACCTGGGCGACAAGGGCAAGACTCTGTCTTTAAAAAAAAAAAAAAAAAAAGCAGAATAAGAAATGTAGACAAACAGTAGATGTACCAGAAATATTTACTTAACAAATAACTGATTCACAGAAGCCTCTCCCTTGATCCTTTGAGTTTAAATTACCCTACGGTCACTTTTTTTTTTTTGAGACCGAGTCTTCTCACTCTGTTGTCCAGGCTGGAGTGCAGTGGCACAATCCCAGCTCACCGCAAACTCTGCCACCTAGGTTCAAGCAATTCTCTGCCTCAGCCTCCCGAGTAGCTGTGATTACAAGCGCCCACCACCATGCCCGACTAATTTTTTTTGTATTTTTAGTAGAGACAGGGTTTCACCATCTTGGCCAGGCTGGTTGTGAGCTCCTGACCTTGTAATCCACCCACCTCAACCTCCCAAAGTGCTGGGATTACAGGCGTCAGCCACCGCGCCTGGCTCACTATTTCCCTTTCTGTATCTTTTTCAAAACGAGCCAAGGCGGCTAGGCACAGCGGCGTATGCCTATAATCTAAGCACTTTAGGAGACCAAGGCGGGCAAATCACCTGAAGTCAGGAGTTCCAAGACCAGCCTGGGCAATATGGCGAAACCCCATCTCTACTAAAAATACAAAAATTAGCTAGGCATGGTGGCACATGCTTGTAATCTCAGCTACTTGGGAGGCTGAAGCAAGAGGATCACTTGAACCCAGGAGGTGGACGTTGCAGTGAGCTGAGATCACACCACTGCACTCCAGGCTGGGCAACAGGGTGAGACTCTGTCTCAAAACCAAACCAAAACAAACCAAGAAAACAATGAGTCAAAATTATTGCTTCTCTCTGTTCATTCATTTATCTACAAGTGCTCACGACCATTAAGTTCCTCTTCAGATTTACATTTTAGATGTAGAGTGTCACTCCAGTTGCTAAGAGACCTCAATAAGGTGTGCACTGACCAGGGATAAGATCTCTTTAACTTGTACAATTTTAGCCCACTGCTATGGTTTGAGTTATGTCCCACCAAAGTACAAGTGTTGAATACTTAATCCCCAATGAGCAGTATTGAGAGGGTGGGACTTTTAATGTGATTTGGTCATGAGGATTCCATCCTCATGAATAGATTAATGCCATTATTGTGAAAGTGGCTTTGTTATAAAAGCAAGTTCTCTCACATGTGCCCTCTTGCCTTTTGCCCTCCTGACATGGAATGATGCAGCAAGAAGGACCTCACCAGATGCTAATGCTATGCTCTTGGACTTCCTAGCCTCCAGAATGAGGGAAATAAACCTCTATTACTTACAAATTATGAAGTCTATGGTATTCTGTTATAGCAGCAGAAAATGGACTAAGACACCCACCTTTCATCTCCAGCATTATAGATTCAGGCACATCATCTCCCTCTACTTCCTTCCTCAACTCCAGCCTCTTCTTCCAATCTTCCTCATTAGGGACAACCACCACCACTTTCCGAGAGAAGGTCTTGAACAGCAATAGCTTCCGCCGTTGGCCAGAATTGTACACATTACACTAAGAACAGGAGGAATAACTGATGTTTAGGAAGAAAATTATCACTCAGATTTAACCAAAAGAATCAGTATCAGCTGGGCACGGTGGCTCACGCCTGTAATCCTAGCACTTTGGGAGGCCGAGGTGGGCAGATCATCTCAGGTCAGGAGTTCAAGACCAGCCTGGCCAACATGGTGAAACCTCATCTATACTAAAATACAAAAATTAACTCGGCATGATGGTGGGTGCTGTAATCCCAGCTATTTGGGAGGCTGAGACGGAAGAATCGCTTGAACCCAGGAGATGGTGGTTGCAGTGGGCTGAGATCACGCCACTGTACTCCAGCCTGGGTGGCGGCTGAGCAAGATTCCATCTCAAAAAAAAAAAAAAAAAAAAAAAAAAAAGGCCGGGCGTGACAGCTCACGCCTATAATCCTGTTATCCCAGCACTTTGGGAGGCTGAGGCAGGTAGATCATGAGGTCAGGAGATCAAGAGCATCCTGGCTAACACGATGAAACCCTGTCTCTACTAAAAATACAAAAAATTAGCCAGGCATGGTGGCGGGCACCTGTAGTCCCAGCTACTCGGGAGGCTGAGGCAGGAAAATAGCATGAACCTACGAGGCTGAGCTTGCAGTGAGCCGAGATAGCGCCACTGCACTCCAGCCTGGGCGACAGAGCGAGACTCGGTCTCAAAAAAAAAAAAAAAAAAAAAAAAGACTCAGTATCTTTGACAACTTAGACACGAGATAAAGGGTCAATACACATGATCTTCTTTAACTTTTCAAACTACATGACAGGTATTATCCTGTTTTGCTCATCAGGGAAACTGAGGTTCAGAAAGGATAAGGGACTTATCCAAGATCACAAACCAGAATGTGGTGGAGCCAGGAATTCAAATGAGTTCCAACTCTTTCCATTGTCTTTATTACATGTTTTATAGCCTGGGTCCATATATTTTCAAGTAAAAACACTAATTAGGGGTACCTCTGAGTTCAAAAAACATTGCAACCATAACACACAACCAGATGGTCATAATTAGGTAAGCTGACTCTGCTCCTTAATTCAGTCTCTCTTTATATACACATCCCACCTTGACTCTAGGCAATTTTATCAGATTAATACCTGATCAAGAATAAAGTTCCTCTTTGTCCGGGAAGCAATCTGGACCAGCTTACTAAGGCACTGGGAGGCTTGCTGAACTAAAAGGTCTCGGCTTTTGGGGTCCATCTCTGGCTCCTCGAGACCCTTCATCTGATTAGTTTGAGAGGAAGTGAAAAAAAAAAACAAAACACAAGTTATATTGCAAGTTAAAGCCCAAGAGTTATTGGTAAATGTCACCTCTTCAAATACTGAATCTATGATATCACTCTATTCCCATTCTTCAGTGCTGTGAATGTTGTCCATTTCCTGCAGTAGTCATTTCTATCTAGTCTTAACCTGGATGTATTTCAGATCTCATCTGCTTTCAGAAATTTGACAACACAGCAAAGAAAAAAAAAATCAATCCACCTAAAACGCATAGAGAAAAATCTCATTTCTCTATTTCTGGGACCCTTGTTCTCAGACACTTGAGACTAATTCTCCATTAAAGATAGGTTATAAGAGTCTCCAAATACTGTATCCGACAAATCCCCAACAGCAACTTACCCTCATTTGATTGAGCACAGTCTCAGCTCCCAGGACATTGTATCTTTTCTCAGGGTTTTCTTTTGCATATTTCAGTGCCCACTGGGTCTTTCCAGATCCGGGTAGTCCCACCATCAGAATCACCTGCAAAAAACAGAACCAGAAATATAATGAAAAATAAATGAGGGTCATGTTTATCAAAACCAATTTAAGAACATCCTCCCATTCCTGTTTGGTAACGCTCTGAGACCCTGGAGAGCATACGCACCCACCTCTGCAAAGCATACAACCTCAGTGTTCGTATACTGTTTGGCATACCTCACATTCCTCTATGGTCTTGGGAGGGACTGCAGTGCGTACACGCTCCTCAACAGGCACAGCATGAATGAACACAAACTCTTCTGGTGGTGGGAAGAAGGGCTCCTCCTTCTGACCGAAGTTTAATTCTACAACACAATTTTTGCAGAGGACATGGGGTAGAAGGGCCCGGTCTGCCAGGGAATCCTTGCTGATCCAGAATGCCACACCTAGGTCTTCTCCATTCTTGGAGAAGGAAAGTTCTACTTCTTCAGTCTCAAAATTCTACAATGACAAGGGACAAGAGCACTTATTGGCTGACGAGGCTTTGGGTTGATTAAACTTTACAATTTATTCTTTTTTCACACAGACTGCTGCACAAAGTAACTAAGCGAGCCACACACATCACATGCATAAAAGCCAGCAGTTGATGGGAAGCACAAGTGAATTCCCAGTGCCCTCTATCCGCTCCTTGTTATAACCCACAACTTTCAGGAGCACTTACAGCAAAGCAGCCAATAACATCATTCTCCCCAAAAGTCTGGCCAAATTCCTCAAATTGTCCATTTTCTGCCTTGAGTCCTCGTCCATCGAAACCGTAAGAGAATTCATCTTCACCTAGAACAGTCAACAAATTAGTTACCTACAACCGGACTTCCCATAGAGTAAGCAATATGGTAGTAAACACTAATGAGGAACTTAAAGAAATAACTTTACCAAGCTGTGGACGGGAAAAATCAACAGACCACCCAACTCGAAGGAGAGAGACCTCTGTGCAGCCTTCTTTCATTGGGAGATTCTGGGTTACCTGGCCAAGTCAGAAAGGGAACTATTAGATATTGTGACCAACTGAGTAGCAAACTCTGAGTTCGAAGGACAAGATTTTTATACAAACTGAAAACGACATTTACCTCAACTCAACATCAGAATAACAATCACTGAACTTAAAGCCACAGGGATCAATTTCTTGGTTACTGAAACTAAGGTTCTTGTTAAAGCACAGTGCTTTTACCTACCTGCACTAATAAAAGCCTGATTGGACAGAAGTCCAGTATACATAGGTAGTAGCTTAATGAATAAATGAACGGTCTTTTTAAAAAAATATTTCTTCCCCAGCCAGGTGCGGTAGCTCATGCCTGTAATCCCAGCACTTTGGGAGGCCAAGACGGGCGGATCACCTGAGGTCGGGAGTTCAAGACCAGCCCGACCAACATGGAGAAACCCCATCTCTACTAAGAATACAAAATTAGCCAGGTGTGGTGGCGCATGCCTGTAATCCCAGCTCCTCGGGAGGCTGAGGCAGGAGAATCGCTTCAACCCAGGAGGCAGAGGCTGTGGTGAGCCGAGATGGTGCCACTGGACTCCAGCCTGGGTAACAAGAGCGAAACTCCATCTCAAAAAAAAAGAGATAATAATCTTCTTTTCCCCCTCTAAGAACCGTAAGCATCCAGTAATAAATGAATGAATGAATGAATGGTCTTAATGAGCTACCTTTGCCTCAAAGCAGACTTTTCCCTTTGTCACTCCGTAAGTACTCCTTGCCCCAGACCAAAGGGTGGGGAACTTCTCTGAGAAAAGTGGCTGCCCTCCATAGCGGTCTTTGCTCACTTGAAAATGCAGATCCGAGGTATCTGTAAAGAAAGAAGCAATCAGTTTACTCCAATGTCCAATACTTGTAAGCCGCCAACAGAGCATAAGTATACCAGTTGTTGTAGTGGATACAAAGTCTCATAGAATTTATAGGCTATGAAGTTTTAATCTCCAAAATCACTTTTAGGAGATTAGTTAAAAACCACAGTCTGTCTGCCTTATACATACACGTGTCCAGGTTCACAAGAGTTTGATCCTCCTCCTCATCTTTTGCCTCTTCTTCAGGAGGCAGTGGAGACTTTGAGCTATATATGTAAGATAGAAAAGAAACACAATGTAAACAAAGCCCTCTTCTTTGAGGGGTGTGTGTGTATGACATTATGTCCATTTTAAACTGTCAGTGAATATCAAATCCCAGCAGACAGCTTTTTCCAATAAATGAGAAAGGGCAATAGGAGTTTCCATGGTAGATGCAATCTAAAACTCATGCCTATAAAAACCTATTCCATTTTGAATCCACCCTCCTTCCAGTCTCTCCAGTCAATACCAGGTATACCAAAATCAGAGCAGACACTCCCTTCAACGAAAGGGACTGTTTCCCTCACCGGCTGTGGTAAGCCTCCTCTCGGAATTCATAGTAAGCTCGGCCATGTTCATCCTTCTCATCCCGCTGTCTCTTTACCCCCCGCCGCTCACCATCTGAGCCTGCTGGTTTTGACTTTTCACTATCCTGGTCATCTCCTACAAAAACGAGGGAAAGAAAATCAGCAGTTTTCATACTGGAGTGTAGAATAAGCTCACAACTAATAGACACTAACAGGGAATCTGAGAATCTGTCTGATCAAAACAGCCAGGTTATTCCCACTACATTCACATAACATTTTATTTCTAAAGATCAGCTTTCTGTCATTGGCTGTGATTTAATTTTTTTAAAAAGGGGCATTATGGGCTAATTACAGTCAAGCACTAGATAAAAATTGGACAATTTTTGCATTCTAAATTTATCCACTTAAATCAGGTCAAACTTGCAGATTTCCCCATCAATATGACATAAAAAATATCCTCTAGGTCTCTAAGAAAACCTCAAAGGTTAATTTAATTTTGACTCTTGTCAGATCTAGATTTAAGGTAGGCAGTTAGTACATATTTTGTAACACTTTTCCACACCTTCATGATACAGAGAAGCCTCAATTTCTTTTATTTCCCTTTCCTGCACTGAAATACACAGCCATCCATGGCTTTATTCATGTGGCAAATGGACTCAAGTGCATTATACACAGCTGTATTTTTATCAGGGACTTCTACTGAAAGTTGCAAGAGCAAACCACTAAGTCACAAGAGATCCATAAATAATACCGCATCTAGACTGCACATTTGGGGCAGAAAGGTGTTGTTGTATATTTAGCAACTTCTCTGCAAGAGGAAAAAACTTGGAGTTTTTCCCTAGGCTTCTGTATTTTGCAACACTAGGAAGGTTTTTAATAATAATTTCTTTAAAGCAGTCTTTTATCCTTCAATATATATTTTTTTGAGACAGAGTCTCGTTCTGTCGCCCAGGCTGGAGTGTAGTGGCGCGATCTCAGCTCACCGCAACCTCCGCCTCCCGGGTTCAAGCCATTCTCCCGCCTCAGCCTCCCAAGAAGCTGGGATTACCGGCACCCGCCATCACGCCCGGCTAATATTTTGTATTTTTACTAGAGACAGGGGTTTCACCATGTTGACCAGGCTGGTCTCAAACTCCTGACCTCAGGTGATCCACCCGCCTGGCCTCCCAAAGTGCCAGGATTACAGGCGTGAGCCACCACCCCCAGCCTATCCTTCAATTATTTTTTTATCTGCTCTTTGGGATATACATAAGTCAAAGGTTATGTAATGGGATTTTTGCTCCGGGACACAGGACAAACAATCTGCAAGTTGCATGTGATTGTTGTACAATGGGTTCCGATTATACCATGACTCTCCATAGTGGCCTAAAAATATTACTAACAAAAGAACTGAGGCCACCCACTTTATAGTAAGACTTATCCTCCCTACTCGGACACACACTGTTATGGATCAGTTCTAACCATCCAATCACTTCAAAAGAAAGGAGAAAGGTCACTAACTCCCTGGGGCGATTCTACAACACACCTCTTCCACAAGGTTACTCAACGGACCCAACAGCACCTCAGTCATTACCATTCAGGAACCGAGGGACCTGAAACGTAAAAGACTAGCACCAGGTGTTCAGCAAATCTACAAATATGCCTATCCACGGACTCAGTGGGACAATTAAAATTTAATCATAATCCAAGCAAGATAAAAACCCTAGCCAAGTAACGTTAACTAACTCTAAATGAACTAGATTAAGATTTTTCTCTTCACTGGTTAACTATTAAACTCGACACTGTTACACTAGAGGCTCTCCCTTACAGCTCAAAGAGGAGCAAGGTTGGATTTTCAGATTCTCTGTGGCTCAAGCTCTGGTAACATGCTTTTAATGGAACGGACTTTGACGGACTTCGATTTTTGCTTAACATTTTTACGGCGAAAAAGTTAGGTCAGGTAGCCCAAAGACCTGACCCTCTAACTGTGGGCCTAGTTCTCCGTGTAATCCCCAATTGCTTAGCACTTTCTCAGCTAAGAAAAATATAACAAGCACCGTGGGAGACTGTTCCACAGGTAGCTCACAAGTAGTTCGCATGCAAAATCACTCACTGCCATCCACTATCACCAAGGAACCAAGTTAGGCAGGAACCTTCCTCCTGCAAAGAGTAGGGCCACGAGAGGCGGCCTAACCCCTCAGAAAGGTGGGTAGAGAATGAAAGGAGTTCCATCAAATGGCACTTTGAGGCAAGCGAGAACAAGGACTCGGACCCTGCGGTGCAGGGCGGGGTGCTAGATCAGGGGCGCAGCCGGCAGGTTGGAGCCGGGCTCGGCTGCCAGCTCCTCACCCTGTTCCTCGGCGGCCTTGTCACCCGGCACCTCGGATCCCGGCGTCTCGTCCCCGCTCCGCTCCTCGGGTTCGTCTTCCTCCCTCTTGCCGAGGCCCTGCTCTTCGCCACCATTTACCCCGCCTGACCCGGCCGTGGCCTCCGCCGGCTTCTCGGAAGCATCTGGCTCGGCCGCGGCCTCCATGGCTGCCGCCTCCGGGGGCTCCGGCGGCGGCTGCGCGGCCTGACCCAAGGCTTGAGCAGGGGGTGGCTCCTCGTCCTCGTCCTCAAGCAGCGCCTCCTCGTCCTCCTCCTCCTCCTCTTCGTCCTCCTCCTCGTCCCCGCCCGGGCCGCCGCCCGACGCGGCCACAGGCCGAGGCTCCGCCTTGCAGGCCCCGCCGGGCCCGGCCCCGCCGCCGCCGGCCTCGTCCTCGAGCATCTCGGCGTCCAGCGCCTCCTGCAGCCGCTGCGCCAGATCCACCTTGAGGCCGCGCGAGTCCAGGCCCCGCCGCTGCAGCTCCGACCGCAGCTCGGTCACTTTCAGCCGCTTCACCTCCATCGCCGCCGCCGCCTCCTCCGCCTCCCGCCGCCTCCTCCCCTGCGAACCGTCGACCGAGTCCGACCGCGCAGGCGCCGCCGCCGCCGCCCGCCTCCGCCTCACGCGCCAGCACTGAGCCCGCGCGAGCGAGCGCACGCACGCAGGAGCGGAGGCCGCGCACGGTCCCGCTGCGCAGTGTTTGCTTCTCCTTCGTCTCCCCTCCCCCTTTCGGCTCACGGAGCCCAAAACAACGCAGCAGGGAGCTGTTTCCCCTCCAGGCCCTTGGTTCCCCAGCCGCGGGCAGGCGCGCGCGGAGGACGACGGAGTTCCTCCCGCTTCCTCCCGCCCTCTGGCGCCCCCGGGCCAATCGCCGCCGGTGCTTTTATCGCGCAGCCGCAGTGGAGTCCAAGACGGGCAAGGCTGGCTGCAGCTCAAGTGCCTCGTAGCACGGAAGCGTGTGCGCGCCGGTCTTTCAGTACTTCCAGCCGGGGAGTTCTGCGCAGCCGCCCGGAGCTCCCCGATGCCATGCCCCTCCCACCACCCTTACTTCCGTCTGACTTCCATTTGCTGTGGCGTTTTAGGGGTCGCTAGCCTCTTTTCCCTACTGTCTGTGCTTGCAGCAGTAACGACAAAAAAAAAGTCATTAGAGAATGTGTTGCAACATGTAAGCCTAGTAGCAATTGTTTTTCTGGCTAGGAAGCAAAAGGGCTCCCCAGAACGAAGAAATACTGTAATCCGGGCCCTCCTTTTTCCTCAACGCCTCAACTTCTACCCAGCAACAGAGGCCCTTGAACCCGCCCTTTTTCTCTTATTGGACAACTTGAATCGTCATTTGCCGTTCCGATTGGTCATCCGTGATCGTCCGGATTTTTCCAATTGGCGAAGCTGCCAGGGGAATTTTTTTTTTTTTTTTTTCCCAGGTTGGTCCGCTGAGGAGGCGGGGTCGTTTCTGCGGGATTATTTTTCCGGAGCCTCTTCTGATTGGGTGGTGTGGCGCAATGCGCGCGACCCTCAAGATACCAAACTGTACGCATCTCTGACCCTTTCCTCTCCTTGCTCCTGCTGGTAAACCGAAGCCCAGGAGACTTCCAGGTTTGGGCATCTGCAGAGGGCGAGGAACTGGTCACGGCGCCGGGTGGGCTTGCAGCTGTGACGCTTATGTGGACACCTCAGTGTCGCTGGTGGTTCACCTCGGCTTCCCAGTTTATTTATTGACGTCAACAAATAAATGTTGAATAAGGAAGAAGAGTTAGAATTGCTTGAAGCCCTCTGGAGTTTTAGCACTAGTCCCGCCCACTCCCTTCTACTTCCAGGTCGGGGGGGGGCGGGTCCAATAGAAAGGCGGAAGCCAGTGTCCCAGGCGTTCTCACGCCCGCAACAATTCCTGAGTAGGGCCTTGCTTGAGTTCTTCGGAAAGTCTCATCCACCCCCACATCGCCTCTTTAGGAAGTCACTTAATGTTGGGCTTCATTATTCCCACATCCCTTTCCTTACTACTTGCCTGCACTTCTTGAGAAAAAGACTGCAGAAAGGAGAGGTGGGGCTTTCAGTAGAAACAAGCAAACCGCAGGTCCCTGTGGGGGGACTCTCCAGGAAGAAGGGTAATTTCCTGCCTCCTTAAATTGGCTGCTACTGTCAGTTATTTTGCTCCCAACCCCAGAGCTTCACTTGCTCCTTCACTTCCCAGTTCCGCAAGAACCGTGGGCGACAGTTATGGAGAAGCGTCTGCAGGAGGCTCAGCTGTACAAGGAGGAAGGGAACCAGCGCTACCGGGAAGGGAAGTACCGAGATGCTGTGAGTAGGTACCATCGAGCTCTGCTTCAGCTGCGGGGTCTGGATCCGAGTCTGCCCTCTCCGTTACCTAATCTCGGACCTCAGGGCCCGGCCCTCACGCCTGAACAAGAAAACATATTGCATACCACCCAGACAGACTGCTATAACAATCTAGCTGGTAAGAACGGGGCTAAAGGGTGGCTAGAGAGCATTAAGACAGGAACATGAACATCTGTGAACATTGGGGGAAAAAACGCTGACTTTTTTTTTTTTTTACTGTCATCCATTTATTCTGCCATGAATTGGAATAACCTGTCAATCTGTGCGGCTGTAATTAAGTTGCCATAGAGCAGGGCTTCTCAGACTTCACCTGGAGAGTCTGTTAAAACACAACCTCCTCGGCCCCATCCCCAGAGATTCGGATGGGTCTGACGTGGGGCCTATCAGTTTGCATTTCTTTATTTTTTTATTTTATTTTATTTTATTTTATTTTATTTTATTTTTTTTTGAGATGGAGTCTCGCTCTGTCTCCCAGGCTGGAGTGCACTGGCGCGGTCTGGGCTCACTGCAGCCTCCCCGTCCCGGGTTCAAGCAATTCTCCTGTCTTAGCCTGCCCAGTAGCCGGGATTACAGGCGCCCGCCAGCCACCACGCCCAGCTAATTTTTTTTTTTTTTTTTTTTTTTGAGACGGAGTTTCGCTCTTGTTGCCCAGGTTGGAGTGCAGTGGCGTGATTTCGGCTCACCGCAACCTCTGCCTCCCGAGTTCAAGCGATTCTCCTGCCTCAGCTTCCTGAGTAGCTGGGATTACAGGCATGCGCCACCATGCCCAGCTAATTTTTGTATTTTTAGTAGAGACGGGGTTTCATAATATTGGTCAGGCTGGTCTTGAACTACTGACCTCAGGTAATCCACGCGCCTCTACCTTCCAAGGTGCTGGGATTACATGCGTGAGCCACCGCACCCAGCCCCAGTTTGCATTTCTAACAGCCTTCTGGGTATTGTTGATAGCTTTAGGTAATTTTGCATGCTATAGGGAAAAACTATACTTAAGGTCAGGCCATTGTTTATTTAAGGGACATTTAATATTTGTGAAACACGTTCATTTCTTTAGCTGCTAGTTTAGATCCCTTATATTCAGTGGGTCGTATAGCTTTTCCTCATTTTTCTTTTCCTTTTTCTTTTTTTGAGAAGAGCTTCGCTCTTGTTGCCCAAGCTGGGGTGCAATGGCACGATCTCGGCTCACTGCAACCTCCTCCTCCCGGGTTCAGGCGATTCTCCTGCCTGAGCCTCTGGAATAGCTGGGATACAGGCGCGTGCCACCACGCCTGGCTAATTTTTTGTATTTTTAGTAGAAACGGGGTTTCACCATGTTAGCCAGGCTAGTCTGGATTCCTGACCTCAGGTGATTCGCCCGCCTCGGCCTCGCAAAGTGCTGGGATTACAGGCATGAGCCACTGCACCCGGCCCAGTAATTTTTATTTATTGAGTGCCTATAACATGTTGGGCAGTCATTTACAGATATCTGCCATCTTCACAAAACTGCAAGGATTATCACCATTTTACAGATAAGGAAATCAGATCCTGTCACTGCCTGAAACACCCCATTGGCATCTCATCACACTTAGAAGAAAATCCAAACTCACCTCGAGGCCCCAGCACCAACTAGCTCTTTTATTTTTTTTGAGACTGAATTTTGCTCTTGTTGCCCAGGCTGGAGTGCAATGGCACGATCTTGGCTCACTGCAACCTCCGCCTCCCGGGTTCAAGCAATTCTCCTTCCTCAGCCTCCCAAGTAGCTGGGATTAGAGGCATGTGGCACCATGCCCTGCTAATTTTGTATTTTTAGTAGAGATGGGATTTCTTCATGTTGGTCAGACTGGTCTCAAACTCCCAGCCTCAGGTGATCCGCCCACCTCGGCCTCCCAAAGTGCTGGGATTACAGGCTTGAGCCACCACGCCTGGCCTTATTTTTTATTTTATTTATTTATTTTTTTTTTTGAGACGGTGTCTCACTCTGTTGCTCAGGCTGGAGTGCAGTGGCGTGATCTCAGCTCACTGCAACCTTTGCCTTCCAGGTTCAAGCGATTCTCCTGCCTCAGCCTTCCAAGTAGCTGGGATCACAGGCACCTGCCACCATGCCTGGCTAATTTTGGTATTTTTAGTAGAGACGGGGTTTTGCCATGTTGGCCAGGCTGGTCTCGAGCTCCTGACCTCAGGTGAGCCACCCACCTCGGCCTCCCAAAGTGCTGGGATTATGGGTGTGAGCCACCATGCCCTTCCCAAACTGGCCCTTTTATACACTTAATGTCCAAAGTACATTTCCACCTTCACACTTTTGTAGGCTGTCTTTCCAGCTAGAATGCCCTGTCCCTTGAATGACACTTATCCAGATTTGGACTCAAAAGTTGCTTCCTTAGAGAAGCCTTCTGTAGCTGGTGCAGTGGCTCACAACTGTAATCCCAACACCTTGGTAGGCCGAGGAGTTCAAGACCAGCCTGGGAAATGTGGCGCAACCCGGTCTCTACAAAAAATACAAAAATTAGCCAGGCATGGTTGTGCTTGCCGGTAGTCCCAGCTATTCTGGAAACTGAGGTGGGCCAATGTCTTGAGCATGGGAGGCCGGGGCTGCAGTGAGCCAAGATTGGGCCACTGCCCTCCAGCCTGGGTGACAGAGCAAGTAAGACTCTGTCCCCCGATTCCTCCCACCAAAAAGCCTTCCAGAAGCAAACAGCACTCTGACTTCATTCATTCTCTGTCCCGACATAGTTTTATTTTTCTTAAAGCACTTTTTTTTTTTTTGAGACAGAGTCTTGCTCTGTCGCCCAGGCTGGAGTGCAGTGGCGTGATCTCACCGCAAGCTCTGCCTCCCAGGTTCATGCCGTTCTGCCCCAACCTCCCGAATAGCTGGGACTACAGGCGCCCACCACCACGCCCAGCTAATTTTTTTTTTGTATTTTTAGTAGAGACGGGGTCTCACCTTGTTAGCCAGGATGGTCTCCATCTCCTGACCTAGTGATCCTCCCGCCTTGGCCTCCCAAAGTGCTGGGATTACAGGTGTGAGCCACCGCGCCTGGTCAGCACTTTTTTTTTTTTTTTTTTTTTTTTTGAGACCAAGTCTCACTCTGTCGCCCAGGCTGGCGTCAGTGGCGCAATTCTGGCTCACTGCAAGCTCTGCCTCCTGGGTTCACACCATTCCCCTGCCTCAGTCTCCCGAGTAGCTGGGACTACAGGCGCCCGCCACCACGCCTGGCTAATTTTTTGTATTTTTAGTAGAGACGGGGTTTTACCGTGTTAGCCAGGATGGTCTCGATCTCCTGACCTCATGATCTGCCTGCCTCAGCCTCCCAAAGTGCTGGCATTACAGGCGTGAGCCACTGCGTCCAGCCTCTTAAAGCACTTTTAAAAATTAATTTACTTGGGCCGGGCATGGTGGCTCATGTCTGTAATCCCAGCACTTTGGGAGGCCGAGGTGGGCGGATCACCTGAGGTCAGGAGTTCAAGACCAGCCTGACCAACATGGAGAAACCCATCTGCACTAAAAATACAAAAAAATTAGCCAGGCGTGGTGGTGCATGCCTGTAATCGCATCTACTAGGGAGGCTGAGGCAGGAGAATTGCTTGAACCTGGGAGGCGGAGGTTGTGGTGAACCAAGATCGCGCCATTGCACACTCCAGCCTGGGCAACAAGAGCAAAACTCCGTCTCAAAAAAAAAAAAAATTAATTTACTTGGGCCAGGTGCGGTGGCTCACGCCTGTAATCCCAGCCCTTTGGGAGCCCATGACAGGCAGATCACGAGGTCAGGAGATGGAGACCATCCTGGCTGATATGGTGAAACTCCATCTCTATTAAAAATATTTTAAAAATTAGCTGGGTGTGGTGGCAGGTGCCTGTAGTCCCAGCTACTTGGGAAGCTGAGGCAAGAGAATCGCTTGAACCTGGGATGTGGAGGTTGCAGTCAGCCAAGATCGTACCAGTGCACTCCAGCCTGGGCAACAGAGGGAGACTCTGTCTAAAAACAAACAAACAAAAAATTCATTTACTTGTTTCTTCTGTATTCCTCCACTTTTTTTTTTTTTTTTTGACCACTTGGTGGGGATGTTGTAGAAGGGATACAGACATCAGCACAGGCCCTTTAATGTGCTCATCACTGCTGATTCTTGATCTTTCTCAGCACCATGATTTAATAATACTATGTTTAATTCCCACAGTTGTGAAATAGGGAGTGTTTCCCTTCTTAATCATAAAAAGGCAGAACATTGACCTGAATTGCCTGAATTGACTCCTCTGCAGGTTTGTATTTCAAGGTCCCATTAAGTCATCCAAGAGAATAGTGAAGTTATATGCTGTATTGTTACTGAGAATGATGATTTTGGAGTTAGACAACACTTCATTCAAATTTCATATTCCACCTAGAACCTGTAAGATCTTAGACAAGTTATTTGTCTGAGTCTTGATTTCTTCATCCACTAAATGAAGATAGTAACACCTATTTAATAGTGTAGATGCGAAGATTAAACAAGACAGTGTATATCAAGCACATAGCACAGCGCTTGCCATTTCCTGACAATTAATGGCAACCATTATTAACAAAGCTGCAGTACAAGAACTGTGGTGAAATGGGGGATTCAGGACATAGAGCCTCAGGTAGAAGAGATACAATGAAGGTTAGTTTGTTTTTTAAAAAATTGTAATTTATCTAATTTTTTTTTTTTAAGATGGAGTCTTGCTCCATAACCCAGGCTGGAGTGCAGTGGTACAATCTCGGCTCACTGCATATCTAATTTTATATAAAAAATTAATGGGGCCGGGCACAGTGACTCACGCCTGTAATCCCAGCACTTTGGGAGGCAGAGGCAGGTGGATCACAAGGTCAGGAGTTCGAGACCAGCTTGACCAACATGGTGAAACCCCGTCTGTACTAAAAATACAAAAATTAGCCAGGCATGGTGGTGAGCGCCTATAATCCCAGTTACTCAGGAGGCTGAGGCAGAAGAATCACTTGAACCTGGGAGGCAGAGGTTGCGATGAGCCAAGATCACGCTACTGCACTCCAGCCTGCACGACAGAGCGAGACCTCCATCTCAAAAAATAATAATAATAATGAGGGGGCTGGGCAGGGTGGTTCACGTCTATAATCCCAGTACATTGGGAGGCTGAGGCCAGCGAATCACCTGAGGTCAGGAGTTCAAGACAAGCCTGGCCAACATGGCGAAAACCCATCTCTACAAAAATACAAAAATTAGCCGGGCATGGTGATGTGTGCCTGTAATCCCAGCTACTCGGGAAGCTGAGGCAGGAGAATCACTTGAACCCAGGAGGCGGAGGTTGCCGTGAGCTGAGATCGCGCCATTGCACTCCAGCCTGGGCGACAGAGCGAGACTCCATCTCAAAAAAAAAAATAGGGTCTCACCTGGGCATAGTGGCTCATGCCTATAATCCCAGTACTTTGGGAGGCCAAGGTGGACAGATCACTTGAGGTCAGGAGTTTGAGAACAGCCTGGCCAACATGGTGAAACCCCATCTCTACTGAAAACACAAAAATTAGCTGGACATGGGTAATCCCAGCTACTCGGGAGGCTGAGGCAGAAGAATTGGTTGAACCTGGAGGTTGCAGTGAGCCAAGATCATGCCACTGCACTCCAGCCTAGCTGATGAGTGAGACTCTGTCTTAAAAAAATAATAAAAAAAGAATACATTTGTTATTCGGAATACACTTCTTATAACACTGCAGTGAATACTCTGCCAAAAAAAAGGGACAGGGGAGGGTCTCACTATGTTGCCCAGGCTGGTCTTGAACTCCTGGGCTCAAGCAAATCTCCTACCTCAGCCTCCCAAAGTGCTAGGATTACAGCATGAGCCACCATGCTCAGCCGAGTTTTAAATAAATTTTAAAGTATGTTCTTACCAGCTTTATAGCCAAGCCTAACTGGCTACTAAATATGTAGCAGAAAATCAGTAAATATTGAAGTAGATTACAAGATATATGAATTTTTTGTTTTGTTTTGAGACAAAGTTTCACTCTTGTTCCCCAGGCTAGAGTGCAATGGCACGATCTCGGCTCACCGAAACCTCCGTCTCCCAGGTCCAAGCGATTCTCTTGCCTCACCCTCCCGAGTAGCTGGGATTACAGGCATGCGCCACCACACCTGGCTAATTTTTATTTTCAGTAGAGACGGGGTTTCTCCATGTTGTCAGGCTGATCTCGAACTCCCGACCTCAGGTGATCCACCCGTCTCGGCCTCCCAAAGTGCTGGGATTACAGGCATGAGCCACTGCACCTGGCCGATATGTGAAGCTTTTATTCACTGCTGCATCCCCAGTGTGTAGAAGAGTGTCTGGCATATGGGAGACACTTTAGCATTTGTTGACTGAATGTTGTTACCACCCTGTTCAGTACTGTCTTGAGCTGGCCAGTGGAACCTGGTGTAACGAGCCCCTCCTACCTCTTCTCTCTTTTCATTTGGCCCATTAGCTTGTCTCCTTCAGATGGAGCCCGTGAACTACGAACGAGTGAGAGAATATAGTCAGAAAGTCCTGGAACGACAGCCTGATAATGCCAAGGCCTTGTATCGGGCCGGAGTGGCCTTTTTCCATCTGCAGGACTATGACCAGGCCCGCCACTACCTCCTGGCTGCCGTGAATAGGCAGCCTAAAGGTAAGCAAGAAGGGCTTTGAAATGGTAAAGACAAAATTGTCTTGCTGGGGTGGATCTGTGGAAAGGGGGTTTTATTTTACTTTGCCAATGTATTATTTTCAATAAGTAATACATTCACATGGTTGAGAATTCGAACTGAAAAAGTATACGATGAACAGACCTTTTTCCACTCTTGTGTTCTTGTCTCCACAGAAAAGCAGTATTATTAGTTTCATGTGTAGGGGGTTGATGCTTAATCAGACATACACAATATATATGTTGGTATGTCTGTTTCATATATGTATGTATGCCTATTCTAATATATAAATATATGTATATCAACGTGCTTTTATTTATAAATATACAGTGTATATATTTATACATATACATGAATATATATATAAAATAGGCAGGCCAGGTGGGGTGGCTCACATCTGTTATCTCAGCACTTTGGGAGACCAAAGTGGGTGGATCACCTGAGGTCAGGAGTTTGAGACCAGCCTGACCAACATGGAGAAACCCCATCTCTACTAAAAATACAAAATTAGCCAGGCATGGTGGCGCATGCCTGTAAACCCAGCTACTCGGGAGGCTGAGGCAGGAGAATTGCTTGAACCCAGGAGGCGGAGGTTGCGGTGAGCCGAGATCCTGGGCAACAAGAACGAGATTCTGTCTCAAAAAAAAAAAAAAAAAAAAAAAACAGTGTTGTTTTTTGGGGCTGGGTACGGTGGCTTACACTTGTAATCCCAGCACTTTGGGAGGCCAAGGCGGGCAGATCACCTGAGGTCAGGATTTCAAGACCAGCCTGGCCAACATGGCGGAACCCATCTCTACTAAAAAAAATAAAAATACAAAAATCAGCCGGGTGTGGCCGGGCGCAGTGGCTCACACCTGTAATCCCAGCACTTTGGGAGGCCGAGGTGGGCGGATTACGAGGTCAGGAGATCGAGACCATCCTGGCTAACATGGGGAAACTCCGTCTCTATTAAAAATACAAAAAATTAGCCGGACGTGGTGGTGAGGGCCTGTAGTCCCAGGTACTCAGGAGGCTGAGGTAGGAGAATGGCATGAACTTGGGAGGCGGAGCTTGCAGTGAGCTGAGATCCTGCCGGTGCATTCCAGCCTAGGGGACAGAGGGCGGCTCCGTCTCGGAAAAAAAAAAAAAAGCTGGGCGTGATGGCAGGCCCCTGTAATCCCAGCTACTTAGGAGGCTGATGCAGGGAGAATCGCTTGAACCCAGGAGGCAGAGGTTTCGGTGAGCTGAGATTGTGTCGCACTCTAGCCTGGGCGACAGAGCCAGACTCCATCCCAAAAAAAAAAAAAGCGAGTGTCGTTTTTCAAGTTCTGTTCCTGGTCTTTAAGAGTGATTGGAGGCTGGGCATGGTGGCTTATGCCTGTAATCCCAGCACTTTGGGAGGCCAAGGTGGGCGGATCATGTGAGGCCAGGAGTTCGAGACCATCCTGGCTAACATGATTAAACCCCGTTTCTAGTAAAAATACAAGAAATTAGCCGGGCGTGGTGGCGGGCGCCTGTAATCCCAGCTACTCGGGAGGCTGAGGCAGGAGAATAGTGTGAACCCGAGAGGCAGAGCTTGCAGTGAGCCAAGATCGCGCCACTGCACTCCAGCCTGGGAGACAGAGGGAGACTCCATCTCAAAAACAAAACAAAACAAAACAAAAAAACAGTGATTGGAATAGGATGTGTGAATGCCAACAAATACACTTGATAATTTTCATTCTGCCAGTTCTCCAAATGGGGTCTGGCCTTTGGTTTAGCTATCATTTTTATCCTTTAGCTCAGCTAACCCCAGGTATGACCTAGAAAAAGGGCAGTCCTGCTGAGAGAGAATTTGGGACTTACTTTGTTTCCAAGGCAAAAAGGATATTGTGAAGCAGATGAGAGACTCATTCCTGTGTTGGTTGGTTGAGCACTGAAAATTGTCTCCCTTTTGCATTCTGGCTTACAATAGCCACTGGATACTAGTAGCAGAGTCACCAAATGTATAGCAGTGCAGTAAAATCTCATCTAAATGAATGAGAAAGCCATTATGAATTAATAAAGATATAAAATATAAGCCATTTGTTCATGTTTCTCAGCATCCAATACATAAATTAACTGCCACCTATATGAATAGTATCTTTAGAGGCTCTATTTTAATGATAACTGCTTCATCAATCTTGCTTTCATTATGAAATTAGCAACCAGTGTCCAGGCATGGTGGCTCACACCTGTAATCCCAGCACTTTGGGAGGCCAAGGCGGGTGGATCACGAGGTCAGGAGTTCCAGACCAGCTTGGCCAACATGGTGAAACCCCATCTCTACTAAAAATACAAAAATTAACCAAGCATGGTGGTGCATGCCTGTAATCTCAGCTACTTGGGAGGCTGAGGCATGAGAATTGCTTGAACCCGGGAGGCGGAGGTTGCAGTAAGTGGAGATCCCATGCTATTGCACTCTAGCCTGGGTGACAGAGCGAGACCCTGTCTCAAAAGTAAGTAAATAAATAAAATAAATAAATAAATAAATAAATAAAAATTAGCAGCCGGGACAGAGATTGTTTTTTTTCAATTCCAAATGTTATTAATTAATGAGATTTACTATTGCATAGAATGGTTGCGATATATTCAGATCTTGGAGAGATTTTAAAATGGGAGCATGTTAACATTCTCTCCTGCCACAAGGTATGATTATGGTCTTAACTGACTCTAACTGTTTCTAATTGCTTCTCCATCATCTTCCAAGATGCCAACGTCCGGCGGTACCTCCAGCTGACACAGTCAGAACTCAGCAGCTACCATAGAAAAGAGAAGCAGCTCTACCTGGGCATGTTTGGTTAACAAAGAAGAAAGATGCTCCTCCAGTTGAACTTAGGTGGACCATTAAACATGCATGAAGGAGAAATCTGAGCCTCAGCAAGAGAAATTAACCCTATACCTCTGACCCAGGTGGATTTTTGTTTCTAGTTCTGCACAAACTTCACTACTTAGACAGTCTGAGTCTTTTTCTGTCTATCCATCTGTTTATTTCTATACCTTTCAATACATGTTATTGTTGCAGATATTTGGCTTGAGAAATATAATCAGAAAACATACATCAGTTGTGGGTGGAATTAATCATATCTCTGGTATAGATTTTTCATGACAGTGTTGTTAGATGTACTTATATACAGAGGCGACAGCTTGCAGAGGACGACATAGTAAGGATAGGCAGAAAGAATTGTCTTCCTTTATTTTTTCAGAAGCCCAAACCAAAGTGGGAAATATGGCCGGGCGCTCTAGCTCATGCCTGTAATCCCAGCACATTGGGAGGCTGAGGCCAGCGGATCACCTGAGGTCAGGAGTTCAAGACCAGCCTGACCAACAGGGTAAAACCCTGTCTCTACTAAAAATACAAAAATTAGCCTGGCAAGATGACACACGCCTGTGGTCTCAGGTACTGGAAACTAGACAATTATAAATGAGCCAGGCTGGGCATGGTGGCTCACGCCTGTAATCCCAGCACTTTGGAAGGCAGAGGTAGACAGATAGATAGCTTGAGTCCAGGAGTTCAAGACCAGCCTGGGGAACACAGTGAAACCCTGTCTCTATAAAAGATGCAAAGATGGCCGGGCACGGTGGGTCAGGCCTGTAATCCCAGCACTTTGGGAGGCCGAGGCAGGTAGATCATGAGGTCAGGAGATTGAGACCATCCTGGCTAACACAGTGAAACCCCGTCTCTACTAAAAATACAAAAAATTAGCCGGGCGTGGTGGTGGGCGCCTGTAGTCCCAGCTACTCGGGAGGCTGAGGCAGGAGAATGGCATGAACCCGGGAGGTGGAGCTTGCAGTGAGCAGAGATCACGCCACTGCACTCCAGCCTGGGCAACAGAGCGAGACTCCGTCTCAAAAAAAAAAAAAAATGCAAAGATTAGCTGGGCCAGGTGTTCACCTGTAGTCCCAGCTATTCTGGAGGCTAAGGTGGGAGGATTGCTTGAATCTGGAGGGCAGCGGTTGCAGTGAGCCAAGATCCTGACACAGCACTCCAGCCTGGGTGACAGAGTGACGTGTCTCAATAAATAAATAAGCCCAAATATACTAAAGTAACTTTTTGTTTTTTGAGACAGAGTCTCACTCTGTTGCCCAGTCTGGAGTGCAGTGGTGCCATCTTGGCTCACTGCAACCTCTGCCTCCCAGGTTCAAGTGATTCTCGTGTCTGAGCCACCCAAGCAGCTGGGATTACAGGCATGTGCCACCACGCCCGGCTAATTTTTTTGTATTTCCTTTTTAGTAGAGACATGGTTTTGCCATGTTGGCCAGGGTGCTCTTGAACTCCTGGCCTCAAGTGATCCACCCACTCGGGCTCCCAAAGTGCTGGGATTACAGGTGTGAGCCACTATGCCTGGCCAAAAGTAACCATTTTGTTTAATTTTTTCTTTTTCTTTTAATTTTAAGTTCCAGGATCCATGTGCAGGATATGCAGGTTTGTTACATAGGGAAACGTGTGCCTCGGTGGTTTGCTGCACCTATCAACACATCACCTCGGTATTAAGTCCAGCATGTATTAGCTATTTTTCCTCATGTTCTCCCACCCCCCGCCACAGCCCCTGTTAAATTAATTTCTTATTCTCCTTAATATTCCATACACATTCAGATTCCTTCTCCCCTACAAAAATATTTGCTATTTTGTCCTTGCTATTTCTCATACTTAGATCATTCATACACTATATTTATTTTTTCATTAAACTATTTTAAAACCTTTGGAGTAAAGCATTTAAGTATTTATTTAATAAACCCTTCAGACCTCATGCTAAAGAAAACACCTAAGTGAACATTTTAAATTTTAATAGGTGCTTATCTATAGTATCCTCATTTCTCTTAAAAAAAAAAAAAAAAAAAAAAAAAAAAAAAAAGACCATCCTGGCTAACACGGTGAAACTCCGTCTCTACTAAAAATACAAAAAAAAAAAATTAGCTGGGCTTGGTAGCGTGTGCCTGTAGTCCCAGCTACTCGGGAGGCTGAGGCAGGAGAATGGCGTGAACTCAGGAGGTGGAGCTTGCAGTGAGCCGAGATCACGCCACTGCACTCCAGCCTGGGTGACAGAGAGAGACTCCATCTCAAAAAAAAGAAAAGATTATCACATCTTCTAAAAACATACATACTAGCCGGGTACGGTGGCTCATGCCTGTAATCCCAACACATTGGGAGTCTGAGGCGGGTGGATCACTTGAGGTCCGGAGTTCAAGACCAGCCTGGCCAACATGGCGAAACCCCATCTCTACTAAACTGCTGGGGAGGCTGAGGCGGGAGGATCACTTGAACCTAGAAGCCGGAGGTTGCGGTGATCTGAGATTGCGCCACTGCACTCCAGCCTGCGGCAGTGAGACTGTCTCAAAAAAAAAAAAAAGAAACATACATAATAGAGCAGAATAAAAACAAACCTGTCCTTTACCTGTCATCTCATATTTTGCAAGGGCTGAGGTCCTCACAGAGAAGAGAAATAGGCTGGGCGCTGTGGCTCATGCTTGTAATCCCAGCACTTTGGGAGGCTGGATCACCTGAGGTCAGGAGTTTGAGACCAGCCTGGTCAACATGGTGAAACCCCATCTCTACTAAAAATAGAAAAAAATAACCAGGTGTGGTGGTGTGCACTCTGTAACCCCAGCTACTCAGGAGGCTGAGACAGGAGAATCGCTTGAAACGCAGGAGGCGGAGGTTGCAGTAAGCAGAGATTGCATGCCACTGCACTCCAGCCTGGGCAACAAGAGTGAAACTCCATCTCAAAAAACAAAACAAAAAAAAAATGAGGAAGGGCATTTCTTGCTTAGTGCCTTTTAAACACCTGATAGAACTCTCTGGAAGCTGTGTTGGACATGGGTGCAAGTTGCAGTATGGTGCAGTCCTGGCTCAGTAGGAGGTTCCATCAACCAGGAGCCCCTTTGTTATTCTGTTTCTGTTTTTTCATGGTGGATAATGTCTATGATGTTGTGGGTACTACATAGGTGAGACTATATAGCACAGCCTCTACCTTTATAAGTGGTGGCAATAAGCATGTGATTAACTGTCATACAACCACAGAGCAAACAGATTTCAGGGAAAAAAAAACACACTTTAGTCCTTTATCAATAACGCCCCCTTTCTCAATGGGCTAGACTCCTCTTTGTTCTTCCCTATACCTTTAAAGAATACAACTATCAGCTTACAAGAAAAACTTTTCCTAAGTCCAAGGACAGGAGAGGCGCAGTGGCTCACCCCTGCAATTCCAGCAATTTGGGAGGCCAAGGTGGGTGGATCACCTGAGGTCAGGAGTTCGAGACCAGCCTGACTGACATAATGAAACCCCATCGCTACTAAAAAAAATACAAAATTAGCCAGGTGTAGTGGCACGTGCCTGTAATCCCAGCTACTCAGGAGGCTGAGGCAGGAGAATTGTTTGAGCCCAGGAGGTGGAGGATGCAGTGAGCCAAGGTCATGCCATTACACGCCAGCCTGGTCAACCAGAGCAAAACCGTCTCAATCAATCAATCAATCAATCAAGTCCAAGGACAGAACAAACAAAAGTAAAATACCTTATTCCTCTTCTAAGCTTCTTAAATTGCTAGGCCTTGGTTTATTGACAAAATATTGTCATGATTGCATGTTTTATTTGCTTTACAATGGTTTCGTGGTCTTATTTTATTTCAAACACTTGATGTTATAGTAAGCTATCTTCTGCATCAATGAGGAAAAAATAAAACTGATATTTAAAAATGCATTTTAGAAATTTGGTGCAGTGGCCAGGCGCGGTGGCTCACGCCTGTAATCCCAGCACTTTGGGAGGCTGAGGCGGGTGGATCACAAGGTCAGGAGATCGAGACCATCCTAGCTAACACAGTGAAACCCCATCTCTGCTAAAAATACAAAAAATTAGCCGGGCGTGGTGGCGGGCACCTGTAGTCCCAGCTACTCGGGAGGCTGAGGCAGGAGAATGGCATGAACCCGGGAGGCAGAGCTTGCAGTGAGCCGAGATTGCGCCACTGCACTCCAGCCTGGGCGACATAGCAAGACTCTGTCTCAAAAAAAAAAAAAAAATTGTTGCACTAATCCTTTTATTAGCGCTGCTAAGAGATAGCACAGGGTCAGGCTTACATTTGTGTTTTATTGAGAAGCCCAGCTCCTAATGGAAATCTTAATGAACAGGGAAATGACAAAGGCAGTCTGATGCAGGTCTTGAGGACGTCCTCAAGGTCCTGAGGGAACCAGCCAGAGAGTGCCTCAACCTCTGTATTCAGAAGTTTGTGGAAGGAGAGGCTGCGCACTTTATCAGTCCTTGTTTCCACAGAGGATTTGAATATTTTGAATGAAGAAAAAGCATTCATGGTGAATGTGAAGGATTATATACCTTGGCACATGAGGGACACTGTTTCCCAAACTCATACCCACCACCTTCACAATGTTGCCAAAACCACTCACTACCTGTACTAATATATATGGATGTGTGTAGAAATATATGTGTGTGTGTATATATATATATATAGACAGTCTGGCTCTGCTGCCCAGGCTGCAGTGCAGTGGCACAATCTTGGCTCACTGCAACTTCCACATCCCAGGTTCAAGCAATTCTGCCTCAGCCTTCCAAGTAGCATGCACCACCATGCCTGGCTAAATTCTTTTTGTATTTTTAGTAGATACGGGGTTTCACCATGTTGGTCAGGCTGGTTTCAAACTCCTGACTTCAGGTGATCCACCCACCTCGGCCTCCTAAAGTTCTGGGATTATAGGCGTGAGCCATGGAGCCCAGTGTATTTTTTTTTTTTTTTTTTTTTTTGAGACGGAGTCTCACTCTGTTGCCAGGCTAGAGTGCAGTGGTGCGATCTCGGCTCATTGCAACCTCTGCCTCCTGGGTTCAAGCGATTCTGCTGTGTCAGCCTCCCAAGTAGCTGGGACTACAGGCACCCACCACCATGTCCAGCTAATTTTTGTCTTTAGTAGAGAAGGGGTTTCACCATCTTGGCCAGGATGGTCTGGATCTCTTGACCTCATGATCTGCCCACCTCAGCCTCCCAAAGTGCCAGGATTACAGGCATGAGCCACCACCCCCGGCCTATTTTTTTTTTTTTTTTTTTTTTTTAGAGACAGGGTCTTGCTCTGTAGCCCAGACTGGAGTGCAGTGGTGTGATCATAGCCTTGAACTCCTGGGCTCAAGGGATCCTCCTGCATCAACCTCTTGAGTAGCTGGGATTACAGCTTGAAGCACCTTGCCTGGCCCTAAATAAATATTTTTAAAGGAACCTTTGGACAGAGGAATATGTTAAATGAAACTACGGGGATGTAAGCAGCAAACTCCAGACCCTCAACCCGTAAAACAACCCCAGCTTCTTCAACAAATAAATTGCAAGGAAAAAGGGAAGGGAAACCTAGTAAAACTTAAGGCCAGGTTCAGTGGCGCACGCCAATGATCCTAGAACTTTGGGAGGCTGAAGGGGACAGATCTTTTGAGCCCAGGAGTTTGAGACCAATGTGGGCAACATGGCAAAACCCTCTGTCTACAAAAGATAGAAAAATTAGCTGCCACTAGGGTGCATGCCTGTAATCCCAGATATTCAAGAGGCTAAGGTGGGAGGATCACTTGAGCCCAAAAGGTTGAGGTTGCAGTGAGCTAAAATTGTGCCACTGCACTGAAGCCTGGGCAACAGAGTGAGACCCTGTCTCAAAAAGAAAAAGACAGTTAAGAGACATCAATCAAATAAATGCATGACACTACTTTGGATTCTAATTGGATTCTCATTGGGAAAAAGAGAAACTTGAGTAAGAATTATTGTCAGGGCCGGGTGCGGTGGCTCACACCTGTAATCCCAGCACTTTGGGAGGCCCAGGCGGGCGGATCACAAGGTCAGGAGATGGAGACCACGGTGAAACCCCGTCTGTACTAAAAATACACACAAAAAAATTAGCCGGGCGTGGTGGCGGGGCGCCTGTAGTCCCAGCTACTTGGGAGGCTGAGGCAGGAGAATGGCTTGAACCCGGGAGGCAGAGCTTGCAGTGAGCCGAGATCGCGCCACTGCACTCCAGCCTGGGTGACAGAGCGAGACTCCATCTCAAAAAATAAATAAATAAATAAATAATTGTCGGAGCCAGGGGTGGTGGCTCATGCCTGTAATCCCAGCACTTTGGGAGGCTGAGGCGGGCGGATTCCAAGGTCAAGAGATCGAGACCATCCTGGCTAACACGGTGTAACCCTGACTGTACTGAAAATACAGAATTAGCGGGATGTGTTGGCGGACGCCTGTAATTCCAGCTACTCGGGAGACTGAGGCAGGAGAATCGCTTGAACCCGGGAGGTGGAGGTTGCGGTGAGCCGAGATGGCGCAACTGCACTCCAGCCTGGGCAAGAGCAAAACTCTTATCTAAAAAAAAAAAAAAAAGGCCGGGTGCGTTGGCTTACGCCTGTAATCCCAACACTTTGGGAGGCCGAGGCGGGTGGATCACGAGGTCAGAAGATCCAGACCATCCTGGCTAACACAGTGAAACACCGTCTCTACTAAAAATAGAAAAAAAATGAGCTAGGCGTGGTGGCGGGCGCCTGTAGTCCCAGCTACTTGGGAGGCTGAGGCAGGAGAATGGTGTGAGCCCGGGAGGCAGAGCTTGCAGTGAGCCGAGATCACACCACTGCACTCCAGCCTGGGCGACCGAGCAAGACTCTGTCTCAAAAAAAAAAAAAAAAAAAGAATTATTGTCAGTTTTCTTGAGTGTGATAATAGTATTTAGTCTGCTGAAATTGCTTGCTGATGAAATTGTACAGGGCACTGTACAGCACTTCATATCACTTGACCCAATACACAAAAAAACTCAGGAGTCTGAAGTGGGAGAATCACTTGAGCCTAGGAGTTCAAGAGCACCCTGGGCAACATAGACCCCATCTCGAAAAACTAAAATAAGTGGCCGGGTGCGGTGGCTCACGCCTGTAATCCCAGCACTTTGGGAGGCCAAGGCGGGCAGATCACGAGATCAGGAGATCGAGACCATCCTGGCTAACACGGTGAAACCCCGTCTCTACAAAAAATACAAAAAATTAGTCAGGCGTGGTGGCACACGCCTGTAATCCCAGCTACTCGGGAAGCTGAGGCAGGAGAATGGCGTGAACTCAGGAGGCGGAGCTTACAGTGAGCCGAGATCACGCCCCTGCACTCCAGCCTGGGCTACGGAGCTAGACTCCGTCTCAAAAAAAAAAAAAAAAAGAAAAGAAAAAAGAAAACTAAGTCAGTTTATAGCTCACAAGCACACATTTTCAGTATGAAACTTAATAGGCTGGGGCCTGGTCCATACTCCTATAAAGGGAGACAGATTTTGGCTCAGTCTAAGGAAATCCAACAACTAGGACACCAACAATAGGTTTCCTTTGGGAAAGAGTTTTTTGGGTTTTTTTTTTTTTTTTTTGAGACAGAGTCTCGCTCTGTCGCCCAGACTGGAGTGCAGTGGCGTGATCTCGGCTCACTGCAAGCTCCGCCTCCCAGGTTCACTCCATTCTCCTGCCTCAGCCTCCTGAGTAGCTGGGACTACAGGCTCCCGCCACCACGCCTGGCTAACTTTTTGCATTTTTAGTAGAGACGGGGTTTCACCGTGTTAGCCAGGATTGTCTCGATCTCCTGACCTTGTGATCCGCCTGCCTCGGCCTCCCAAAGTGCTGGGATTACAGGCGTGAGCCACCACGCCAGGCCGAGGTTTTTTTTTTTTTTTTTGAGACAGAGTCTCGCTCTGTAGCCCAGGCTTGAGTACAGTGGCACGATCTCAGCTCACTGCAACCTCCGCCTCGCAGGTTCAAGCGATTCTCCTGCCCCAGCCTCCTGAGTAGCTAGGATTACAGGTGCCCGCCAGCACTCCCGGCTAATTTTTGTATTTTTAGTAGAGATGAGGTTTCACCATCTTGGCCAGGCTGGTCTTGAACTCCTGACCTTGTGATCCACCAGACTGAGCCTCCCAAAGTGCTGGGATTACAGGTGTGAGCCACCGTGCCTGGCCTGGTTGTTTTTTTTTTGTTTGTTTTTTGTTTTTTGAGATGGAGTCTCGCTCTGTTCCCCAGGCTGGAATGCAGTGGTGTGATCTTGGCTTGCTACAACCTCTGCCTCCCAGGTTCAAGCAATTCTCCTGGCTTGGCCGCCAAGCAATTAGCTGGGACCACAGGTGTGTGCACACTGACATGCCTGCCTAATTTTTGTATTTTTAGTAGAGACAGGGTTTCACCATCTTGGCCAGGCTGGTCTTGAACTCCTGACCTCCCAATAATCTGTCCACCTCGGCCTCCCAGAGTGCTGGAATTCTAGGTGTGAGGTGCCATTCCCGGCCTCAAGTGGAGGTTTGATAACAACTGGCAAAAGGAGGATTCAGTGTTAGACTAGAAATTAGATGAGCTGATCCCCAGGAGCCTATGGTTCCTTGAATCCCTGAATGGGAGCATTAAGACCAGTGGAAATGAGAAAGAATTATTGATCACATCTCTACAAATGGGCATAAACTGTTCCTACCATTCAGTAGATAAACTGAGGCCACAGGCTGGGTATGGTGGCTTATTCCTGTAATCCCAGCCACCGCTGCACTCCAGCCTGGGTGACAGAGGGAGACTCTGTCTAAAAAAAAAATCAAACTAAAAAAAAAATAATAAATAAAATGAGGCTGGGTGCGGTGGTTCACACCTATAATGCCAGCACTTTGGGAGGCCGAGGCGGGGCGGATCTGAGGTCGGGAGTTCCAGACCAGCCTGACCAACATGGAGAAACCCCGTCTCTACTAAAAATACAAAAAAAATTAACCAGGCGTGGTGGCGCAGCCTGTAATTCCAGCTACTAGGGAGGCTGAGGCAGGAGAATCGCTTGAACCCAGGAGGCGGAGGTTGCAGTGAGCCGAGATTGCACTGAGCCAAGATCATGCCATTGTACTCTGGCCTGGGCAACAAGAGTGAAATTCCGTCAAAAAATAGTAATAATAACGAGGCCACAGTGGCTGTAACTGTGATAGCTACTGCTTTACATATCTTGCAGGCTGGGCATGATGGCTCATGCCTGAAATCCCAGCACTTTGGGAGGCCAAGGCAGGTGGATCGCTTGAGCCCAGGAGTTTGAGACCAGCCTGAGCAACAGCGCGAAACGTCATCTCCACAAAAGATACAAAAATTAGCCATGCGTGATAGTGCATGCCTGTAGTTCCAGCTGCTTGGGAGCTAGAGGGGTTGAGGCTGCAGTGAGTCGTGATAGTGCCACTGCACTCCAGCCTCGGAAACAGAGAGACCTTGTCTCAAAATAAATAAATAAATTAATTAATTAAAATATTGCAAATTCCTGACTGCCACCTGCAAGAAAACATGCCCTTTATGCTGGATATTGAAAGCAAATGCTTGCTTCTCAGGAGAATCTCACCAGGAACAGAACCTCTTTAGCTAAGTAGTACATGTGACCACAGTCTGATCAATACAATGGTTCCTGTGTTCCCCAGACTGTCTGGAGAGATCATCTACATCAAAATTGTCTACACATATAGACCATTTATTATGCCTTGATTTTAAGAACTGATGTTCTGAGACAACCAGGTTTTTTTTTTTCTGTTTTGTGTTTCTGTTGAAATTGAGATATTCAGACCGTAAAATCCACCCTTTTAAGGGCAACTGATTCATAAAGGCATTTTGATTTGATATTTACTCTAGGGAAGACTTTTGAAAAGGTGTTCTACCCAGCTAGAATAGCTTTTATTGTATTTATTTATATCTTGCCTTGTTTCATCAAGGAATTAAAGCAGTAACGTACTTGCATAAATAAAATTAGGAGCCATTTGAAAGATAAGCTAGAAGTTTATTTCAACACAAAGAATGTGAAAGAATGTAGAATTCATTCAGCAGAAAAATGTTAACCATCTTTTGCTTCCCATATGTCCTAGTTAAGGAGCTTTCTTTAGCCACATGGCTGCTCACCTTTCCTTCCTGTAACTCAAAAATAGTCACTTGCTGGTAAGGGTTCACAGTGCTGAATATGACACAGACTCAAAAAGAGAGAAGAATATTTACTTGTCATTTTCCCCCTTTTCTTTTTTTCTTTTTTGAGATGGAGTCTCGCACTGTCACCCAGGGTTGGAGTGCAATGGCGTGATCTCGGCTCACTGCAACCTCCGCCTCCCGGGTTCAAGCAATTCTCCTGCCTCAGCCTCCCGAGTAGCTGGGATTACAGACGCCTGCCACCACGCCCAGCTAATTTTTTGTATTTTTAGTAGAGATGGGGTTTCACTATGTTGGCCAGCCTGGTCTCCAACTCCTGACCTTGTGATCCGCCCGCCTCGGCCTCCCAAAGTGCTGGGATTACAGGCGTGAGCCACCGCGACCAGCGTATTTCTGTTTTCCTTCCTGCTTTATTTGCACTCATGTCCTTACGTACCAAGAAAAAGTTTGTAGGCAAACCTTTAGGCCCTCCTACAGCACAGGCGGGGCCAGACTCCTCACACATTCCCAGAGCTCTTTTTTGCCCCCATCCCATGATGGCACCCCAAACTCCCATTTCTTTGCTATCTCCACTGTCAGTAACCACCTGCGTGACCTTAGGTGAGTAACCTAAACCTCCCTAGACTGTTGTCGTCACACTTTTCAAGTGAGGGAGTTGGACTACATGAACTGTAAGATCCTCTCATCCTGAGTTTCTCGCTTTAGGTTTTGCAAGTACCCATCATTGCCACAGCACCTCAGACCCTCAACCTCCCACCACTAATCAGCCACTATGGGCCTTAGTGTTTCCTGCCTTCCAGTTTCTCATCTTCAAAGAAGTCAATTCATATCTACAACTTGAGGCAAAAATTTCAGATCATCAATACAGTACCTGTTCTATCAACAAAAGGTCTTTCAGTGGGGAAAGCAGAGGTAACAAGGCAACAAAGCCAAATACACAAAAGGACAGAAAAAGAAAACAACTTACAGTTCTTGGTTAACTAAGTTCAACTTTTCATTATTATTTTATAGTGACAGGCAGGCCTCACTATGTTGCCCAGGCTAATCTGTAACTCCTAGCCACAAGCGATCCTTCACCTCAGCCTCCCAAAGTGCTGGGAGAACAGGCATGAGCCACCCCAACAGCCCTTCAAACAATGTTGTTTTTTTTTTTTTTTTTGAGACAGAGTCTCACTCTTGTTGCCCAGGTTGGAATGCAATGATGCGATCTCGGCTCACTGCAACCTCCGCCTCCCAGGTTCAAGCAATTCTCCTGCCTCAACCTCCTGAGTAGCTGGGATTACAGGCACCCGCCACCAAGCCTGGATAATTTTTGTTTTCTTTTTTTTGAGGTGGAGTTTCGGTCTTGTCACCCAGGCTGAAGTGCAGTGGCGTGATCTCAGCTCACTGCAACCTCTACCTCCTGGGTTCAAATGATTCTCCTGCCTCAGCCTCCCAGGTAGCTGGGATTACAGGCGCCCACCACCACTCCTGGCTAATTTTTGTAGTTTTAGTAGAGACGGTTTCACCATGTTGGCCAGTCTGGTCTTGAACTCCTGACCTCAAGTGATCCGCCCGCATTGGCCTCCCAAAGTGCTGTAATTACAGGTGAGAGCCACCATACCTAGACAATTTTTTTTGTGTTTTTAGTAGAGATGGGGTTTCACCATGTTGGGCAGGCTGGTCACCTCGGCCTCCCAAAGTGTTGGTATTACAGGCATGAGCCACCACACCTGGAAGAAACAATGTTTTTAACCAGTATAGCAGGCAGGGTGTTTGCAGTGGCAAGCCAGGTTCAAATGCTGGCTTGCCCCTTAACTAGCCTCTGTGACCCTGAACAAGTTAACTTTGATTTCTAAGTCTCAGGTTTATGAACAACAACAAACAAAACAGGAAGTGGACCTCATACCTCCTAATGTTGTTGAGGATTAAATGAGTATTTATACGAAATGTCTGATAAAGCCCAGAAGACAGCTCGACTGCAATAATAAATCATAATTTTATAAGCTTCCTTAATTTCTATACTTCTCCTAAGTAAAGGCTACATCGCCCTCTGCCTGTCCCACTTTTTTCCTCATGAGCAGTCTGACCCCTACCCCTACCCCTACCCCAAGTACAGATGTAACATTCCAAAAAGAACTGAAGGAGAGCCGTGGCTCACGCCTGTAATCCCAGCACTTTGGGAGGCAGAGGCGGGCGGATCATGAGGTCAGGAGATCGAGACCATCCTGGCTAACACGGTGAAACCCTGTCTCTACTAAAAATACAAAAAATTAGCCGGGCTTGGTGGTGGGTGCCTGTAGTCCCAGCTACTAGGGAGGCTGAGGCAGGAGAATGGTGTGAACCAGGAAGGCGGAGCTGGCAGTGAGCCGAGATCGCGCCACTGCATTCCAGCCTGGGTGACAGAGAGACTCCGTCTCAAAAAAAAAAAAAAAAAAAAAAAAAAGAACTGCAGGAGAGGTATGAAAGCATGCAGGTTTTTAGAAGAAACCAGCCAACACCAGTTCAAAGAAATACCTTCATTGCTAGCTTTATGTTCCAGAACATACAGTGAGAAGCGATTACACCTCAGGAAAATTCCCAGTGCCCTTGGAGAGAGCTGACATAGGCTTTGCCCCATAAAGTCCTGCTTATCTGGCTGGGCAAAGAAAAGGGTAGGAGGCTGGGCATGGTGGCTCACGCCTTTAATCCCAGCACTTTTTAAGGCCAAGGTGGGCAGATCACCTGGGGTCAGGAATTTGAGACCAGCCTGGCCAACATGGTGAAACCCTGTCTCTACTAAAAATACAGGAATTAGCTGGGCGTGGTGGCGCGTTCCTGTAATCCCAGCTACTCAAGAGGCTGAGTTAAGAGAATCGCTTGAGGCCAGGCACGGTGGCTCAAGCCTGTAATCCCAGCACTTTGGGAGGCTGAGGCGGGTGGATCACGAGGTCAGGAGATCGAGACCATCCTGACTAACACGGTGAAACCCCGTCTCTACTAAAAAATACAAAAAATTAGGCGGGCGTGGTGGGCCAAGATCGCGCCACTGCACTCCAGCCTGGGGGACAGAGTGAGACTCTGTCTCAAAAAAAAAAAAAAAAAAAGGAATCGCTTGAACCTGGGAGGCAGAGGTTGCAGTGAGCTGAAATTGCGCCACTGCACTCCAGCCTCAGTGACAGAGCAAGACTCAAAAAAAAAAAGGCAGCTGGGCGCGGTGGCTCATGCCTGTAATCCCAGCACTGCGGGAGGTGGAGATGGGCGGATCACGAGGTCAGATCTGTCAGAAGATCGAGACCATCCTGGCTAACACGGTGAAACCCTGTCTCTACTAAAAATCAAAAAAAATTAGCCAGGCATGGTGATAGGCGCCTGTAGTCCCAGCTACTCGGGAGGCTGAGGCAGGAGAATGGCGTGAATCGGGGAGGCTGAGCTTGCAGTGAGCCGAGATCGCGCCACTGCACTCCAGTCTGGGTGACAGAGTGAGACTCTGTCTCAAAAAAATAAAAGATTAAAAAAAAAAAAGGGTAGGAACTTTCAGCCTGGGCAGAGCCTTTATTCTTGTCACCCAGCAGGGGTGATAAGGTGCCACCAACCTTCTGAGCTGCCATCTAAGGATGGTAAGAGCAGCCTAGCATCAGCTCATGCTCCCTTAGATGTTAGTTTTTGGGGCCAATACAAAATCTTTAGGTGGCCCTCCACCACTGCTGCTCTGTCTGTCTGCTGTTGGGGAGCCAGGGAGAGGCTGCACCCCTAGAAGGGGTCCCACTTCTGGATCTGGTTTGCTGCGTTTGGCCAGGTCCTCATTGTGAGCCTTGCGGATGTGGCGGTAGAGGTCCCCTGACTGCGTGTAGCTCCGCAGGCAGTAGCGGCACTCATAGGGTCGCTCACGTGTGTGCACCGTGGCATGTCGCCGTAGTGTGTAAGAGCATGAGAAGGTCTTCCCACATGTCTTGCAGGTGGGAACATCCTCAGTAAAAACCCCAAAGCTTCCTGGAGCTGCTTCGTACTCAGAAGACAGGTAAAGTGGCTCATGCAGGGATGCGGGTGCAGGCAGAGGTGAGGTCACCAGTCCTCGATGATACTGCCCTGCACCTGGCAGCAGATGGTAGGGTAGATGAGGGTCTGTTGGCAGGAAGTGGTCACTTGGCCCCACCTCCTCCAGTCCTGCTGCCCCTGGGTCTTCAAAAGCCTCTGGCTGGGAGGGCTGTGCCCCATACACTGCTCCTCCAGATGGGAAAGCTCTCTCAGGACCCTGAGGCTGTTCATCTGACACATCAGTCTCTTCATCAGAGATCACAATAGCTTCAACTTTCACCTGGACCAGCTCAGCTTCAGCTGGGGCTGGAGCCTGGGATGGAACTGGAGCTGAGACAGGGGCTGGGGCTGACGTTGGGGCTGAGGCTGGGGGATAGAAGCCTTGCAGTGGTCCTCCAGGATCCTTTGGTTCCACCACCCTCAGACTCTCAGGACCCACATCAAGAGATGGCAGTGGCTCCAATGAAACTGCTGAGATGCCAGAAGAGAAGTAGTTTGTAGGAATGGTCTCAGTGGAGCTACTAGGGCTGGCAAGAGAGACATCAGCCACTGGTGGATGAGGTGCCCGCAGATGTGGTGCGTCAACCTCCATGCCAGGCTGTGTAGTGTCAGCCCCACTAGACATTGGTGGCTCATCTGGAGGACGGACAGTAGGTGAGGGAGCAGCAGAGCCTTTCCATTCCCCTTTGCCCCAGTGGCCTGATGTCTCAGCAGATGCCAACGAAGGTTGGGTGCCACGGGAAGTACTAGACAAAAACTCCAAACTAGGAAGCTGTGAGTTGGTTTCCTCCTCCTTCTTGGTACTGTCTGCCTCTGCCAGGGCCCGGGCTTGAAGCCGCCGCTTACACACCTTGACGATGTCATTCATGTGCAAGTAGCTGGCAGCTGCCAGCACATCCTCCACAGGGGTATCCCCTCTCAGGGTCAGCTGGCCAGCATACATAAAGTCCAGAAGCAGCCCAAAGGCTGGGGCTGTGACAATTTCATTGTGAATACACACCAGATCCCTCTTGTCCAATTCCCGCTCCTTGTAGAAAAGCTGGAAGAATGGGCTGCAGGAGGCCAGCACAGCCCGATGGGCCAAGAACTGGGTACTACCCACCATCACGGTGCAGTCACAAAGGAAACCCTGGGACCGCTGCTCCCGGAGGCTCTGCAGCAGCTGCTGACTGTGTTCTGGGAACTCCATAGTACCCCACGAAGGAAAGGGGGCCCAAAAAAGGTCCCCACCAGTGGCTCCCTGAGAAAAAAGGGCAGTGAGTTAAGACAGGTAACCTCCCCAGCAACCTTATCAGCCCTTAACTATCACTTGCCACTCCAAAACAATCGCTTAAGTTACTGCCCTTCTTTCTCCTAGGTCACACCCAAAGCTCTCCCATTAGCTCCGCCCACCTCGGCCTAACCTTAGAACAGGCCCCACCCCCGTCCGATAAGCCCTGCCCCCGGAAGTCCCGCCCCTTAGCCACCCTCCGCTTCCTTGATGCCCACCCGGTAGCGTCCAACGGCTCCACGAAGTAGAGATCTTTTTCGCTCCCAGGCCTTGCCAGGCGATGCCTCTACGCCCCACTTCGAGAACTCCCTAAGCATCTCCCTCACGCATTCCAGGGGCTAAGGACTACCAGGGTGGGAACTAGCGGAGAAAGCTGATACCTCACCCACCACCGAGCAGCCACAGGGCGAGCTCCGCCCCTTCCCACCTTCTCAGCTTTAATTGGCTTAAGATTGCCCTCCCCTGTCACGGATTGGTCCGCTCTCCACTAACCATCCTCCCTCTAACTGCCGTCTACAATTGGGTGCTCGCCGCCATCGCTTTTGCAGTCAGGCGTTGGATTGGGTGACGCTCCTGTCCTCAACTTTTCCTCTTCGTCCCGCCTTCCTTGCCTCCGAGCCCTCAGGATTGGCTGAGCTTCTCCTTCTACCTAATCCAGCAGGCAGGAGGTACCCGGCTCCGAGTCGCTGAACGCGGCGCTCTCCTGGCGAGGCTGGAGGTCGGGAACCCTGCAGTGTCGGACCCGAGCTGACAGCAAGCCACTCCCGCTACAGGCTGACAGGGAAAAAGAGAACCAACTAGGCCAGGCGCAGTGCTTCACGCCTGTAATCCCAGGACTCTGGGAGGCCGAGGAGGGCGGATCACTTGGGGTCAGGAGTTCGATACCAGCCTGGCCAACATGCTGAAACCCCGTCTCTACTAAAAATACAAAAATTAGCAGGTCTTGGGGGCGCGCGCCTGTAATCCCAGCTACTGGGGAGGCTGAAGCAGGAGAATCACTTGAACCCGGGAGGCGGAGGTTGCAGTGAGTCAAGATCGTGCCACTGCACTCCAGCCTGGGCGACAGAGTAAGACCCTATCCCCCCACCCCCCCAAAAAAAGAGAACCAACTGGTGACTGTGGGCAATAGCCCCACGTCCCTGAACTGCGTTTGTCTCTTGAAGGTCCCTTCCTCTCAAAAATTCTAAGATTTGCCGGGTTCGGTGGCTCACGCCTTTAATCCCAGCAGTTTGGGAGGCTGAGACGGGCAGATCACTTGAGGTCCGGAGTTCAAGAGCAGCCTGGCCAACATAGTGAAACCCCATCTCTACTAAAAATACAAAAATCAGCTGGGCATGGTGGCGCGTGCCTGAAATCCCAGCTTCTAGGGAGGCTGAGGCAGGAGAATCTCTTGAACCCAGGAGGCAGAGGTTGCAGTGAGCCAAGATAGCGCCACTGCACTCCAGCCTGGGAGACAGAGCAAAACTCCATCTAAAACAAACAAACAAAAAAACATTTTAAGATGCCCTACTGCTCCACTCCTCCAAGCTAAGTTTCCGGGGCTCCCGGCTCAGTGATGGCATGAAAGAACTAGCAGCTACAGGGATGATGTCGTGGTGTCCCTAGCCTGGACTCTACAGTCAATTTACAGTGAGAGGATAGAGTGTTCTTTGTTTCCAGAGCGTGCTGAGCAGGTGCTGGTAGGAAGGGTAAGAATGGGGTCAGGATCATAAAATGTCCCAGGACAGGAGAGAAGAAGCAAAAACCGTGTCTACTGAAGAAATCTTTGAGAGTCTCTACACACCCAGAGGAAAAGGCTATAAGTTGGGAGTCACTGATAACTGCCCCGTCTGACCCAGGTAGTGTTACTAGAGGAGTAAACTCGGTGCCCTAATCCTCACTCCTTCACCCACCACCCTAAGCATCTCTACTTTATTCTGCAGTCAGGCCCTCCGATCAGACCTAACCAGAATTAGGGAGAGTTCATCTATACAACAAACTTGTGCTACATACATTCAGGATATGTTGGCCTTAGCTTGAGATCATGCCTCTTCAAGACACTGTGTTCATTCTTACAAGCCATACAATATTTACTGTATAGGAATTAAAACTAAGAAATGGGCCGGGCACAGTGGCTCATGCCTGTAATCCCAGCACTTTGGGAGTCCGAGGCAGGTGGATCACCTGAGGTCGAGAGTTCGAGACCAGCCTGACCAACATGGAGAAACCCTGTCTCTATTAAAAGTACAAAAATTAGCAGGGTGTGGTGGCGCATGTCTGTAATCTCAGCTACTTGGGAGGCTGAGACGGGAGAATCACTTGAACTTGGGGGGCGGAGGTTGTAGTGAGCCGAGATCGTGCCGTTGCACTCCAGCCTGGGCAACAAGAGTGAAATTCCATCTCAAAAAAAAAAAGAATAAATAAATAATAATAATAAAAATATAAAAATTAGCTTGGCACCTATAATCCCAGCTACTTGGGAGGCTGAGGCAGGAGAATCCATCTCAAAAAATATATATATGTTTTTATATATACATATATGTAAATATAAATATATAAATTATATACATATAAAAATATATGTATGTATATGTTGTAAATAGAGAAGGGGGACTCTGTGTTGCCCAGGCTGGTCTTGAACTCCTGGGCTCACGTGATCCTCCCAGCTTGGCCTCCCAAAATGCTGAGATTACAGGTGTCAGCCACCAAGCCTGACCTTTTTAATTTTTAATTTAATTTAATTTTCATTTATTTTTCTTTTTTTGCGTCTTGCTCTGTTGCCCAGGCTGGAGTGCGGTGGGGTGATCTTGTCTCATTGCAGTTCTGACCCCTCAGGTGATCCACCCACTTTGGCCTCCCAAAGTGTTGTGATTACAGGCATGAGCCACCTTGCCTGGCCTCATATATATTTATATTTGTTTGTTTTGTTTGTTTTGAGACAGTGTGTCGCTCTGTCGCCCAGGCTGGAGTGCAGTGGCACGATCTTGGCTCACTGGAAGCTCCGCCTCCCGGGTTCACGCCATTCTCCTGCCTCAGCCTCCTGAGTAGCTGGGACTACAGGCGCCGGCCACCACGCCCAGCTAATTTTTTGTATTATTAGTAGAGACGGGGTTTCACTGTGTTAGCCAGGATGGTCTCGATCTCCTGACCTCATGATCCACCCGCCTCTGCCTCCCAAAGTGCTGGGATTACAGGCATGCGCCACCACACCCGGCTAATTTTGTATTTCTAGTAGAGACAAGGTTTCTCCATGTTGGTCAGGCTGGTCTCGAACTCCCAACCTCGGGTGATCCGCCCGTCTCGGCCTCCCAAAGTGTTGGGATTACAGGCGTCAGCCACCGCCCCCGGCATATATATATATATATATATATATATATATATATATATATATATATATGTATTTTTTTAAAATAGAGATGGAAAAATAACTATTTACCAAAATCAATAAATATGTCGTGAGAATAATGGCATTGTTTTACAGGGGGGTTGGGGGGAGACACTGTTTTTCTCTCCTCTCACACCACCACAACAATCAACAAAGAAGGCTACTGTGTGACCAAATGTGTTGGTTTTTTCCCCAGTCCACAAGCAAGCAGTTCCAGCTGGGTGTCCTCTTGTTTAATGCCAACACTGTCTACCTGGAGATAACCTCAGATCTCAAATGTTTAGGGTGCAGATCTCAAGACCGCCCTCCCCACCGGCCCCCCGGTACTAGTTTCTTTTCTCTCCTTTTTTCTTTTATTTCTTTTCTTTTCCTTCCTTTTCTTTTCCTTTCTCCTTCCTTCCTTCCTTCCTTCCTTCCTTCCTTCCTTCCTTCCTTTCTTTCCTTTCTTTCTATTTCTTTCTTTGTCTCTTTATTTGTCTCTCTCTGTCTCTCTCTTTCTTTTCTCTCTCTCTTTTCCCCTTTTTCTTTTCTTCTTTCTCTCTCTTGTCTCTCTCTTTCCCCTGCCTCCCTCCCTCCCTCCCTTCCTTTTTTTTTTTTTTTAAATCAAATTATTGTTTACCAGACATGGCCCCTGACTTCTGATGCTAGTCAAAAGCCCCAGGCTGTTTTACCTATGCCTCTGACTGACCAGCTGTAAATCTAGGCCCCCACAACTCTACTTGGGCTTGGTTAACTTGCTAGGGTGGCTCATAGAAATCAGGGAAACACCTACTTACCTTTACTGGTTTATTATAGAGGCTATTTGAAAGGATGCAGATGAAGAGGTGCCTAGGGTGAGGTATGGGGGAAGGGATGTGGAGCTTCCGAGCCCTCTTCCGGTGTGCCACCTTCCAGGAACCTCCAGGTGTTCAGCTATGTGGAATCTCTGAACCCAGTCCTTTTGGATTTTTGTGGATGCTTCATTATGCAAGCATGACTGCTGAAACGATTGGCCATTGGTGATCAACTCAACAGTTCAGCACCCCCTCCACTCCCCAGAAGTTGGGGGTGGGCTGAAAACCCCAACCTTCCAATCATGCCCTGCTCTTTATGGTGACCAGCCCCCATCCGGAAGCTACCTAGGGCCTGCCAGCCATCAGTTAACATTAGCATACCAAAAAAATCACTTTAGAGATTTAGGAGTTGTATGGCAGAAAATAGGGTCAAAGAAACGTATATTTCACAATATCACACTGTTTCGATAGGAGACAGCTCGATTTTCACATCTGCTTCTATTAGCTATTAGGATATATTGTTTTGATTGAAATACATGAAGAAAATTTGGTCTCACACAGACATGTAACTAGAAGAGCACTTCACCAATCCCCTGAAAGGTTCTTTTGGGGACCACAACTTCAGAATTGCTGTTCTGAGCTTTCAGGCTCTACGTGCACACACTTTGAGGAGCAGACACAACAATCCTTGTCATTGCTTTGGTGTCTTTTTTATCCAAAGTTTCAGTCTCAGGCAGTAGAGTTTACAGTAGTGAAGAATGCGACTTTCCCAGGTGTGAGGGCTCACACTTGTTATCCCAACACTTTGGGAGACAAAAGCAAGAGGATCACTTGAGGCCAGAAGTTCAAGACTAGCCTGGTCAACAGAGTAAGACCCACATCTCTGCAAAAAATAAAAAATTACCCGCGCATGGTGACCCATACCTGTAGCTGGGGAATGCAATGAGCACTCCAGCCTGGCAGCCTGGGTGACAGAATGAGACCCTTTCTCAAGAAAAAAAAAAGGTGGGGCCGGGCGCAGTGGCTCAGGCCTGTAATCCCAGCATTTTGGGAGGCTGAGGCAGATGGATTACCTAAGGTCAGAAGTTCGAGACCAGCCTGGCCAACATGGTGAAACCTGGTCTCTACTAAAAATACAAAAAAAAAAAAAATTAGCTGGGCGTGGTGGTGGGCGCCTGTAATCCCAGCTACTTGGGAGGCTGAGGCAGGAGAATCACTTGAATCTGGGAGGCGGAGGTTGCAGCGAGCCGAGATTGCACCACTAAGTTCCAGCCTAGGCGACAGAGTGAGACTCCAACTCAAAAAAAAAAAGAAAGAAAGAAAAAAGAAAAAAAAAAGGAACACAAGCTTTGGAGCAGGTCAGCTATTCATACCCAAATACCTCCCCTTAATCTTTTTCTGGCTTATGTATAAGGTAGGAATAATAATAGTATCAGTGTCAACCTAAAATAATCCGACGGGTCAGAACCTAATTTAGAGTTTTTTCAAGTGCGAAGTATGAGAATGGAACACCTGGAACCACCAACTCCAGAAGAATGGAGTCAGTGTTGTGAAGTAAGAAAGTTAAGATTTCATTTATATAGGCAAGCACACATGACTTTTTAGCAGGATTACATTTTTCACAGAAGATTGGTACATAGTTATAGCAATTTGGTTGGCTATAGACAATGTTTCTTTTTGGGAAGTATACATGTAACTTTTTTTTTCCAATTTTTTTTTATTTGGAGTTTCGCACTGTTGCCTGGGCTGGAGTGCAGTGTCAAGATCTTGCCTAACTGCAACCTCCGCCTCCCGGGTTCAAGACATTCTTCTGCCTCAGCCTCTGGAGTAGCTGGGATTACAGGCACCTGCCACCACACACGGCTAATTTTTTGTATTTTTAGTAGAGATGGGTTTTCACTATTTTGGCCAGGCTGGTCTTGAACTTCTGATCTCGTGATTTGCATGTAACTTTTTTTTTTTTTTTTTTTTTTTTTTTTTTTTTTTTTGAGAGGGAGTCAGCCGGGCGCGGTGGCTCACGCCTGTAATCCCAGCACTTTGGGAGGCCGAGGTGGGCGGATCACCTGAGGTCGGGAGTTCGAGACCAGCCTGACCAACATGGAGAAACCCCGTCTCTATTAAAAAAAAAAAAAGAGAGAGGGAGTCTTGCTCTGCATCCCAGGCTGAAGTGCAGTGGAGCGATCTCGGCTCTTTGCAATCTCAGCTTCCCGGGTTCAAGCAATTGTCCTGCCCCAGCCTCCCCAGTAGCCGAGTAGCCGGGATTACAGGCATGAGCCACCAGTGCCCGGCGCATGTAACATTTTTTAACAGAGGATGAAATAGTCATGGATTTCCTACACTTCAGCCTGGGCGACACAGCAAGACTCCGTCTCAAAAAAAAAAAAAA
The DNA here is from genome assembly GCF_000001405.40 of Homo sapiens. Lineage (NCBI taxonomy): Eukaryota > Metazoa > Chordata > Mammalia > Primates > Hominidae > Homo > Homo sapiens. The sequence continues at coordinate 62,760,269 of NC_000011.10, forward strand.
AAAAAAAAAGAGTTAATCTATAATCTGAGAACAGAAGTTGTAAACTATATGTGACTCGCAGTCATATCTCTCTCGAGGCTTAAAGTGTTTTTTGGGCTTCCAATAGCTCTTAAATTTTTTTTTTTTTTTGAGACTCCGTCTTGCTTTGTCGCCAGGCTGGAGTGCAGTGGCGCGATCTCAACTCACTGCACCCTCCGCCTCCCGGGTTCAAGCGATTCTCCTGCCTCAGCCTCCTGAGTAGCTGGGACTACAGACGCCTGCCACCACGCCCGGCCAATTTTTTGTATTTTTAGTAGAGACGGGGTTTCGCCATGTTAGCCAGGATGGTCTCAATCTCCTGACCTCATGATCTGCCCGCCTCGGCCTCTCAAAGTGCTGGTATTACAGGCGTAAACCACAGCGCCCGGCCTAAATTTCATTATTTTCTGTAGCTTCTTGGCCTTTTGGCTAAGGCTCGTAAACATTTTTTTTTTATTTCTACACCAATTTCTGTAGATTATTATGAGAATTAAGGGAGAGAATTATATCAAGCGCTTAGCACAGTGTCTGGCATCTAGGAAGAAAGTAGTAAGTGATAGCATTTATTTATTTATTTATTTTATTTATTGAGATGGAGTTTCGCTCTTGTTGCCCAGGCATCTAGGAAGAAAGCAGTAAGTGGTAGCATTTATCAATCTATCTATCTATCTATCTATCTATCTATTATCTATCTATCTATCTATCTATCTATCTATCTATCTATCTATCTATCTATCTGTTGAGATGGAGTTTCGCTCTTGTTGCCCAGGCTGGAGTTCAGTGGCAAGATCTCGGGCCGCCTCCCAGGTTCAAGCAATTCAGATAGTTGCCGACCGGGCGCGGTGGCTCACTCCTGTAATCCCAACACTTTGGGAGGCCGAGGTGGGTGGATCACCTGAGGTTGGGAGTTTGAGACCAGCCTGACCAACATGGAGAAACCCCATCTCTACTAAAAATACAAAATTAGTCAGGTGTGGTGGCACATGCCTTTAATCCCAGCTACTCGGGAGGATGAGGCAGGAGAATCGCTTGAACCCGGGAGGCGGAGGTTGCAGTGAGCCGAGATCGCGCCACTGCACTCCAGCCTGGGCAACAGAGGGAGACTCCGCCTCAAAAAAAAAAGTTGTCGTTTGATGGCTGGGGGGCGGGGGTGAGGGGCGGGGCTTAGTGGTTCTCGCCCACGACGGCGAGGCCCAATCAGACCCGCGGAGCTGGTGGAGTTCCGCCCTCGCGGAGGAGGTGGTGTTCCGCCCTCCTAGTCGCAGCAAGCGCGGAACTGGGGTTGCGGCGTCTAAGTGTTTCCGGTGGATTCCCAGGGACTGTCGGAGGTGTGGACTCTGCCTGCCTACCTGGTCTGGGAAGATGTTCTACCATGTGAGCAGGGCTCAGGGTGGCGGCAAGGGCTGGGTGGAAAGGAAGAGCAAGGCCAGGCGCCGGCGCGAGACTCCCCTTGTCGTCCAATAACCTGCCAGCGCCTGGCCTGGTCGCCATCCCACTTTTCTCCGCAGATCTCCCTAGAGCACGAAATCCTGCTGCACCCGCGCTACTTCGGCCCCAACTTGCTCAACACGGTGAAGCAGAAGCTCTTCACCGAGGTGGAGGGGACCTGCACAGGGAAGTGAGTGTCGAGCTCACCGCACCGCCAGATCGTTCGATGCGCACACGGGGCGCTATACCTGCAACCCCTCCCCAACTCCTACTCGTCCTGCCACCCACTCTGGGGACCCCTCTCCTCTCTCAGGCAGCCAGTTGCTTCCTGCTTTGGGTTCCCAGGGCGCCCTCTGCAATGCTGGACAATAAGACTTCCTTCTCTCAGCTGAGATGGGTCATTCATTGACTCCTCAAACATTTTAAAAACCCTTGGTGTGTGCCAGGACCCGTGTTGGGCTCAGAACAAGGTAGAATGGGAACAAGATAGAATGAGGACAGCCCCTGTGGAGCTCACAGTGTAATCATTGTTCCTGTGTCTGCTCTCCCTCTGTCATTCTGCTGGTTTTCTCTTATCCCCTGTGCCCAGGGACCACACACCATGGGCCTCTATATATCTTCTGAATGAATGACCAGAAAAAGCAGATCGAGAGTTTGGGGGAGGAAGGAAGTAGCCTGGGATTTGACCATCTCTGGGCTTTGCACAGAGGGGCCTCTCTGATATTAATGAGCTGGGACCCAGCTCAGGGCAGTGGAGTACTTGGGCCTCCAGCATCAGAAAAACCTGCAGGAACATGCAGATTCCTGAGCCTCCTTATTCCCTACAGAATCAAGACTGTCTGGGGCAGACCTGAGAATCTGCATTTTAAGAAGATGATTCTCAGGCATCCCGAAGATTGAGATCTGTTGCCTCAAGGACTCCAGCCTTCTTGGACATTTATTGTGAAATTACCAGAACAGCATTTGGTCTTACACATACTGATCTCTGTTCTGTCTTCTTTTGGTCATTAAGCTCTCTGGGAGCAGAGGTGCTATCTACTTGTCCTTTTGCTCTCCCCGACCCTACCCCCAAGAGCTCAGCGACTTTTATTGCAGATGTCTTTAGAGGCTCTTGGACACACAGTGTCTTCCTGTTTCTCATCCTCCTTGCAGGTATGGCTTTGTAATTGCTGTCACCACCATTGACAATATTGGTGCTGGTGTGATCCAGCCAGGCCGAGGCTTTGTCCTTTATCCAGTTAAGTACAAGGCCATTGTTTTCCGGCCATTTAAAGGGGAGGTCGTGGATGCTGTTGTCACTCAGGTCAACAAGGTGAGACCATACATAGGGGAGGCAGTGGGGTAGTCTCTCGGAAGATCTGGGTTGGGTTCTGGCTCCACTTCATAACTCTGTGCCTTTGGCTAAGTCACTTCACTTTTTTTTTTTTTTTTTTTTTTTGAGAGAGTTTTGCTCTGTTGCCCAGGCTGGAGTGCAGTGGTGCGATCTTGGCCACTGCCACCTCTGCCTCCTAGGTTCAAGTGATTCTCCTGCCTCGGCCTCCCAAGTAGTTGGGACTAAAGGCACGTGCCACCATGGCCGGCTATTTTTTTTTTTTTTTGAGACGGAGTCTCGCTTTGTCACCCAGGCTGGTGTGCAGTGGCGAGATCTCCACTCACTGCAAGCTCCGCCTCCCGGGTTCACACCATTCTCCTGCCTCAGCCTCCCAAGTAGCTGGGTCTACAGGTGCCCACCACCACGCCCGGCTAATTTTTTGTATTTTTAGTACAGACGGGGTTTCACTGTGTTAGCCAGGATGGTCTCGATCTCCTGACCTCGTGATCCACCCGCCTCGGCCTCCCAAAGTGCTGGGATTGCAGGCTTGAGCCACCGCGCCCGGCCTGCACTTTCAAATTATATGGTAATCTTGCCCTGCCTAACTCAGAGGGCAAGAGAGTCAGTATTAATAGTCATAACAATAAAAGCCTGTGTTGATTGAGTAGTTACTATGGGCTAGGTGATGTGCAGAGACTCACAATGACTCTAAAAGGTGGGTTTTTTTTTTTTTTTGAGACGGAGTCTAGCTCTGTTGCCAGGCTGGAGTGCAGTGGCGCAATCTCGGCTCGCTGCAACCTCCGCCTCTGGGTTCAAGCGATTCCCCTGCCTCAGCCTCCCAACTAGCTGGGACTATAGGCATGCGCCACCATGCCCAGCTAATTTTTGTATTTTTAGTAGAGATGGGGTTTCTCCATGTTGGTCAGGCTGGTCTCGAACTCCCGACCTCAGGTGATCTGCCTGGCTCAGCCACCCAAAGTGCTGGGATTATAGGCGTGAGCCACCGTGCCCGGCCAGTGGGTGCTTTTTACAGAAGCTGAAGCTTGGAAGAAATTAAGTGTACTGGCCAAGATCATGTGGCCAACAGGTGTTCAAATCTTGGACTAACACGTCCCAGGCCTAAGCTCTTTAATACTTTAAAATGAAAGCTTAGGCTGGGCGCGGTGACTCACATCTGTAATCCCAGCACTTTGGGAGGCTGAGGTGGGCAGATCACCTGAGGGTGGGAGTTCAAGACCAGCCTGGCCAATATGGTGAAACCCCATCTCTACTAAAAATACAAAAATTAGCCAGGCATTGTGGCATGTGCGTGTAGTCCCTGCTACTCGGGAGGCTGAGGCATGAGAATCACTTGAACCTGGGAGGTGGAGGTTGCAGTGAGCTGAGATTGCATCACTGCACTCCAGAGTGGAGAACAGAGTGAGATTCTGTCTCAAAGTAAATATGTAAATAAATACAAATGAAAGCTTAAAAAAAAAGAGAAAAGGGCTGGGTGCGCTGGCTCACACCTATAATCCCAGTGCTTTGGGGGGCAGAAGTGGGAAGATTGCTTGAGCCTAGGAGTTTGAGACAGCCTGGGCAACATATCAAGACTCTGTCTCTACAAAAAGTTTTTAAAAATTAGCCTAGCATGGTGGTGTGCACCTGTGGTTTCAGCAACTTGGGAGGCTGAGGTGGGAGGATCGCTTGAGCCCAGGAGTTCAAATTTACAGTGAGCTGTGATCGCACCACTACTTTCCAACCTGGGCAACAGAGTGAGACCCTGTCTCAAAATTTAAAAAGCAAAAAACAAAAACACAACACTTGAGGGGACAAAGAAAAGGCAAGATCACTCTTTTGTTTTTTTTTTTTGAGACAGAGTCTTGCTCTGTTGCCAGGCTGAAGTGCAATGGTGCAATCTCGGCTCACTGCAACCTCCACCTCCTGGGTTCAAACGATTCTCCTGCCTCAGTCTCCTGAGTAGCTGGGATTAGAGGTGCACGCCACCATGCCCGGCTAATTTTTGTATTTTTAGTAATGACGGGGTTTCACCATGTTGGTCAGGCTGGTCTGAAACTCCTGACCTCGTGATCCACCGGCCTCGGCCTCCCAAAGTGCTGGGATTACAGGCGTGAGCCACCGTGCACGGCCGTAAGATCACTCATTTTTTTTCTAGGTTGGACTCTTCACAGAAATTGGGCCCATGTCTTGCTTCATCTCTCGACATGTAAGTCTGGGCACACTGGGTGGGGCTGAGGAAGACAGATACTCATTCATCACCATCTATTGAAGCATCCATTTAAAGTGCTAACCTAGATCTCACTTTCCTTTCAGTCCATCCCTTCAGAGATGGAGTTTGATCCTAACTCCAACCCACCATGTTACAAGACAATGGATGAGGTGAGTGGACAGAAAGAAGTCAGGGAGACAAGGAGAGAATCAGCCATCCTGAGGGAGAATATTGGCCTGGGGATGGCTGAGTACAGATGGTCCCCGAATTACCATGGCTTGATTCATGATTTTATGACTTTACGATGGTGTGAAAGTGATGTGCATTCAATATGCCCCCGGGCTTACAGTGAAGTGATTGTGATGTAACTTCTCATAAACTGAGGAGCATCTGTACACTGTTCCCTCCTCTCCTCAGGATATTGTGATTCAGCAGGACGATGAGATCCGCTTAAAGATTGTGGGGACCCGTGTGGACAAGAATGACATTGTGAGTCTTTTCCCCACCTCTCTACCTATACCAGGTTGAGCTGAGAACTGTCGATTTCTTTTTTCTTTTTTTTTTTTTTTTGAGACGGAGTCTTGCTCTGTCACCCAGGCTGGAGTGCAGTGGCGCGATCTCGGCTCACTGCAAGCTCTGCCTCCCGGGTTCATGCCATTCTCCTGCCTCAGCCTCCCGAGTAGCTGGGACTACAGGCGCCCGCCACCACACCTGGCTAATTTTTTATATTTTTAGTACAGACAGGGTTTCACCATGTTAGCCAGGATGGTCTCGATCTCCTGACCTAATGATCCACCCGACTCGGCCTCCCAAAGTGCTGGGATTACAGGTGTGAGCCACCGCGCCTGGCCGAGAGCTGTCGATTTCTTACCACCCACAGTTTCAGGGGGTTCTGTGCTCTTCTGCCAGGAAGAAGGGATGGATGGGCAGAAGGCCTGGGGCTGCAGGGTGGAGGTTGGTTCTGTGCTCATCTTGGCTTCACTTTCTTTTTACCATCTTTCTTGCAGTTTGCTATTGGCTCCCTGATGGACGATTACTTGGGTGAGTGCCTGATCATAGGTGCTGGGGTTATTGCCTGGAGAAGGGATGTGTGGGGGTGGGGAGTAATATAGGATTCAATGCCCAAATCAGAGAGACAGAAGAAACTTTCATGCTGTCTGCTTGAAAGATCCAGGACATTTGCCTTGGGATGAGGAGTACATGGTTGTGGCTACCCTAAATTCCGGTTCTAACTGATATGCTTTTTCTGGTTTCGCAGGGCTTGTAAGCTGAGCCTGGTGGCCTCCTACCCTTGGTCCTACTCTAGGAAGTGTGATTGTCACACTTATCATGTTGTCCAGAGGTCCAGTCTGGCTGCTGTTGTGGAGGCAAGGAAGGCAACTCATCCCAGAAGGCATCTGGTGCTTCTTGTAGCTTAACTACTGCCTCCTCATTTTTCAGTATGTGTTCTAAGTATAAAAAGTCCTTGGTTCTCATGGAAGTGTTATCTTCTTTTTTTTTTTTTAGCAGGAACAATAACTCTTTAAAGAGGCTGTGGAGTTGGCTGCTTACTAGCCCCTCTTTTTCTTAGACTGATGCCTCTACTAGCCTCAGCCACCCAGGGGAACTGACTAACCCATTTGTCCAGGTTTAAAGGTGACCTCACTGAAGTCAAGGCTCTGATGTTGGGTCTTTGGCTTCCAGCAAATGATACCATCATTAGTGGCATTCTGGGTCCTGATCTAGTTCCAGAGTGTTTGCTCTTCTCCTGCCCTTAAAAGTAACCAAGAGCATAGCTGGGAAAGAAGGGAGAGGAGACAGCAGACAGGGAGAGATGAATAAGAGGCTAGTAATGACACAGACTGTAGGATCTCAACACAGCCTTTCCTAAGTTGGGTATATAAACAATAGTATATCACTATACTAAACTGAACTGAAGATGTAAAAGGGCTCACAATCTAGTTAGGGTGACAAAAAATGTATGAAATGCCTACAGGATTAAAGAAACATGCCAATTTTCCCTGGCACTATACCTCTGCAATACTATTTTGTCTACCTTGGAATGCCCTTTCCCAGCTTGTCCATTTCCTATCTACTAATCTATGAAATCTCATTTCAATTATTATTATTATTTTTTCTTTAACTTTCTTTGACTTCCCTGGGAAACAGAGCTCTGTGGCAGAAAACAAGAAAGCATGGTATTTGGATTGATACAGAGCTGGTTTAAGTCTTAGCTGGACTCAAGAGGATAAGAGATGAGGCAGGTAAATTGCTTGAACCCGGGAGGGGGAGGTTGCAGTGAGCTGAGATCCCTCCACTGCACTCCAGCTTGGGCTTCAGAGTGAGACTCCATCTCAAAAAAAAAAAAAAAGAAAAGAAAAGAGTCTTAGCTGGATGACCTTCTGTTTCCTCATTATAAAATGGGCAGAAAACCCTCTTTGGAGGCTGCTGTATCAGACATCATATGTTCAAGTGGCTGGCATAGAGCCTGGTCCATGATGGGCACTCAACTTTTAATTATCATAATTATTATATAATGCATCCCAAAGCCAGTGCAGTGGTGTGTATCTGTAGTCTCAGGTACTTAGGAGGCTGAGGTGGGAGGATCACTGGAGTCCTGGAGTTCTTCCTAAGTTCTCAAATAGGGGAATAACACCAAGCCTGAAAGGAAGAAATTGATGGACAGAGAAGCAGCTCATGGATCCTGAGCATGTGGGTGCTGGTGAGGATGTAGGGTGTGGCATCGAAAAGGCTGGCACTAATTAAAAAAAAAAAGGAAAAAAAAAAAGCCTGGCACTCTAGTGGGGAAGGGAACAAGTGGGGATGCCCTGGAGATGGTTTCCAGAACTCTTCTGAGCTTTTTTTTTTTTTTTTTTTTGAGACAGAGTCTCACTCTGTCGCCCAGGCTGGAGTGCAATGGTACGATCTTGGCTCACCGAAACCTCCGCCTCCTGGGTTCAAGGGATTCTCCTGCCTCAGCCTCCCAAGTAGCTGGGATTACAGGCATGTGCCACCACGCCCAACTAATTTTGTATTTTTAGTAGAGACAAGGTATCTCCATGTTGATCAGGCTGGTCTCAAACTCCTGACCTCAGGTGATCTGCCCGCCTCGGCCTCCCAAAGTGCTGGGATTACAGGCATGAGCCGCCGCGCCCCGCCTCTTCTGAGCTTTTAAGGTTGGTACTAAGGGATTCTGAAAGTTACAGCCTCCTAAAGCGGTCACAGGCTAATAGAGTACCATGTGCTTGGCAACATGCTAAATCCTTTACACACTTTTCTGAATCTTCACAACAGTTCCATGGAGTAGATTTCGTTATCCCGCTTTATAGTTGATGAGACAGGTCAGACAGGTGAACTAATATGCCTAAGGTCACACAGCTGGTGAGCTGTGATTTTTTAAAAACAGTCTGGGCTTGTTGTGGTGGCTCATGCCTGTAATCCCAGCACTTTGAGAGGCCGAGGTGCGCGGATCACTTGAGGTCAGGAGTTTGAGAACAGCCTAGCCAACATGGCAAAACCCAGTCTCTACTAAAAATACGACAATTAGCCAGGTATGGTGGTGCGTGCCTGTAATCCCAGCTACTCAGGAGGCTGAGGCACAAGAATCGCTTGAACCGGGGAGGTGGAGGTTGCAGTAAGCTGAGATTGCTCCACTGCATTCTAGCCTTAGCAACAGAGCAAGGACTCTGTCTCAAAAAAAAAAAAAAAAAAAAATTGGCCGGGCATGGTGGCTCATGCCTGTAATCCCAGCACTTCGGGAAGCTGAGGCGGGCGGATCACAAGGTCAGGAGTTGAAGACCAGCCTGGCCAACATGGCGAAACCCCATCTTTACTAAAAATACAAAACTTACAGCACTTAGCCAGGCATGGTGTCGGACACCTGTAATCCCAGCTCCTCCAGAGGCTAAGGCAGGAGAATCACTTGAAACTGGGAGGGCAGAGGTTGCAGTGAGCTATCACGCCACTGCACTCCAACCTGGGCGACAGAGCGAGACTCAGTTTCAAAAAATAAATAAAAATAAAAATAAATGAATAAAAACAGTCTGACTTTGACCAGGCACAGTGGCTCATGCCTGTAATCCCAGCACTTTGGGAGGCAGAGGCGGGTGGATCACAAGGTCAGGAGTTGGAGACCAGCCTAGCCAACATGGTGAAAACCCTGTCTCTACTAAAAACACAAAAATTAGCTGGTGGTAGTGGCAAGTGCCTGTAATCCCAGCTACTTGGGAGGTTGAGGCAGGAGAATCATTTGAACCTGGGAGGTGGAGGTTGTAGTGAGCCAAGATTGCGCCACTGCACTCCAGCCTGGGCAACAGGGTGTTACTCCGTCTCAAAAAAAGGAAAAAAGAAAAAAAGTCTGACACCAAAGCCATCATAGTTCTTGCCAGGCATTGGGTGTGTGGAGCGAGCCACCTTTCTCCCATCTGTGGCCATGGAGGTCTCACTACTGCCTTCCCTGGTTCCTGCCTCCACTCAGATTGGGAGCAAATGAGCTCCAGACAGGTTGGATACAGGTTCACTACATCTAATAGGTCCCGGGCAGTCCCGGTCTCCCTCCCATCTTCTAGTGTCTCCAAGGTTGCTGATGGCTGTCCAGAACAGTAAACCTAAGCAAGGAGGTCAGCCAGCTGCCCAGGTCTGGCTAAGCTGACTTCAGGCTCAGTCAGACCTTAGAGGAGAGCGCCCTCTCTCTTTCCCTTAACGCACAGGTGGGCAGACACTTGAAACCACTTCTAATATGGTTCTGAATATGAGTGGAAGAGACTCAGCAGGGTCACATTCTCCTTAGGTGGGGTTGCCATGGCAACCACAGTCGCATCCATCTGGCTTTGCCAGCTCGGGTCCCAGGGGATTTTCTTTTCCAGCGGCAGCAGCATCTAACCCTGAGAGGGGGAAAGAGAAAAAATGTGTACATTCATGCTCCCTTGCAGAATGTTCCCACAGTTCACTCAGTGCAAACTACCCCATCTTGGGTGAACTTAAAGGAATTCACTGTATGCCTTGTGACATGTGAGGGAAAGAAAGTTTCTCTCTTTTTTTTTTGAGACGGAGATTCACTCTTGTTGGCCAGGTTGGAGTGCAGTGGCGCGATCTCGGCTCACCACAACCTCCGCCTCCCGGGTTCAAGCAATTCTCCTGCCTCAGCCTCCCGAGTAGCTGCGATTACAGGCATGTGCCAACACACCCGGCTAATTTTGTATTTTTAGTTGAGATGGATTTTTCTCCATGTTGATCAGGCTGGTCTTGAACTCCCGACCCCAGGTGATCCCCCGCCTCGGCCTCTCAAAATGTTGGGATTACAGGCGTGAGCCACCGCGCCCGGCCGGGAAAGAAGTTTAACCTCCAACTCTGCCAGGGACTCTCACAGACATTAATTTACAACAACCCTGTGAAGTGCGCATTATTACTCCATATTAGGTAATTTGCCCAAAGGCAGTGTCAGAATTTTAACCCAGGTCGGTCTGATTCCAAATACCATCCTTTACTCACTAAGCCCACTGCTTATCAATTAAGAACTGCCCAAGTAGCTGCTATTGCAGTGGGAGTTGGAGAAAGAGAGCTGTCAGTGTGCGTGTCCAACGGTCATGCAAGGCGAGGTAGGCCAGGGCTTGTATTTGGTTCACAGGCGTGGGGAGAATGCGAAGTAGGTGCAGAAAGAGCAGAACCCTGGAGTCCGGAGCTTGCACGGGATGTTCGGCCGGGTCAGAAGTCCCTTCTGCCTGCCGAGAACACCTACCGAGAGCCCCATCTATCCCTTCAGGAAGGGGAAGTGGCATGTGATGTTGGGGAGGTAGGCCGGGCAGGAAAACTAAGCCAGACACCAAAATCTAAAGCTTTGCTGCAGTCGCGAAAATGCGGGTGCTCAGAAACTCGCGAGCAAACAAGACAAAGAAAATCAAGACGCTGTCTTTGAGACTGTTTATTTCCTCGTTACTATTGTGGTGGTAAAAAAAATAAAATATGCTTATTAAACGTGTGTTAAAACAATACACACCTACTCGCAAACGTAGCAAGAGAGGTTGCTTTAAGAAGCGGGAATCTTCAGCGTCACGTGACCGCCGGTCTCTACAGTCTGTTCACACTGGCCAATCAAGAGCCAGGAAGCCTCCTGGAGGGCCGGAAACTTTCCAAGGCGCCCGCCGACTGGCTGTATTGGGGAGGGCGGGGCCGGGGCCCCGGGAGAGGGAATGAGTGTGAGCTCGTGAGTGGGCGCCGCCGCCACCGCCCCCGCCGCCGTCGTCTCGGTAGCAGCCTTCGCCACGCCGGGGTCTTCAGGTGAGCAGGCCTTGCTCTGGTCCAAGGACTCCCCATTCCCGACGCCGACTGCTTACTCACCAGTCTTGGAGCCCGCACCGCGAGGGCCCGCCCCCTTGGCTGACCACGTGACCCAAGTTCAGTGACCCCTGACCTCCTCCCCCCGCGCACCCCCTCCCCGATCTGGGCTGGGCTAGGCCGGGTGGGAGGATGCGCGTTGCCGAGGCCCGGCCCGCGGAGGTCAGTTCCCACGCCTCCTCTCCAGCGTGACTAGTGGCTGAGGATGCGGAGGAGAGGAGGCTGAGGAGCGGGAGACTTTGGTCACAGTCTAGATTTCGTGTACGGTCATATAATAGGGAAACTCCCTCCGTGCCTTTCGCGCTGGTGGACTAAATGCTCCCATTTTACAGATAGGGAAACTGCAGCTTCACAACGATCTATTGGCGGGTCTAGGGTCACCAAGGGGTGGGTCTCCAATCCATGTCTTTGGGGTGGGATCCAGGCCTTGTTCCCCATACAGCTGGCGGCTCCTGAATGCGGTATAGAGTAAAGATTAGGAGCAAGGGGTTGAGTCCTTGCTCCCCCTCCCTACTTACTCAGTGCTTACTTCATGATCTTGGAGAAGTCATGGAACATTTAGCCTCTGAGGTTTGATTTCCTTGCCTGTGAAATAGACGAAATACATAATAATATCTTATTATTGAGAATATAGTGAAGTAATCCATATAAAGCACTTAGCTGTGTCTCAGGCATAGTACAGTGCTATTCGTGGCCGGGCGCGGTGGCTCACGCCTGTAATCCTAGCACTTTGGGAGGCCGAGGCACCTGGATTGCCTGAGCTCAGGAGTTCGAGGCCAGCCTGGGCAACACGGTGAAACCTCGTCTCTACTAAAAATACAAAAAATTAGCTGGGCATGGCGGCGTATGCCTGTAGTCCTAGCTACTCGGGAGGCTGAGGCAGGAGAATTGCTTGAACCAGGGAGGCAGAGGTTGTAGTGAGCCGAGATCACGCCACTGTACTCCAGCCTGGGTGACAGAGCGAGACTGTGTCTCCAAAAAAAAAAAAAAAGCTCGTCGGGCCAGGTGCGGTGGCTCTCACGCCTGTAATTTCAGCACTTTGGAGGCCGAGGTGGGCGGATCACCTGAGGTCAGGAGTTCCAGACCAGCTTGGCTACCATGGCGAAACTCCATCCCTACTAAAAATACAAAAATTAGCCAGGTGTGGCGGCACAGGCCTGTAATCCCAGCTACTCGGGAAGCGGAGGTTTTAGTGAGCCGAGATCAAGCCACTGCACTCCAGCCTGGGTGACAGAGTGAGACATCAGACATCATCTCCAAAAAAAAAAAAAAAGAATAGTTCTTCTTTCTTTCTTTTAGAAGATCTTTTTTTTTTGTTTGTTTTTGTTTTTTGTTTTGTGTTTTTTTTGAGACTGAGTTTAGCTCTGTCATCCAGGCTGGAGTGCAGTGGTGCAATCTCGGCTCACTGCAGCCTCTGCCTCCTGGGTTCAAGTGATTCTCCTGCCTCAGCCTCCTGGGTAATTTTTTGTATTTTTAGTAGAGACAGGGTTTCACCGTGTTAGCCAGGATGGTCTTCATCTCCTGACCTCGTGATCCACCAGCTTCGGCCTCCCAAAGTGCTGGGATTACAGGCGTGAGCCACCATGCCTGGCCTATAATTACAAATTTTTTTTTTTTTGAGATGGAGTCTTGCTCTGTCGCCCAGGCTGGAGTGCAGTGGTGCGATCTTGGCTCACTACAACCTCCACCTCCCGGGTTCAAGCAATTCTCCTGCCTCAGCCTCCGGAGTAGCTGGGACTACAGGCGCGGACCACCATGCCTAGCTAATTTTTGTATTTTTAGTAGAGACGAGGTTTCACCATATTGTCCAGGCTGGTCTAGAACTCCTGACCTTGTGATCCACCCGCCTTGGCTTCCCAAAGTGCTGGGATTACAGATGAGCCACTGCGCCCGGCCTACAATTTTTTTTTTTTTTTTGAGACGGAGTTTTCCCCTTGTTACCCAGAATGGAGTGCACTGGTGCGATCTTGACTCACTGCAACCTCTGTCTCACGGGTTCAAGCGATTCTCCTGCCTCAGCCTTGCGAGTAGCTGGGATTACAGGCATGTGCCACCACACCTGGCTAATTTTGTATTTGTAGTAGAGATGGGGGTTTTTCTATGTTGGTCAGGCTGGTCTTGAACTCCTGACCTCAGGTGATTCGCCCGCCTTGGCCTCCGAAAGTGCTGGGATTAGAGGCGTGAGCCACTGGGTCCAGCTACAAATTCTTACGACTGGTTTGGAGGCAGAATGCAAGGACATTGGAGGATCTAGGAAGACATCCCTGAGCAAGTGACATTTGAACTGAAATCTGAAGGAGTGAGTAGCAGTTCACTAGACAAAGGGATTGGGGGTGGAGGACAGGGAGGAGAGAGTTCCAAGTGGAGGAAGCAGTGTTCAAAGGTCCTAAAATAGGTGTATTTGAGGAACTGAAAGGAGGACACAGGTGGGAATACAGAACACAAGAAAGTAGGAGATAAGAGGTAAGAGGTATTGCAGAAGTAGGCAGTACATGCAGAGCCTCCAGAGCCATTGTTCAGATTTGTTCTTTATTTCTTTTTTTTTTTGAGACGGAGTCTTGCTCTGTTGCCCAGGCTGGAGTGCAGTGGCGTGATCTCGGCTCACTGCAATCTCCGCCTCCTGGGTTCACGCCATTCTCCTGCCTCAGCCTCCCGAGTAGCTGGGACTACAGGCGCCCGCCACCAAGCCCAGCTAATTTTTTGTATTTTTAGTAGAGATGGGGTTTCACCGTGTTAACCAGGATGGTCTGGATCTCCTGACCTTGTGATCCGCCTGCCTCGGCCTCCCAAAGTGCTGGGATTACAGGCGTGAGCCACCGCGCCCGGCCCAAATTTGTTCTTTATTTCAAAGACAATGGGGAGCCATTGGGAGGAGTGCTGCACAGAAGCCACATAGCTGTCCATTGGATGTAGGGACCTGGACGTCACTGGTGACCCATTGATCCCCTGCCAGAGGAGTAGTGGGGGCAATGCCTGGGTGGGTCATCCTGGATCTGGGCCTTCCTGTCTGAGGTGTGGATGCATCACTTTGGCGCACGGGAGCCTACCTTCTGGTGCTGTGCGTTGTTGGAGTGAGTCATCAGCTGCTGTTTTTGTCGGTTTCTTATTGTGCTATACCCTGTGAACAAAACAGGTTCCAGCATTTAGGCACTGCAGCCAAACTGGGGAAGACCAAACACATAGGCAGAAAGCCCAGCTACTATCCAGCCTGGCCAACATGGCGAAATCTTGTTTCTACTAAAAATACAAAAATTAGCTGGGCGTGGTGGCACGTGCCTGTAATCCCAGCTACTTGGGAGGCTGAGGCAGGAGAGTTGGGGGCAACAAGAACAAAACTCCGTCTCAAAAAAAAAAAAAAAAAAATTTAGCCATCCGGGCGTGGTGGCAGGTACCTGTAATCCCAGCTACTCAGGAGGCTGAGGCAGATAATTACTTGAACCCGGGAGGCGGAGGTTGCAGTGAGCTGAGATCGCGCTGCTACACTCCAGCCTGGCGCCAGAGCGAGACTCTGTCTCAAAAAAAAAAAAAAAAAAGAAAAGACTGGGTAATGTATAAAGGAAAGAGGTTTAACTGACTCAATGCTGGGGAGGCCTCAGGAAACTTACAGTCATGGTGGAAGAGGAAGCAAACATGTCTTTCTTCATGTGGCTGCAGCTAGGAGAAGTGCCGAGCAAAAGGGGGAAAAGCTCTTTATAAAACCATTAGATCTTTTGAGAACTCACTATCAGGAGAACAGCATGGGGGAAAATGTCCCCTTGATTCAGTTATCTCCACCTGGTCCCGCTCTTGACACGTGGGGATTATTAAAATTCAAGGTGAGATTTGTGCGGGGACACAGCCAAATCATATCAGTCATCTCATTTTCACAGCAACCCTGTGAGCTAGAGAGGGCAGGAATTATTGTGCCTGTTTTACAGTTTAGGACACAAGGGCTCAGACTGATGAAGGCCTTGGCCAAATTCACATAGAAGGTGACAGGGCAGGAATGGGACCTAGTTCTGTGAACCCCAACACTTTGGACTTTGTCTAGCTTCACCGTTCTTGACCCACTGGCCAGTCTGTTTCCTTCTCTGAGCCTCACTTTCCTCATCTGGGTACTCAGAGCTCCTTGTTTAGAAACTCCAGAGCACGAGCAGCAAGGCTGGTGTGGAGGGTGTTGGATCACACTCCTGGGCTCTCCGGGAGGCTGGGCAGCTTTTCCAGTCTTCATTCTCCACTCCCAGCTCCACTGGGGCCATGTCAGAGCGAGAAGAGCGGCGGTTTGTGGAGATCCCTCGGGAGTCTGTCCGGCTCATGGCGGAGAGCACGGGCCTGGAGCTGAGCGATGAGGTGGCGGCGCTGCTCGCAGAGGACGTGTGCTATCGTCTGAGAGAGGCCACGCAGGTACACTCCCCTCACCCCCTGATACCTCCAACTTTCCTTGTTTCTGCCTTTTTACTAACCTCCACCCTCGCTGATTTATTCAAGTGTACACTGGGTGCCTGCTCCATACAACAGAGACAGTCCATGCCTTTACAGAACTCTACTTGTAGCTGTCTGGGCTTCCAGCAGACAAAGCGCTTGCCAGGCATCTTCCCATGTGCTCCTCACAACAGCCCTGTTGGGCAGGCAGAGCGGGTAGATACTCACATTCTGCATGTGAGAAACTGAGGTGTTGACAGAAGATGTGACACCCGGGGGGTGTTTTTGTACAGGAGCAGAGACGGAATCTAGGCTTCTGATCCCTAAGCGTGGTCTCCTGTTTGCCTTCTCTCCAGTCTGGCCCACTTCATTTGGGGTTTCCCATGCCCCCTGCTTCACATCCTTTGACTCTGGCTTTTGTTCCCTCCCTCCCAGAATAGCTCTCAGTTCATGAAGCACACCAAACGCCGGAAGCTGACGGTTGAGGACTTCAACAGGGCCCTCAGATGGAGCAGCGTGGAGGTGAGTGGGGTGCAGGCTACAGAGGGCTCAGGTGGCATGAGGCCACTTCCATGTCCAGTTCAGGGCTGGCGATGTGGTGAGACATTAAGACCAAACGCTGCCGGGCATGGTGGCTCATGCCTGTAATCCCAGCACTTTGGGAGGCCGAGGTGGGCGGATCACTTGAGGCCAGGACTTCAAGACCAGCCTGGCCAACATGGCGAAACCCCTTCTTTACTAAAAATACAGAAATTAGCTGGGCCTGGTGGTACATGTCTGTAATCCCATCTAGTCAGGAAACTGAGGCATGAGAATCGCTTGAACCTAGCAGGCAGAGGTTGTGGTGAGCTGAGATTGCACTCCAGCCTGGGCAACAGAGCAAGACCCTGTCTCAAAAAAAGAAAAAAAAAAAAAAAAGGCCGGGCACAGGAGCTTACACCTAAAATCCCAGCACTTTGGGAGGTGGAGGCCGGCGGATCACGAAGTCAGGAGTTTGAGACCAACCTGCCCAACATGGTGAAACCTCGTTTCTACTAAAAATACAAAAATTAGCTGGCCGTGGCGGTGGGCGCCTGTAACCCCAGTTACTCAGGATGCTGAGGCAGGAGAATCGCGTGAACCTGGGAGGCAGAGGTTGCAGTGAGCTGAGATTGTGCCACTGTACTCCAGCCTGGGTGACAGAGCAGGACTCCATGTCAAAAAAAAAAACAACCAAAAAAACACAAAAATTAGCTGGGTGTGGTGGTGGGCACCTGTAATCCCAACTACCTGGGAGGCTGAGGCAGGAGAATCGCTTGAAACTGGAAGGCGTAGGTTGCAGTGAGCCGAGATCACGCCACTGCATTCCAGCCTGGGCGAAAGAGCAAAACTCTGTCTCAAAACAAAAAAAAGAAAAAAAGACTAAACGCACACATAAGGGAAGCAAGACCCTGATAGCAACAGCAGACCAGGTGCTAGGCCCAGCCCACCTGGGCTATGTGTTCAGAAAAGAGGGAGAGGAGGCCACTGGAGGCCCAGAGGTTAGAGAAAGCTTTTTGGAGGAGGTGGGACTGGAGCTGGCCCTTAAAGGGTGGTGAAGAACTTGAGCTTGGCTTAAACTAGGCCAAGAGGAAAAGAAGGCATTCAGGCTAAGGGAGGAGCCTGAGCAACAGTGTGGGTGTTAGGGCCTCATGGTGTGGTTTTTCTGGAGCGGTGAGTTGAGAGAGGAAGGCTATGTTTAGAAGACATTAGTGAGTTTTCAAAGTTGAGTGAGTGTGAATAAGGAGGACCAGTGCTTGGTGTGGGGCTCAGGACCCTTCCAGTTATGGGAGGAGCGACCATGTTCTTTCCCTTGACCCAGGGAGCCCCGGATGCTCCAGGCAAGTCCCCAGTGGTGGCTCTGAGTCCCAGGCTTCCACCACTTTTCTTGGGACTTCTGGACTTCCTTCAAACGTGGGCTCTCTGCTCTGGTCAGTGGAGCCTCATCCTGGATCCTGACGCCTGCTCCCTCCCTGGATTCAGGCTGCTCTCCAATTCCCTTTTTCCTCAGGCTGTGTGTGGTTACGGATCACAGGAGGCACTGCCCATGCGCCCCGCCAGGGAGGGTGAACTCTACTTTCCTGAGGATCGAGAGGTGAACCTGGTGGAGCTGGCCCTGGCTACCAACATCCCCAAAGGCTGTGCTGAGACAGCTGTCAGAGGTGGCTGCCGGGGTCCTGCATGGGTTGGGGATGGGAGTTGGGCCGTGAAGAGAAGTGGTGATGGGCTGGCTGGTGGAAGAGGCAGAACTTGGAGGGGTAGGCGGTACTCTAAGGGGCAAAACGCCAGGCTGACACATCTCTCTGCACTGCTTCTAGTTCATGTCTCCTACCTGGATGGCAAAGGGAACCTGGCACCTCAAGGATCGGGTAAGGGGTGATGTAGGAAACAGGCTCTTTGGATGAATTTTCTCCCTTAGGTTCTGAGGGTGGTGCCTATGTGCCCCCGAGTCTGCGTCTAACATGTGTTTACCCATGCCTGCCTTGTGCCATGGTCTGAGTGGGCGCTGGGCTCTGCATGGAGGGCTCAGAGTTGGAGATGGGGGCCCAGACCTGTAACTAGTCATAATGCAGCATGTTGGATGCTAAGACAGAAGTCTGGGCAGCATGCTGGGGCGGTGTTTCACCCCCAGGGTATGCTGAGCAGAGCTTCACAGAGCCTGAAGCTCTCAGGAGTCCGTCTGGCAGAGGGTGGGTGGAAGACAGGACAGAGCACAGAGGTGTGCAGAGCCTAGATGGTCAGGGCTGAGCAGGCTCTAAGAGCAGTCTCTTGCCCTGGTTGTCCTGTCAGAAAGGCTTCTTGTGGATGTGTGTGGGGATGGTGGTTGAGGGGGAGGAGGCTGGAGAGGCCAGGAGAGGGCCAGCTCTCCACCTGTCCCTGCTTCCTGCCTGTCCTCTGGCAGTGCCCAGTGCTGTGTCTTCACTGACAGATGACCTTCTCAAGTACTATCACCAGGTGACTCGTGCTGTGCTAGGGGATGATCCGCAACTGATGAAGGTGAGCGAGTGGGCCCAAGTTGGGGCACAAAGTTGAAATTGTAAATTCTAGACCTGTTTTTTTTTTTTTTTTTTGAGACAGAGTTTCGCTCTTGTTGCCCAGGCTGGAGTGCAATGGCATGATCTCAGCTCACCGCACCCTCTGCCTCCCAGGTTCAAGTGATTCTCCTGCCTCAGCCTCCTGAATAGCTGGGATTACAGGCGTGTGCCAGCATGCCCGGCTAATTTTGTTTTGTTTTGTTTTGTTTTTGAAACGGAGTCTTGCATTGTCACCCAGGCTGGAGTGCAGTGGCGCGATCTCGGCTCACTGCAAGCTCCGTCTCCTGGGTTCATGCCATTCTCCTGCCTTAGCCTCCCGAGTAGCTGGGACTACAGGTGCCCGCCAACATACCCGGCTAATTTTTTGTATTTTTTAGTAGAGACGGGGTTTCACCGTGTTAGCCAGGATGGTCTTGATCTCCTGACCTTGTGATCCACCTGCCTCAGCCTCCTAAAGTGCTGGGATTACAAGTGTGAGCCACCGTGCCCAGCCTTATATTTTTAATAGAGACGGGGGTTTCAGCATGTTGGTCAGACTGGTCTCGAACTCCCGACCTCAGGTGATCCACCCGCCTTGGCCTCCCAAAGTGTTGGGATGACAGGTGTGAGCCACTGTGCCCGGCCTAATTCTATGAACATTTAAATTTTTATTTATTATTTTAATTAAAAAAACATTTTTTTTAAGATGGGGTCTTGCTCTGTCACCTAGGCCGGAGTGCAGTGGTGTGATGTTGGCTCACTGCAGCCTCTACCTCTTGGGTTCAAGCAATTCTCCCACCTCAGCTTCCCAAGTAGCTGGGATTACAGGGGCATACCACCATGCCTGGCTAATTTTTGCATTTTTAGTAGAGATGAGGTTTCACCGTGTTGGCCAGGCTGGTCTCAAACTCCTGACCTCAGGTGATCCACCCGCCTCTGCCTCCCAAAGTGGTGGGATTACAGGCGTGAGCCTATATATATATATATATATATATATTTTTTTTTTTTTTTTTTTTAGAGACAGGGTCTCACTGTATTGCCCAGGCTGGTGAAACTCCTGCCCTCAAGCAATCCTTCCTTGGCCTCCCAGCACTTTGGGAGGCAGAGGTGGGCGGATCACTTGAAGTCAGGAGTTCGAGACCAGACTGTCCAACATGGTGAAACCCCATCTTCACTAAAAATACAAAATTAACTGGCTGTTGTGGTGGGTGCCTGTAATCCCAGCTACTCGGGAGGCTGAGGCAGGAGAATTGCTTGAACCCAGGAGGCAGAGGTTGCTGTGAGTCAAGATCACACCACTCAGGTGGATCACCTGAGGTCAGGAGTTCAAGACCAGCCTGGCTAACATGGTGAAACCCCGTCTCTACTAAAAATACAAAAATTAGTCACGTGTGGTGGTGGACGCCTGTAATCCCAGCTACTCAGGAGGCTGACGCAGGAGAATCGCTTGAACCTGGGAGGCAGAGGTTGCTGTGAGCTGAGATTGTGCCATTGCACTCCAGCCTGGGCAACAAGAACAAAACTTCATCTCAAAAAAAAAGATCACGCTGCTGCACTCCAGCCTGGCTGATAGAACGAAACTCCGTCTCAAAGAAAAACGAAAAAGTAATACTAGTACATGTTTACTGTAGAAGTACATATAATATAAAAACATAGAAAAAGAAAGTGGCTGGGTGCGGTGGTTCACGCCTGTAATCCCAGCAGTTTGGGAGGCCGAGGTGGGTGGATCATGTGAGGCCGGGAGTTCGAGACCAGCCTGGCCAACATGGTGATTTCCCGTTGGATATCTACTAAAAATACCAGAAAATTAGCCGGGCTTGGTGGCATGCGTCTGTAATCCTAGCTACTTGCGAGGCTGATGCAGGAGAATCGCTTGAACCCAAGAGGCAGAGGTTGCAATGAGCCGAGATCGCGCCACCGCACTCCAGCCTGGGCAATAGAGTGAGACTCCATCTCAAAAAAAAAAAAAAAAGGGCCGGGCACGGTGGCTAACGCCTGTAATCTCAGCACTTTGGGAGGCCGAGGCGGGTGGATTGCTTGAGGCCGGGAGTTCGAGACTAGCCTGGTCAACATGGCAAAACCCTGTCTCTACTAAAAATACAAAAATTAGCTGGGCGTGGTGGTGGGCGCCTGTAATCCCAGCTACTTGGGAGGCTGAGGCAGAAGAATTGCTTGAACCCAGGAGGCAGAGGTTGCAGTGAGCTGAGATTGAGCCACTGCACTCCAGCCTGGGCGACAGGGCGAGACTCCATCTCAAAGAAAAAAAAAAAAGAAAAAGAAACTGAAAAGTCTATTCCTCCACCTACTTTTTTTTCTCTGTATCAACTATGATTACTCTCATAAAAACCTAAGTGGTATTATATTAAGCATCTGGTTTTATAGATTGCCTTTCTCAGTTAAAAATGTTGGATGGCCGGGCGCGGTGGCTCACGCCTGTAATCCCAGCACTTTGGGAGGCTGAGGTGGGCAGATCACGAGGTCAGGAGATCGCGACCATCCTGGCTAACACGGTGAAACCCCGTCTCTACTAAAAAATAGAAAAAATTAGCCGGGTGTGGTGGCAGGCGCCTGTAGTCCCAGCTACTCGGGAGGCTGAGGCAGGAGAATGGTGTAAAACCTGGGAGGTGGAGCTTGCAGTGAGCCAAGATCGTGCCACTGGGCGACAGAGCGAGACTCGGTCTCAAAAAAAAAAAAAAAAGTTGGACATTCAGGTTGTATTCAGGGCCATATGCAGGTATATGTGAATGAGTTTCTGTAGGTTACATTTATAGAAATAGAATTGCTAGATCAAAGAATATGAACATTAAAATTGTAAAACATGAATAAGGTGATACACTGTCTTCCAGAAGAATACCGCATTCATGTTTTACAATTTTCTGGTGGATCCAATGCAGTCTGGGCCCTTCCTTTTAGGTTGCACTCCAGGACTTGCAGACGAACTCCAAGATTGGGGCACTCCTGCCTTACTTTGTTTATGTGGTCAGTGGGGTAAGTGACCAGGCTGGGACAGGGAGAATGTTTTATAAGGAAGAGATGACCCAGCAGGTGTAGGGCTCATGGCAAGTGCTGTCAGAATGGTGGGCTCCTGCCTGTCCCCTCATGTCCCTGTAAGCTACCCTCTTCTCCCAACAGGTGAAATCTGTAAGCCATGACCTGGAGCAACTGCACCGGCTGCTGCAGGTGGCACGGAGCCTATTTCGTAATCCGCACCTGTGCTTGGGGCCCTATGTCCGCTGTCTGGTGGGCAGTGTCCTCTACTGTGTCCTGGAGCCACTGGCTGCCTCCATCAACCCCCTGAATGACCACTGGACTCTGCGGGATGGGGCTGCCCTCCTGCTCAGCCACATCTTCTGGTAGCCACTGGGCCTAAACCTGCGGGTGGGATTGCTGCAGAGCCAAGTGGGTTGGGGTAAGGAAATGGGGCGAAGCCTCTGGCTTTGAGAGTCTATGAGAAGATGGGGAACCTTTTCCCTAGGAGCGTCCTAGCTGGTGTGCTGTGACACACTGGGATTCTGAAAATGGATTACAAATACGCCAAGGTATTGGTTCTTCAGCCCTCAGGTCCTAGGCCAGTCACCCCTGGCAGCCTTCTTCACTTAACCCCAGCACTCCCGAGTGTGCTGTACAGATGCTATTCTCTTTGTGTTGTCTTGTGCCCTGTTGGGTGGCACCATGCCTCATTCCCCTCCCTAACTGAATGGTGCTCCCACAGGACTCATGGGGACCTTGTAAGTGGCCTCTATCAGCATATCCTGCTATCCCTGCAGAAGATCCTGGCAGATCCTGTGCGGCCGCTCTGCTGCCACTATGGAGCCGTGGTGGGGCTGCATGCTCTTGGCTGGAAGGTGAGCACCCTGGCCTTTCTCACACAGCCGTAAGAACTCCCATTTGTGTTAGAAAAATAGTACTTGTGCATCGTTATCTCCAAAATAGTGTGTGCCTGCCACTGCCATGTATTGAGTTCTGGCCTTAGGCCAGGCTCAGTGATACTTGACTTTCTGAATGTAAATGTCTTATCCTTTCGAAAGTCCTATATGGCAGATACTGATGTCCCCACATTTTATAAATTCCTGCCCGTTCTATATTATCACATTAAGAAATACCTTCAATTCCTGTTGTATTGAGCATTTTACACATGAATAGATACTGAATTTTGTCATACCTTTTTAGCATCTGTAGAAATTATCAAATGATTATACGCTTTAAAAATTAGGTGTTGGCGCCGGGCGCAGTGGCTCACGCCTGTAATCCCAGCACTTTGGGAGGCTGAGGTGGGCGGATCACAAGGTCAGGAGATCGAAACCATCCTGGCTAACACGGTGAAACCCCATCTCTACTAAAAATACAAACAATTAGCCTGGTGTGGTGGCGGGCGCCTGTAGTCCCAGCTACTCGGGAGGCTGAGGCAGGAGAATGGCGTGAACCCGGGAGGCGGAGCTTGCAGTGAGCCGAGATTGCGCCACTACACTGCAGCCTGGGCGACAGAGCGAGACTCTGTCTCAAAAAAAAAAAAAAGTTAGGTGTTGCCACTGTGATAATATTAAGAGGGAGGATCTTTTTTTTTTTTTTTTGAGACGGAGTTTTGCTCTTGTCGCCCAGGCTAGAGTACAGTGGCATGATCTCAGCTCACTGCAACCTCTCCCTCTTGGATTTAAGCAATTCTTCCACCTCACCCTCCCGAGTAGCTGGGATTACAGGCACGTGCCACCATGCCCACCTAACTTGTATTTTTAGTAGAGAGGCAGTTTCATCATGTTAGCCAGGCTGGTCTCAAACTCCTAGCCTCAAGTGGTCTGCCTGCCTCGGCTTCCCATAGTGCTGGGATTATAGGCATGAGCCACCACGCCCAGCCGATTATGTGGTTTAATATGACAAGTTCTATTCTGTTGATATGCTAGGTGTATTAATGGATTCTTCTTCTGAACCACTTTTGTATACCTGGAATAAGTTCTATTTGTTGCTTTTGAGATT
Organism: Homo sapiens; assembly: GCF_000001405.40. NCBI lineage: Eukaryota > Metazoa > Chordata > Mammalia > Primates > Hominidae > Homo > Homo sapiens. Next base: position 62,783,952 of record NC_000011.10, read on the forward strand.
TTTGTTTTTTTGAGATGGAATCTTGCCAAGATGGCGCCACTACACTCCAGCCCGGGCGACAGAGTCTCACACTGTCGCCCGGGCTGGAGTGCAGTGGCGTGATCTCGGCTCACTGCAACCTCCACCTCCCGGGTTCAAGTGATTCTCCTGCCTCAGCCTCCTGAGTAGCTGGGACTTACAGGCACGCACCACCAGGGCCAGTTAATTTTTGTATTTTTAGTAGAGACGGGGTTTCACAATGTTGGCCAGGATGGTCTCAATCTCTGGACCTCGTGTTCCGCCCGCCTCGGCTTCCCAAAGTGCTGGGATTACAGGCGTGAGCCACCGGTGCCTGGCCATATATATATATTCTTAATTTTTTTTTTTTTTTTGAGACGGAGTCTCGCTCTGACACCCAGGCTGGAGTCCAGTGGCGCCATCTTGGCTAACTGCAACCTCCGCCTCCCGGGTTCACGCCATTCTCCTGCCTCAGCCTCCCGAGAGTAGCTGGGACTACAGGCGCCCGCCACCATGCCCGGCTAATTTTTTGTATTTTTAGTAGAGACAGCGTTTCACCGTGTTAGCCAGGATGGTCTCGATCTCCTGGCCTCATGATCCGCCCGCCTTGGCCTCCCAAAGTGTTGGGATTACAGGTGTGAGCCACCGTGCCTGGCCTATATTCTTAATTTTATCATCAATTTATATTGGATTTTTATCAGATGGTTTTTCTGCATCTTTTGAAATGATCCGAAGGCTTTTCAGCTTTTGTTTTCCAATGTTATTACAGATTTCCTGATAGTAAACAATCTTTATAGTTCCATGATACACTAAACTATGTCATGGGATAGTCGTAAAGAAAAAACCCAAAGCTTTTATTGGACTGTAATGCATTTTAATTTACTTGTGGGTCTGCTAAATTTTAAAAGGGTTTATATTCAGGAGTGAAATTAAACATGTTTCCTCTCATGTACTGTCCTTGTCTGGTTTTAGAATCAGGGTTATACTGGCCTTACAGAATGATGTGGGGAGTATTTCTTTTTTATATTTACTTTAATAAGATTTAGATCATCTTTTTCTTTTCTTTTTTTATTTAATAGAGATGAGGTCTTCCTACATTGCCCAGGCTGGTCTCAAACTCCTTGGTTTAAGTGATCCTTTGGCCTTCCCAAAGTGCTGGGATTACAAGCGTGAGGCACTGCACCTCGCCTATCTTTTTCTTGAGTGTCTGTAGACTTTTGTAAATTCTGGCATGGTATTTTCTTTCCTTTTTTTTTTTTTCGAGACAGAGTCTCACACTGTCACCCAGGCTGGAGTGCAATGGCGCGACCTCGGCTCACTGCAACCTCTGCCTCCTGGGTTCAAGCGATTCTCCTGCTTCAGCCTCCCGAGTAGCTGGGATTACAGGCGCTCACCACCATACCTGGCTAATTTTTTGTATTTTTAGTAGAGACGGGGTTTCACTGTGCTGGCCAGGGCTCGTCTCGAACTCCTGACCTCCTGATCCGCCTGCCTTGGCCTCCCAAAGTGCTGGGATTACAGGCGTGAGCCACAGCGCCCGGCTGGTATTTTCCTTATAGGCCCAGCTGGTATTTTCCTTATAGTTAATTCTTTTTTTTTTTTTTGAGACGGAGTCTCACTTTGCTTCCCAGGGTGGAGTGCGGTGGTGTGATCTCGGCTCACTGCAACCTCTGCCCCCCGAGTTCAAGTGATTCTCCTGCCTCAGCCTCCCAAGTAGTTGAGATTACAGGCAACTGCTACTGCGCCCAGCTAATTTTTGTATTTTTAGTAGAGATGGGGTTTCACCATCTTGGCCAAGCTGGTCTTGAACTCCTGACCTCAGGTGATCCACTGGCCTCGGCCTCCCAAAGTGCTGGGATTACAGGCGTGAGCCACAGCGCCTGTCCAATCACAGGATTTTAAATTGTATAATCAGAGTCCAAGTCTCTGGTTGGTTGTTTTTATGCAGATTGTTTGAACTGAGTCTCAGTTTACATCTAAGTGAAGCCAGTACTTGCCTGATTGTATAGGGTAGCAGTATGCAAACTAAATTTTGGAGTTGTCAGTAATGAGCATTATTTAGCACACAGGGCAGTGATATTGGGTATATTTTTTATTGTCTCCCTTTGTACCTTATCTTTATTCCCAATGCCTAGCTTAGGTATACAGTAGGTTCCAAATAAATATATGGTTGAATATGCCAATCAGGGAATTTAGGAGGATTGAGCCCTGTCTAGGATCAGAGATAAAGGTAGGTCTTTCATGGGAAAGGGTCCTTGAGAGGGAATAAGTATCAAAGACATGCTAACTGTATTCCTTCTCTTCCTTCCAGGCAGTAGAACGAGTCCTGTACCCACACCTGTCCACCTACTGGACAAACTTGCAGGCTGTGCTGGATGATTATTCAGTATCTAATGCCCAGGTCAAAGCAGATGGACACAAAGTCTATGGAGCCATTCTGGTGAGTACCGTCCCCTTCCAGCCTCCCTTCCCTGCATGAGCTTAGCAGCCAAGCAGGCTTACTTTGGAATATTTGATGGGCCCAGGTTCCTCGAATTTTTTGCCTATCTTAGTCCTTGGCTCTTACAGGTGGCGGTAGAGCGACTGCTGAAGATGAAGGCCCAGGCAGCAGAGCCCAACAGGGGTGGCCCAGGTGGCAGGGGGTGCCGGCGCCTGGACGACCTGCCATGGGACAGCCTTCTCTTTCAAGAGTCGTCCTCCGGGGGCGGTGCAGAACCCAGCTTTGGGTCCGGCCTCCCGCTGCCGCCAGGGGGCGCGGGGCCGGAGGACCCTTCTCTTTCGGTGACCCTGGCCGACATCTACCGGGAGCTCTACGCCTTCTTCGGTGACAGCTTGGCCACACGCTTTGGCACCGGCCAGCCTGCACCCACGGCTCCGCGGCCGCCCGGGGACAAGAAGGAGCCGGCGGCAGCCCCGGACTCGGTGCGGAAGATGCCGCAGCTGACGGCAAGCGCCATAGTCAGCCCGCACGGCGACGAGAGCCCCCGGGGCAGCGGCGGAGGCGGCCCCGCGTCGGCCTCTGGGCCCGCCGCCTCTGAGAGCAGGCCCTTGCCGCGCGTGCATCGGGCGCGCGGGGCACCCCGGCAGCAGGGCCCCGGGACCGGCACCCGCGACGTTTTCCAGAAGAGCCGTTTCGCCCCGCGCGGCGCCCCGCACTTTCGTTTCATCATAGCCGGGCGGCAGGCTGGGAGGCGCTGCCGCGGGCGCCTTTTCCAGACTGCCTTCCCCGCGCCGTACGGGCCTAGCCCGGCCTCGCGCTACGTGCAGAAACTGCCCATGATCGGCCGTACCAGCCGCCCCGCCCGCCGGTGGGCGCTCTCGGACTACTCGCTGTACTTGCCGCTCTGAGTCAGTGGCCCCTTCGTTCCTTGTAAATAAATCCCGCCCCCGGAAATGACGTCTCCACCTTCGTGGGTCGCGCCGGATAAGGTGGGCTTTGGGCGGGGTGCTGCTGCAGCGGCGCTTCCTGGTGGTCAGGGCGCCATGGCGCTGTCCTGGCTGCAGCGCGTCGAGCTTGCGCTCTTTGCTGCCGCCTTCCTGTGCGGGGCCGTGGCGGCCGCGGCGATGACTCGGACCCAGGTGCGGCTGCGGGGCGGGGTCAGGTAGGCGGGGGAGCTGGCCGGTCTGGACATGGCGAGGCCACTTTCGCTTTCCGACCGGGCTTGCTGCTGCTCGGAGCCGGTGGACCTGGTGAGGCACGGCTGGCGCCGGCCTGTACCTGAAATGCAGCGAGGCTAATCGCGCTTTGTGGCTCCTCCTGGCCAGGTCATACTTCGAAGTTGTCCCCTCGCCAAAGGGACGGGTCAGTAGCGTCTTAAAGCACTAGGTGGAGTCGGGTTTCGTGGCTCCTGCTGCACAGCCTTACTGTGGTTCCGAAACAGAAGTCAGTGCAGAACCTGCGTCCATCCGTTAAATCAGAAGCCATTTGTGCTGAGCTTTGTCGAGAAATAAAGCATAGTGTAGTGGAGATGATCAAGCTGCCACATGATTGTAGCACAGTGTGTTAAATGACAAAATGAGAGATGGAGAAAACGCTGACGTAAAGGTAGAAGCCAATAATTTACATCGTTTACCCCAGCCAGGTAATCTGGTTAATAAACATGGGTTCATTTAATGCCTATAAAGTAGGCACTAGTGTGCCTATTTTACACCATGAGAAAACCTCAGAGATCCGCCGGGCGCGGTGACTCACGCCTGTAATCCCAGCACTTTGGGAGGCTGAGGCAGGCGGATCACTTGAGGTCAGGAGTTCGAGACCAGCCTGGCCAACATGGCAAAACTCTGTCTCTACTAAAAATACAAAAATTAGCCGGGTGTGGTGGCTCATGCCTGTAATCCCAGCTACTTCGGAGGCTGAGGCAGGAGAATCGCTTGAACCTGGGAGGCGGAGGTTGCAGTGAGTCGAGATCGTGCCATTGCACTCCAGCCTGGGTGACGAGCGAATCTCCATCGCAAAAACAAAAACAAAAACACTGGCCGGGCCTGGTGGCTCACGCCTGTAATCCCAGCACTTTGGGAGGCCGTGGCAGGCGGATCACGAGGTCAGGAGATCAAGACCATCCTGGCCAACACGGTGAAACCCTGTCTCTACTAAAAATACAAACAATTAGCCAGGCATGGTGGCGGGTGCCTGTAGTCCCAGCTACTCAGGAGGCTGAGGCAGGAGAATGGCATGAACCCAGAAGGCAGAGCGTGCAGTGAGCCGAGATGGCGCCACTGCACTCCAGCAAAAAAAAAAAAAAAAAGCACCTCACAGATAGTTATTTGTTGAAGGATATACAAGGCCTGGGTTTACTCTAAGGTTTCTGCACAGAGACCATAACTTGTGAGGCTTCTCTGAAGCTCATTGCATTCTATATTCATTGCCTATTTTCTGATCCTTCTGGCCACTGCCGGTGTGATTCCCCAGCAGGCCCTCTCCATCAATATCCCTGTCCCAGAAATAGGAATTGACGGTGCACAAATAACTTCCTGGAATGCAGGACCATTCCTAAGTTATCACTAACACCCTACCAAGAGACTGTATCTAGAGACATTAACCTGAAATCTAGGACTCAGCAGCTTCTCTCCACAGGGCTCCTTCAGTGGTAGATGTCCCCTGTATGGTGTGGCCACCCTGAATGGCTCCTCCCTGGCCTTATCCCGTCCCTCAGCACCATCCCTGTGCTACTTTGTAGCTGGGGCCTCTGGCCTCTTGGCCCTCTACTGCCTCCTGCTTTTGCTCTTCTGGATCTACAGCAGCTGCATCGAGGACTCCCACAGGTGACTGCCTAACCCTGAGGGCCAGGGGCTGAGGTAGGATGAGCCTCACCTCCACCACAAGGCTTGTTCTCTCCCTTTCAGAGGTGCTATAGGGCTGCGCATTGCACTGGCCATCTCAGCTATAGCCGTCTTCCTGGTCTTGGTGTCTGCCTGTATCCTTCGATTTGGCACCAGGTCTCTCTGCAACTCCATCATCTCCTTGAACACTACAATTAGGTAATGGGAGAGGGAGGGAAGCCTGGCTGGGGCTGACTACCTTCCCTCTGCAGCGGGGTCCTATAATTTCCTTTTATCCCCATCAGTTGCTCTCAACTCACAGGGCACTGGGCACAGGTGTGCCTCGGATATAAACTATCACGCTTTCTCACAACTGTCTCTTTGACCTCACAGCTGTTCTGAAGCCCAGAAAATTCCATGGACACCCCCTGGAACTGCTCTGCAGTTTTACTCCAACCTACACAATGCTGAAGTGAGACCCAAGGATAGGAGGAAAAACTGACATAAATATCTGTAGCTGTGTGGGTGCTCACCAGTGTATTGTGAGCTTGGCCTACCAGTGAGAGGAGCTGAAGGGGTTGTCAGCTTAAAATTCAGCAGTTCAGAGTGGTGTGTGGGTGGGAAGGACTGGATTTGAAATGGTCCCACTCCTGACGATCCTGTCCCTGTCTCCTACAGACCTCTTCTTGGGTGAATTTGGTATTGTGGTGTGTGGTCTTGGTGCTCCAGGTCGTGCAGTGGAAGTCTGAAGCCACCCCATACCGGCCTCTGGAGAGGGGTGACCCTGAGTGGAGCTCTGAGACAGATGCTCTCGTTGGGTCACGCCTTTCCCATTCCTGAAGAATAAGCGGAGTGCTTCCTGCAGCCGAAGACTCCATGCCCAAGTGCCTGTAATCCCCCCCCTCAAGGCCCTGTTTATGTTGGGAGTCTTAGTTTTCCTTTCGTTGGGGGGTGGGGGGGAAACATAATGACAGGCCCCCCTCCACCTCTTCCTGCAGCTGTTTTTGTACCAAAATATTATATTACTGTCTTCATCTTAGTAGTGAGTTTTTGATGTTAAAGTACAACTAGATAGGAGGAAGGAGTGAAGGCTAAGCAGACATGGACTGAAACTTAGAGGTACTGTTAGGCAGCTGCCCTAGGGATGACTGCTCCTTTATTTGTTGTTAATGAATCTTGACCTCCTTGTGTGACCCTGGTTGTTACTCCATTCTAAGATTGGCGTTTTTTTTTGTTTTTTTTTTTGTAAATAGAGACAAGGTCTCGCTATGTTGCCCAGCCTGGGCTCGAGCAGTGCTCCTGCCTCACCCTCCCAAAGTGCTGGGATTACAACAGGTGTGAACCAACACACCTGGCTCCCCAAGGTTCAGTTTTTATCCTCCTCTTGGAGAGGTGAGTGACTTGAGGTCATTTCTTCACAAGCTCCGGTAGGCACCCACAGTATTGTCAAAGAGTTTTGTGTTAGGGAAGTGTCCAGTTTTGTCCAAGAGGAAATAGAAGCGTCGGCCTTTGACTTTCAGAGGTAGCATGGCAGGGACTTCACCCCGGTGGGCCATGCAAGATACCTGCTTCAAAGGAACTGTGAAATGGGCCCCCAAGCCAAAGGGGGCATGAGTGGTGAGGGTCACCTGCTGCCCTCCAGCTCGAAGCACCACTGAGCGCACAGACCGGAGAGAGAAGAGAAGACCAGCACCGAGTACGAGGGCTCCTGCAGGCAGGGCAGAGATTGGGGTGAGGGGTTTTCACTGGGCATCTAAGTACCGACCTTTCCAGTGCCCTCTGAATAAGAAATTTGTGGGATGAAAGTAGTATTTACTGAGCGCTTTTTTTTTTGAGACTGAGTCTCACTCTGCCGGCCAGGCTGGAGTGCAGTACTGAGCTCCTGTTATACCCAGTAATCTTGTTATTCCTCCCAACAACCTTAATAGATGTCCGTTTCCATTTTAATGGGAAGATGGAGAGCTTTAAGGACCTTGCTCAAGGTCGCAGAGTGAAGGGCAGCCCTCAGCCTAGGCTATGACAGGGCACGGCGCTCGGAGACATCACTGTTTCCCAATTTTTTTTTTTGAGAGGGGAGTCTCGCTCGGTCGCTTAGGCTGGAGTGCAGTGGCGTCATCTCGGCTCACTGCAACCTCCGCCTCCCAGGTTCAATTGATTCTCCTGCCTCAGCCTCCCGAGTAGCTGGGACTACAGGCGCTTGCTACCACGCCCAGCTAATTTTTTGTATTTTTAGTAGACACAGGGTTTGACGGTGTTAGCCAGGATGGTCTGGATGTCCTGACCTAGTGATCCGCCCGCCTCCGGCCTCCCAGCATTTGAGCCGCCGCGCCCGGCCAGTGTTTCACATTTCTGTGGGGTAAAGCCCGCCCGCCACTCTCGGATAGGGAGTCCCTGACTCTCCCTGCCTGTATAGGGAAGGTCGTGTCCCGCCACCCCACGTTGTCACAGTGGGAAGCCAGCCCACGTCTTACCGATGGCGCCGCAGCCGACGGCCAGACCGTAGCGCCAGAGCGCGGAGCGCAGGTCGAAGGGGCCACGATTTGGGACCTCCGCATCCAGAGGCTGCACCGGAACCGGGGGCCGGGACACGGCTGCCACAGCCATGGAAGCCCAGAAGACGCCCTGGCCCGCGCAGAACAGCCCGAGGATGGTGAAGAAGCGGCCCCGATCATGCTCAAAGAGCAGCACATCCCGTTGCAGCGTCGTGCCTTGCAGGGGCCGGCAGGTGAGCAGGGGCCGCAGCACGGCTAGCAGCCCCGTGGGCCATCGCCTCCAAGGCGCCGCCATGGCCAGCCGACTTCCGGGGTGGGGCTTCCTGCCGCAGAGCCGCCTTCCGCCCTCCCTGGGCGCCCCCGCTAGAGGGCCCGCCCCCCTCGCTCAGGGCTGGGAGGAGACAACCAATCCAGCACGCAGAACACGAAATACAACATCACTCTTTATATTAAAAAGTGCAGAACACGAAATACAACATCACTCTTTATATTAAAAAGTAAGGAGGTCCTGGGGTTAAGTACACAAAGCACCTAAGTCCTTCGGGTAGTTTAGTGTCAGTTCTACAAAGTAAGCTTTGGCTTCCTGGCACCAGTGAGGCTCAATCTTCTGAAGTCTTCCAGAAGGCAGGCGAGGAGAGGGATCAGGCAGCCCTCCCTCCCTCGGTCACAGTCACGGGGCGGCCTCGGGCCAGACAGGAGGAGATGACAGACGACAACCAGACGGTAATATCCAAGGACTATTTACAGGGGGGACTGCTTCTGAGGCATGACTACGATCACTTCATGAATGCCACTTCTGGGATCTCGCCCTTGGCCTGGAGAAAAATGAAGGTCAGTAGAGGTAGGCCTACCCTCGCCACTCAGCAACCCCACTCAGCTAACCTGACCTCCTGGAGGCCCAGAGATCCTAGTCTTTTTGCCACTGTATTTCCAGACCTTACCTTGAGATGAGTGAAGGCCTGGGCAGATCTGGTGTAGTCCCAGTTGTTGTCCTGAAGGCACCTGGAGTGGAAGAACAGGCAGCTCTGTAAGAACTCTGACTCGTAAATGCCAGCTGAAAGTCCACTCCATAAAAGCACCCAAGTTTGCCAACAAATATGTACATTCTTATACATCCTTGCACTATTTATACAAATGAGACATTAGTAAAAGTCCAGATGTTCTACCAATGGCTTCTCAAAGATAAGGAATATTAAATAGCTGTCAAGAAGCTCAAGATAGTTTTTACAGTGGTAGGGAAAGATGTTCATGGTGTAAGTAAAGAAACTAAGTTGCAGAACAGTATATGAAAAGGAACTTCCATTTTACCTTTAAAGTTTTTTATGTTAATTTATACACAGGCAAATTTTTTATAGACTATCAGGTTTGTGTTTTTCTGTTTGCTTTTTTTTTTTTTTTGAGACCGAGTCTTGCTCTGTCACCAGGCTGGAGTGCAGTGGCGTGATCTCGGCTCACTGCAACCTCCGCCTTCCAGGTTCAAGCAATTCTCCTGCCTCAGCCTCCCGAGTAGTTGGGACTACAGGCGTGGAACGCCAAGCCCCGCTAATTTTTGTATTTTTAGTAGAGACGAGATTTCACCATGTTGTCCAGGATGGTCTTGATCTCTTGACCTCGTGATCTGGCCGCCTCAGCCTCCCAAAGTGCTGGGATTACAGGTGTGAGCCACCTCTCCCAGCCAACTATTAGGTTTTTTTAAGCAGCCAAAAGTTTTGCCTTTTAAAATTTCAGGAGCCCAGGCACAGTAACTCACACCTATAACCGCAGCACTTTGGGAGGCCTAGGTGGGCAACATGGTGAAACCCCATCTCTGCAAAGAAATACAAAAAAATTAGCCAGGTGCTGTGGCCTATGCCTGTAGTCCCAGCTACTCAGGTGGCTGAGGTGGGAGAATCACCTGAGCCCTAGCAGTTGAGGCTGCAGTGAACTGTGATCACACCACTGTACTCCAGCCTGGGCATCAGAGTGAGACCCTGTCTCAAAACAAACAAGCAAATAAAAATTTGGCTGGGTGCAGTGCCTCATGCCTGTAATCCCAGCACTTTGGGAGGCCGAGGTAGGCAGATCACAAGGTCAGGAGTTCGAGACCAGCCTGGCCAACATGATGAAAGCCCGTCTCTACTAAAAAAAAAAAAAAAAAAAAAAAATACAAAAATTAGCCAGGCATGGTGGTGTGTGCCTGTAATCCCAGCTACTCGGGAGGCTGAGATTGGAGAATTGCTTGAACCCGGGAGGCAGAGGTTACAATGAGCCAAGATCGCACCACTGCACTCCAGCCTGGGCAACATAGCAAGACTCCACCTCCAAAAAAAAAAAATAATAAAATAAAATAAGGTGGCACATGCCTATAGGCCCAGCTACTCTGGAGGCTGAGGTGGGAGGACAGCTTGTGCCCAGGAATTAGAGGCTACAGTGAGTTATGATCACCACTATACTCCAGCCTGGATGACAGCGCAAGAACTTGTCTCCAAAAAAAAAACAAAAAAACTGTCAGGAGCCCTCATTATTTACTACTAGCCCTACTTCAGTGCATCCCCATCCTACACATGCCCCGCACTCACTTCTGGGACCACTCGAGGTTCATGCCAGACTGGGTAGAGAATGCTTGCAACATTTCCTGCTGCTCTGGAGAGAGGGTGGGCACCGGGCTGGAGGAAGGCGTGGGTGCAGGCATAGCGAAGGCTCTTTGGATCTCTTCAGAACTGGCATTCCGCACAAATAGCTCATCATTTACAATACATAGCCTTGAGGACAAAGAGCACTTAAAAAGCTAGACAGAGATAACATCATCCTCCCAACATCATTCCTATTCTCTGATTCTTTCAATATCCACAAGGTCCCCCTCCCACTCTTAGCTATTGTTACCTTTTATCATTTATCCCCTCCCATGGAATCAATGTTTGGAAGGATTATCTACTAAACACACTAGGGTTCTCCCAACGCATGGACTTTAGCTCTTTTAATTCATCCTCACAACAAACTTAGGAAATGAATATTGTTATATGAATTTTCAGATGAGGCAGCAGCCTACTTGCTAGAAGTGGTGGAGCCAGGATGAAAACCCAGACGGTACAATTCCAGAGCCAAGCTATTAACTGGCTCTTAACTACTATGTGAGCTTTCTCTGATTTCCTGTTGCCTTTCTGAAATCACCCCAAAGACTGACTCTACCCTCCAATTACCACACTGTTGGCCATGGATTAGGACTGGTATCCAATGCGAAAAGCAGAATACTTACCCTGAATTGCTAGCAGGAACAGCAATGAATGTCCGGGTGAAGGCTCGCAAAGAATCCCGGGACTTTCCGTCCACTGCAATAAGAACAGCAACAACACCTTAGGGTCACTAGTGCTTTATGTTTACAAACAGCTTCTTGAATCATGGTCTTTGATATAAAGAATCCTAGCAAGTCAGAGAGGAATGATTAAGTATATAAGGGTATAAGGGAAGCACAGGTGGGGTGAAGGGTCAGGTCAGAAAGGACAATAGTAATAACTACGGCCGGGCACAGTGTCTCATGCGTATAATCCCAGCACTTTGGGAGGCTGAGGTGGGCAGATCACGAGGTCAAGAGATCGAGACCATCCTGTCCAACATGGCGAAACCCCTTCTCTACTAAAAATACAAAAATTAGCTGGGCGTGGTAGTGCGCACCTGTAGTCCCAGCTACTCGGGAGGCTGAAGCAGGAGAACCACTTGAACCCAGGAGACGGAGGTTGCAGTGAGCCAAGATTGCGCCACTGCACTCCAGCCTGGTGATAGAGTGTGACTCCATCTCAAAAAAAAGTAATAACTACTAATCCACTGATAGCATCTGTATGCCAGGCCCCAGGCCAAGCACTTTGTAAGTCACTTCAGTTTACTTCCTATAGCACCACTATGAGACGGCTATTACTAACCCCATCTTACAAATAAAGAATCTGTCTTAGAGGTAATGTTACTTGTCCACAGCCCCGCACAACCAAAACTAGGATGGAAACTAAGAACTGCCTGACTCCAAAGTCCTCCTAATCCCCAGGCTTTTCCCACATCCAGACAGGACAGGTGGAGAGGTAGGCCAAGCCAAGACGGCTTGGGGGCAGAATGGGAGAAGGAGCTCAAAAAGAAAATGGGAGAGAAAGTAGCTGGGAAGCTAAGAGTGCTGAGGAAAATTCCAGCTGGGGGTGGGACCACGCTACAAACTCGGGACTCTAAAGATTCTTACCTTCCTTGAAGACTCCATTGACAGAAAAACACAGCAATGTGCTCTGAAAGAGAAGCAGCATCAGGTACAATGTACACTTCTCAGAGCCTGAGTGCCCCCCCTTGCCTATTAAATGCCACCCCCACCCCAATTCTAGGCTTCTGTCAGGCGCAAGCAGGAGCTTACTGTCTGGGCGCTTATGTCTACCACGAAGGAATTGACGTCGTGCTGGGTTTTGGGCAACTCATTGAGGAAGGCAACAACGTTGAGACGCGTGTGCTTCAGCAGCCGGAACCGCAAGGCTGTGGGTAGAGGAGAAAGCTCAGTGGTGCTGCCACACACTCCTGAGTTCTGACTGATTCCTTCCCATGCCCTTTTCCCATATTTTGTTCGTATCACACACTTACTAGGGTCTTTAAGCTTCTTCACATTTCTGCTATCCTTGAAATACTCGGCTAAGCTGCTTCTGGGGGAATAAAAGGAATGGACGTGGTGTTCAGAGCAGTGCTGCCAGCAGGTGTGCCCTGTATCTGCTGGGAAACCCAGTGGTCCCGGGCAGATTCTGGGATGTGATACTAACCGGGCAGGGTTCTGAGGAATGAAAGGAATGCTCAGGGAACAGCAGGCCCCATCATGGTAGGCATCCAGGAGCCCTTGTCGGTCTCCAGAGTCGTAAATTGCATAGTACCTATGGGAAAAACAAAAAAGAAAGTATGGGCTCTGTGGTCTACAGCCATACAAGGACCCAGTAGCTCCCAAGAGTGAGTTGTGGCCGGGCATGGAAGCTCATGCCTGTAATCCCAGCACTTTGGGAGGCTGAGATGGGTGAATAGCTTGAGCCCAGGAGTTCAAGACCAGCCTGGGCAACATGGCGAAACCCTGTCTCTACTAAAAATACAAAAAAAATGGCTAGGTGCGGTGGCTCACGCCTCTAATCCCAACACTTTGGGAGGAAGAGGCAGGTGGATCATGAGGTCAGGAGTTGGAGACCAGCCTGGCCAACATAGTGAAATCCCATCTGTACGAAAAATACAAAAATTAGCCAGGTGCAGTGGCACACACCTGTAGTCCCAGCTACTGGGGAGGCTGAGGCAGGAGAATCACTTGAACCCTGGGAGGCAGAGGTTGCAGTGAGCCAAGATCACACCATTGCACTCCAGCCTGGGTGACACAGTGAGACACTGTCCAAAAAAAAAAAAAAAAACAAAACAAAAAACAAAACAAAAAGATTGATGTGTGCCTGGGTCTGCCCACCATTCCCCCTCAACCTCGGGGTGGGGAGGGGGGACCCTGGGATACTTACTGTTGCAGGAAGTGCAAGACCAGACTCTTCAAGTTTTCTGTTCCAAAATAGCTTCCCTGAAATCAAACAGGTATTAGGAACATGGAAGCAGTATTCTCTCCACACACAAGTTCTTACTCTGTCCATGCTTCCTACCTTGCAGGGCGGTAACGTCGTGGGGGCTTCAACATCAAAGGCAATTGGTGGGGGTAGCTCATGGCCATCCTGTGGAAAGGAAGTAAAAGTTGACAGTGTAGACTGGGCCCAGTGGCTCACACCTGTGATCCCAGAACTTTGGGAGGCCGAGGCAGGCAGATGGCTTGAGCTCAGGAGTTTGAGACCAGCCTGGCTGGACAACGTGGCAAAACCCATCTCTACCAAAAAAAATACAAAAATTAGCTGGGCATGGTGGTGCGTGCCTGGAGTCCTAGCTACTTGGGAGGCTGAAGTGGGAGGATCACTTGAGCCTGGCAGGCGAAGGTTGCAGTAAGCTACGATTGTGCCACTGCACTCCAGCCTGGATGACAGAGCCAGACCCTGTCTCAAAAAACAAAACAAACAAAAAAGAAAGTTGACAGTTTAAACCAGAGAGAAAAAGGCTGGGTGCATAAGTAGACTGAAGAACTAAGAGAGAAGGGTCAGAAGTCAAGTGTAAACGCATCATGAAAAGTATCCAGGGATCCAGGCTGGGCGCAGTGGCTCACACCTGTAATCCCAGCACACTGGGAGGCCAAGGTGGATGGATTAGTTGAGGTCAGGAGTTCAAGACCATCCTGGCCAACAAGATGAAACCCCCATCTCTACTAAAAATACACAAAGAAATTAGCCGGGCATTGTGGCACATGCCTGTAATCCCAGCTACTCAGGAGGCTGAGGCAGGAGAATCACTTGAACCCAGGAGGCAAACGGTGCAGTGAGTCAAGATTGCACCACTGCACTCTGGGTAACAGAGCAAGACTCCATCCAAAAAAAAAAAAAAAAAGGGCCTGGTGCGAGTGGCTCACGTCTGTAATCCCAGCACTTTGGGAGGCCGAGGTAGGTGGATCACCTGAGGTCAGGAATTCAAGGCCAGCCTGGCGAACATGGTGAAACCCTGTCTCTACTAAAAATACAAAAATTAGCCAGGTGTGGTAGCACATGCCTGTAATCCCAGCTACTTGGGCTCAGGAGGCTGAGGCAGGAGAATCGCTTGAACCTGGGAGGCAGAGGTTGCGGTGAGCTGAAATCATGCTGTTGCACTCCAGCCTGGGCGACGAGTGAAACTCCGTCTCAAATAAAAAAAAAAAAAAGAAAAAGAAAAAGAAAAAGAAACCTATCCAGGAATCCTTGTGAGTGAGAGATGCTGTGCTTGTTAGAATGAAAAAATTATGGACTTACCAGGCGTAGTAACTTGGGAAATCGTTCGCGAATGGCGCTGTCAAGAACGGGACAGAAGTGAGTGATGCTTCAGAGCCACCGTGCCTCCTGGGCTGCTCTAGGAGCAAATATACCAAACCCGAGGGACAGCCCATCCCATCCTGCTCATCCCTCCACTCCCTCCCAGCCTGTGCTCAGGGAAAAATGGCCCCCACTCCCCACCTGACCCGGGGCACCCAGACATGGACTGCCTTGAAGGCTGTCTCTTTTCTCTCTGCCTGACCCTGAGTGTCAAGGAGCAGTACTCCAAGCCCAGGCTTTAAGCCCAGGACCTCTTTCCCCTCCCTGCCCCCCTTACCTTCCACCTACTCACCTGTGCAGCCCCGGGAGGAGGGAATGGGGTGGGAGCCCAGGGGCTCCGCTGCCTCACCAGGTATCCATCAGTTCTGCCAGGTCTGGCTTTGGCCAAGACCCAAACACACCACAGGGATGGCACAGGATGTTGGGGCAGGGAGATGAGCAGGTGGGGCTCAGGAAGAGGAGAGGCAAAGGAATAAGAAAGGAAAAGGAGGAAAAAGAGAAAAAGGCAAGATGGGGCAGGGGCAAGGGAGAGATGGGGAGGTATAGGAGACAGACAGAAAAAGGAAAGAGAAAGCAAAGAAAAAGAGAAAGAACTACAAGGCAAAAAAGCATCTAGAAAAATGAGGGAGAAAAGGGAGAAAGACACCCTGACACAGCCCTTTCTTTCAGCTGCCCCATCCCTGTGGTCCAAGGTAGAAATGAGAAACAAATCCTTGCTGTGGTGAGTGGGCACTTGCTGTTGGCCAGGTCTCTGTCTGCTACCTGGGTCCCGATCTGAACTGGGCGTGGGAAGCAAAGCAGCCATGGGGGCAGGAGACCTCCCTCAGAAGGTGTGAGGGTTCAGGCCCCTGTAGGATTGTGGGGGTGAGGGTCCATGCCCCACCTCTGTTGCCCCCAAGTTCTCTCCTGATGGCCCCTCTGCGACTGTGCCTGTCTTAGGTTGTTCCTTCCCTGAGGAATCTTACCCGTCTCTGGCTAACCAGCCATCCACCGGGGCCAAACAGGGTGACGTGCAGTGTGTGAGTGAGGGAGAGGCAGCGCCCCCGAGGGGGTCAGTTCTCTGTCTCCTTGGTAGCCTATGCCCCCGTGGCCTCCACGCCCAGCACCTGCCTTGGGATTCCCTCGCCTGCTGGCGGGGCCCCAGCTCTGGTCACATCTTGGGGAACCCAGGTTTCTTCTTCAGGGAGAGCCCAGCTCATAGCACTGGGCAAGAGAGACAGATTGCATGCCACCAGCCCCTAGGAGGCCTCAACCTCAGCATGGACAGCAACAGCCCTGGGCAAGTGGATCCTGAGAAAAGGGTCCCTCTTGGCGCAAGGGCAAGAGGGGCCATCACAGTACAAAGGAGGGAAGGCCCATCTCAGTAGGAAGTCCCAGGTAGGGAGGGCTTCCTCAACCCATGGACACCAGGCTCTTGGCACAAGGCAACCCCATCTATAGGGTATGTACAAGATACCCTCTGGTTAGAGTAGAAAGGGGAGATGCCTTTCCTGGAACAACAGGGTAGGGAGATTCTAGAAAAGGTTGTGTTCAGGAAGAAAGAGAAAGGCCACAGACCCAGCAAACAGATAGTCAAGTCAGAAGAGAAGAGAGAACATCTCAGGACAAAGCTGGAAGACACAGACAGACCAAAGTGGGGAGCACGCGATCCTCTCAAAGGACAGGTGGTTCCAGCTCAGGGCTGCACATCTCCGCAGACGGGCCCTGGTCAGGATGCATTAGCTCAGCCTCCCAGGGGGTGAAGGTCCCCAGGAGGGGAGACACAGGCTACAACTGACCTGATGTAGGTGGACTGGTCTCGGAAGGTGTCACACAGGGAGTTTCCATCGAGCCAGAGCTCTTCTAGCTTCAGCCCCTTTATCTTGTCCAATTCCCGCTCAGACTTCAACTGCAAAGGGTGGAAGGAACAAAGGGAGGAGACCCTGGTGAAGACAGCCAGCTGGCTCCCCATACCCCCAGTCCCTACGCTTAGCTCTGAGATCTTTTCTAATCTTTTAAAATTTTTTCTTTTTTTTTTTTTTTTGGGACAGGGTCTCACTCTGTCACCCAAGTTCAGTGCCGTGGCATGATCATAGTTCACTGCAGCCTCAAACTCCTGGACTCAAGAGATCCTCCCACCTCAGACTCCTGGGTAGCTAGGACTACAGGCATGTGACATCATGCTCGACTAATTTATTTTTTAAATTAAAAAAATTTTTTTGAGACAGGTTGCTCAGGCTAGAATGCAACGGCACAATCATAACTCACTGCAGCCTTGAACTCCTGAGCTCAAGCAATCCTCCCACCTCAGCCCCCTGGGGCAGCTTGGACTAGAGGCGTGCAAACTCCTAGCCTTAAGTGATCCTCCTGCCTTGGCCTCCCAAAGTGTTAGGATTAGAGTTGCAAACCAGCACATCTGGCCTGAGTTCTCTCTCTTGCCTCTTGCCATCACTGGACAAACTCTCTACACCCTCTACCCACCCCTTCAAAAATATAGCCGAGCTATCAATTCTCACTTCATTTCCAGAAAGGTTTAGGATCTTCAGGTTGGGTGCCTTCTGAACAATGCTAGACATGTCATCCAGCCTGTACAGCCTGTTGTTGCTCAAGTTCAAGGACAATAGCTGTGAGGAGAGAAGAGTTTAGAGGAGGCACCACCAGCAAGTGGATCAGAGACGAATCTGCCCTCCAGCCACTTCCTATCTAACACACCCTGCTTCCTCATGCCTAATACTGGGCCAAAGGCCTTACCTCAGGGATGTTCTCTTCAATGATCCTCAGGGTAGCTGCCATACAGCTTCTGCGATTCAGGACAACGTCAATGTTCTGGGCCACCAAATCTTCAGGAAGCAGAAGGGAAGGAAAGGGAAGACTGAGAGGGTTTGCCCATGCCAGCATTAGCAGTAAAACATCCTCAAACTTTCCCTCCCTGACAGATCCCACCTTATCACCACCTATCTGAGAACTACTGCTGTCAACCATACCTGGGTCTGAACGGAGGCCTTTGAGGTCAAGGGCTTGTTGGGAGCCATCGTATCGTTTGCTCATGATCAGCTAGAGGAAAAAGAAGGGTTTAGTGGTCACTGGGTTTGTGTGTGGGGGGTGGGGGTGTGAGAAGTAGTAAGACTGGGTTGGAAACATCTAATTTGAGCCTGCCTCACCTTTAGCTGTTCTACTTGTTCTGGCTTCAGTTCATTCAGTATAGTGTGGGGTGGAGCAGAAGAGTTGATGATGATAGATATCTGGAGGGAAGACACAGAGGGCACAGAAAACTCTAGGGAAGCCTAAGCCGCAAGAACAAGACCCAGTCCCTGCTCTGAGCACCAACCTCCACCTCCAGCCAAGCCAGGCCCTTTAAACACACCCTTCGGTTCTCCCGATCCAAAATCTTATAGTTGACAGCCTTCAATGCAGAGGCAGTACTGGCGTCTTCAACGAAGAACTGGGCCCGTGTATTCTCATAGTGAAACTACAAGAGGAAACAGGAGCATTACACTGGGAGTCCAGAGCCCTTGGGGAGGGGCATTACGCTGGGAGTCCAGCTTGCCCCTTCACCATCCCTGGTGCCTGGCCAGCCAGCCACTCAGGCCTTGTCTTACCTCAATAGGGGTGAAGGGCACACTGCACTTGCTCTGAATCATGCTCAGGAGCCATGCCTTGTCATACTTTCTGCCATAAGGAATCTAGAAATGAGAGAAAGAGAAAAGAAGGGAATGATAAGTAAGGCTGAATAGCAGACCCAATACAATGCCTTTTATACCTTCTACCAAACTTTTAAAGACTATCTAAAGAAAGGACCAGTACTAGGTTTTCTACTTGAGATACACATAGATTCTTTAACTCCTTTCTGTCTACTTACACTTACTATTTTTTCTTAGTAACAGGGCCTCACTCTGTCACTCAGGCTGGAGTGCAGTGGTGCGATCATAGCTCACTGCAGCCTTCATTTCCTAGGCTCAAGCGATCCTCCTGTCTCAGCTTTCTGGAGTAGCTAGGACTACAGGCATGTACTACCATGCCCGGCTAATTTTAAAATTTTCTGTAGAGAAGGGGTCTTGCTGTATTTCCCAGACTGGTCTTGAACTCCCAGCCTCAAGTGATCCTCCACCTCGGCCTCTCAAAGTGCTGGGATTACAGGCATGAGCCACTGTACCCAGCCCATTTACACTTATAATCTCTCAAAAAAAAATCAATTTTATTTATTCTAAAAGTTCCAAGATATTATTTACACCTTGCCTGCCCCTCAGAGAACTCCAGGGCACTCCAGGGACTCCAAGCCCCACACTCAGCCTGAGCCAAATGAAGACATCCAGAGGAATTACTCCCTCCCCCAACCAAAATTTTCATATTTCTCTTCCACCCCTTCTCTGAACCTGCTCTAAGGTGTTGGAAGATACTGATTCCTAGGAGAAAAGATAGATACTTGAGTGTGGAGTAATCAGATGACAAGGAGAATTTTTGGGCTGGGTGCGGTGGCTCATGCCTATAATCCCAGCACTTTGGGGGGCCAAGGCGGGCAGATCATGACGTCAGGAGTTCGAGACCAGCCTGGCCAATACAGTGAAACCCCGTCTCTACTAAAAATACAAAAATTAGCCGGGCGTGGTGGTGGGTGTCTGTAGTCCCAGCTACTCGGGAGACTGAGGCAGAATAGCTTGAACCCGGGAGGCGGAGGCTGCAGTGAGCCGAGATCACGCCACTGTACTCCAGCCTGGGTGACAGAGCAAGACTCCATTTAAAAAAAATAATAATAATAATTTTTGTGGAATAAAATTAAACATCTCCACTCTCAGCGTGGCCTCCTATCTCTACTGTACCATCTACTTTCTCAAAGT
The DNA here is from genome assembly GCF_000001405.40 of Homo sapiens. Lineage (NCBI taxonomy): Eukaryota > Metazoa > Chordata > Mammalia > Primates > Hominidae > Homo > Homo sapiens. The sequence continues at coordinate 62,803,413 of NC_000011.10, forward strand.
ACTCACTGTAATCTTGAACCAGTTCTTTGAGGTCCCATCCTGGCTGGTGCCAGCCCCTCCTCTCTCTGGAGGAGCTCTGTCTCTCCGCACAGTAACATGAATGCGATCTCGATCATGCCAAGTATCACCCCGACGGTTAGGTCGGGTGGTATAGGGGTTGCTGTGGGTAAGCAGAGAATAAAATGACCACAAATGCTAGGAAAGTCTTCTCAAAGGCCTTCCTGCACTGTTAGTGGGACTACAACTAAGACTGTTTAATCACTAAGCTAGTCCTGGCATTTCTCACTCTAACAGGTGGGAAAGGAAATGACATGGACAGTAAAAGGGCCATATAATCTCATGAGCCACTAAATTCAAACCAGACCAACTGGTCACTCACTATCGTACTCGGGGACCATCCTGGGCATCACTCATTGCCACATCTCCATCATCTTCCTCAAGGCGGGAAGACCGAATACCAGAACCGCCTCTTCCAGACCTACGGTTTCCTTCACCATATTTCCACCGGAAGGGACCCCGGCCTTTCTTCTTTCTTTGAGGGAAATTAACGCGTTCATCATCGTGTTCTAGAGTTAGAAACAGGAACACAAATTAGAAGTAAGTAACTGGTCCGGTTTGGTGTGGCAATCATAGCTTCTAGTACTCTGAACTATTGGAAGAGATACATACTAACGACAGAGGCCATCTCCATGCAAACTCCGCTCCCTATCCACAGGAAAGAACCCTCTCTGTGGGAGGGCAGCATCAGGGAAAAGTTACTGGAAAACTGTGTAGGGCTTTTGAAAAATGAAGTAGAAACTGGAATTAGAGAGAAGCAGGATGTAGAAATGTGAGACCCAAAAGTGTAACTGAACACAAATCAGACCTCTGAAAGCCACCTGAAATCTGCCACTCAGTACTTTGTCTATACAGTGCAGACGCCAGTTACAAATATGACCAGTTTAAGGATCCTCTAAAAATTCTCCTTGTTCTCAAACTGCCACTTTGAAGTTTTGTGAGGAGCTCTTCGTTTCCATGGCCAGAAATGTCCTTTAACTCAGGAGACAAATTCTAGACTCAGGCTCTAGTGGCAGTGCCAGGCTAGGGTGCTTAACCAGGGACCCTGGAATGCTCTCCAGGAAGATGACCTTCTGATTCATGCTGTGTAGGACTGGCGTCTTAAAAAAGGTCCCTAACTCCCAAAAGAGGTCTGCCTAATACCCAGCACTCTGTAAACAATGAATCTCAACAAATGACCCTAGGAAAAAAGAACATAGAAGGCGCAGCTAACATTCACTGAGAACTTTCTCCAGTGCCGGCCACTATGCTTCAGGCACTTGATAGGAATGATCTCATTTCCCCTCCCCACACACACTCTTAAGAAATGCTGTTGTTATTCCACATTAAGGGGGTGGAAAACGAGAGTTTTAAATTCACGGTTTCAACCTCCACCACGCACTCCTAACTTACTACAAAGAACTAACACCCAGTGTAGTGTTCAGACTAGAATATCCAGTTGATGTGTAAGTCTCGAATATTAAGCCAAAGCCCAGGCCCGAGAGTTCAAGACCGACTGGACGCAGTAAAAAATAGGGCATCAGGGCAGCCCACGAGCAGGGCACTCACTCACATTAAAGGAAGAGTCAGGCCGCCAAACCTAACTGACAGGCATCAACCACCCACAAAGTTCAAAGGAATCCCGTCACCCTACCCCCGAGCCATCCGCTCCGAGCCGCAGGTCCCCCAACACCAGGATGCCAGCAGGAATCCAGGAGTCAACAACTCGGGTGTCCACCTCGAGTGCCCGGCCCCCCGCGCGCCGCTCCCCGCGGACGCCGGGCCCCTAGCGGCCTCACGCCCCGGGGGCTGAGGCCTAGGCCGGCGCCGCCCACCCGCGCCCCAGATAGCCAGTTCCCGACCCGAAGACCAGCACTTACCGCTGTACGACTTCCCCTCGTCCGCCATGCCACAGCGAAGATCAAGGGCGGGCTCAGGCGCTGGCCGCTACGCCGGCAAACAACCTAACTCCCAAGCGCTCAGGACCGAAGTGTCCCTACGCCGGGCGCCACCGCATTTATACAGCAAAGCACGTCGCGCGCCGCTGACGTCCCAGGCTGTGGGCGGTGCCGCCGCCCGGAGAAAGCGCGGCCCCCTGCGCGTGCGCACACTTAAGGCCGTCGTTCGAGGGGCGGGGCCTGGCCCTCCACGCCCCGCCCAAGACCTGAACTTGCGGAACCCCGGCTGGCAGCCAGCATGTCCCCGCACCTTTTCATCTGTCCGCTGACGCTGCCCTGGCAGCTTCAGAGTTAGTGCTAGAGCACAGTGCTGCCGCCGCAGCCCAGAACTCAGTGAGGAAGGGGGCCGCACAAAGGGCTTCAGAGGAATGGAGACCGCGCCTCCAGGTGGGAGTGATGGCTCAGACCCCTACCGGAATCTAGCCAGTGTTTCAGCTCGGCTCCTTGTCTATACCTCGCTTTCTTCGCCTATAAGATGGATTAACAAATCACGAAGTTGAGAATTAGAATGTGAGCTCGAACGTTGACTAATTAAGGGCTTTTTTTCCTCGAGGGCTTGACTCGGCAGGTACTATGCCTGGCACATGGTAAAAACTCAACATATATTTGTGAAATAAATGAATTTGTGTTATGAATTTCCCCCACCCCGCCCCGCCCTGAGTTGCTGAGTCAAATGATACGACATCTGTCAGGGGTTTGGCGAGCATTGTCTTCACAGACCTTCCATCAATGGCGTCCCCTACTAGAAACCCATCGTGTCAACGGGGCAGACAGTGAAGCTCACCAGCAGTGGCAACTTGCTGGAGATGCCGAGGAGGACATTTTAAAATATCAGGGCCTTGGGCTCTCCTAGACCCCCAAAAGCACCACCACCAGCCCCTGACTGTTGTCTCTATAGCTTCAACTTCCTTTGGAATGTATGAGACAGGGGCACTCGAGTGACCTCAGAATGTGGTTGTGAGTCTCGGTCAGGAAGAACAAAGCACACTAATCTCCCTGGACGGTGGGTATTCTGGGCAGGTGTCTCCATTCTCTGTGACTGGCTTTGATTTGGTGAAGTGCTTGGAGGGAATCAAAAGCCTCAACTGGAGTTGGGAACAAATTCTTCACCTTCCACTCCTGGAAGCAGGCAGAGCTTCTGCCTCGCTTAGCTCAAGGAAGAATTACGGCCAAATAGTTGGAGGATACAGATGAAACAGGTCCAAACACTGCTTGAGATAGTCCTGGAAGTTGCCCCCAATCAGGGACCCCCTCTGGGATCCTGCTCCCCTGTGTGAAAGGAAGTTTCCACGCTAATGAAGTGTTGCAACACTTGGTTCTCCCCTGCCTAGAGGCAGCTGTGTGTCAGAGCCCAAAATAGCCTGTGTCAGCAGTGATACCTGGCAGAGCCATTAGCCCAACCCTTTCAGTTCTGGTACTGGGCAGTGGGCTCTCTCCACTCGCTGCCTAGGCCCTTCGACGCTCCCACCCAGAAATGATGACATGGCTAGTGAGGCTGACAGTCTTGCTGTAATTGGGAGAAAACGAGCTGCAGCACATTTGGCAGATTGAGTCACCAGCAGCCAATGTCAGGGGTTGTGCAGGCAGCTGAAGGGCTCAGGGCTCCCTGCCTCACATGGTGAAAGAGGAAGAAAGAGGTCAATTGGGAAAATTGGTCCCTGGGGCTGCTTCCTCTCTTCACTCACAGGAAGGTGGGTAAGGGCATCATCTCCCTTTGCTGCCAACGCTTCCTTTGGGAGAGGCTGGAGAGGGTTTATAAAAATCTCCTAGTGGAAACAACCTCCCCCACTGGCCCCCAGCTGGCCTCTGCTCCCTTCCAGTCACTTCACAGCAGAGTTCAAATCTAGAACCCTGTGTGTTTCATAGGCCTGAGGGTGGTGGGGGGAGGACAGGGTGGCCAGAGGCAAGGGGTGGGGGATCAGGGGCAGTGGTCATTCTTAGCAGTTCCAGGGAAACAGGGCCTTTCTCCCAAGTACCCTGCACAGGCTCAGTGGCAGCACTGGCCACTTGCCTTCCCAGGAGGGTCCCAAACCCCAACAGAGTGCCTCAGAGTAGAGAGGGTTCAAGCAAGGAAGACCACAAAGATGATGAAGAAGACAATGAGGATGAGGAAGATTTTGACCATGAGCCACCGGTTGGAGGTGACAGACTGGAAGTACTTGAGGATCTCTGAATGGGCGGCCTCAACGTCCAGCTGGGCTCCTAGCACGTTCTCGTCGATCCTGGGGACAAGGCCGGGAGAAGAGGAAACAAAAGGACACTGGATTAAAAAGAATGCTGTTGAAGTCCATTTATTGACATGGAAAGATGGTCACAATATGATCCCATTCTTATATATATTTGTGTATAGAAAAGGCTTTGGAAGGGTACTATAAACAAGTTATTTCTGGTTTGAAAACCAACTCTGCCATTTATTAGCTTAAGACTCTAAGTTAGTCTAACTTCAAGCTTCATTTTCCTCACCGGCAAAATGAGGATAACCCAAACCCTACCTTCTCTCAGGCTACTGTCTGTCTTCAATGAGTTAGTATAAAGTCCCTAACCCACAAGAGCCCCGAAAATGTTAGTTACAATTTTTCCTCATCAGTATTTACATTTTTATCTGGTGAGTATGTATTATATTTATTGTAAGGGGAAAAATGTTCACAGACCATTGCAGTCAGGAAATCATGGTTCTGAGTGAAAAAGGAAAACATAATGACACGGACAGGAAATCAGGGGATAAAAAAAGCTCTATGGCCAACCATGGTGGCTCAGGCCAGTAATCCCAGCACTTTGGGAGGCTGAGGTGGGCAGATGGCTTGAGCTCACGAGTTTGAGACCAGCCTAGGCAACATGGCAAAACCCCATCTCTGCAAAAAATACAAAAATTAGCTGGGTGTGCTGGTGTGACCCTACAGTCCCAGCTACTCGGGAGGCTGAGGTGGGAGGATAGCTTGAACCCAGGAGGTTGAGGAGCTTGATGCTGCAGTGAGATTGTGCCACTGCACTCCAGCATGGGTGACATAGCAAGACTGCCTCAGGGGGAAAAAAAAAAAAAAACACCAAAAAAAAAGGTATATGGACCCTAGTTTTGGCCAGGCTGTAATCCCAGCACTTTGGTAGGCCCAGGCAGGAGGATCACTTGAGCCTAGGAGTTGGAGACCAGCTTGAACAACATGGTAAGACACTTGTCTCTACTAAAAAAATAATAATAAATAAGTATATTGGAGGATGTGAGTAGATTACATGCAAATATGACAAGATTTTATGGGACTTGCGGATGCATGGATTTTGGTTTCCTCTGGGGCTCTTGGAGCCAATGCCCCACAATACCAAGGGATGAGTGTGCTTAATCTGATAGTTAGCACCTTGAACAAGTGATTAAATTGACATCAGCAATAAAAGGGATAACCTCATCAAGTGCCTACTAATGTAATCATCGCAGCACTAATTTAATCAGTGTTAGATTTAATTTAACATTGAACAAAACAAGTTGATGTCATGAAAAATAAAACAAAAGGCCCACTGAAGACACACATCAAATACAAAATGTGAATCTTCCTGGGTCTTAAATTGAAAGAAAAAAGATAAAAACTTTTGTTTTAAATATCAAATGGGGGCCGGACATGGTGGCTCACACCTGTAATCCCAGCACTTTGGGAGGCCGAGGCAGGCCGATCACGAAGTCAGGAGATTGAGACCATTCAGGCTAACATGGTGAAACACTGTCTCTACTAAAAATACAAAAAATTAGCCGGGCATGGTGGCGGGCACCTGTAGTCCCGGCTATTCGGGAGGCTGAGGCAGGAGAATGGCTTGAACCCAGGAGGTGGAGCTTGCAGTGAGCCGAGATCGTGCCACTGCACTCCAGCCTGGGTGACAGAGCGAGACTCCGTCTCAAAAAAAAAAAAAAAAAAAAATCAGATGGGGAAACTTGAACATGGGCTGATTACTGGATCATGTTGGAGAACTGTTAATTTTCTTAGTTTGAAAATGACATTATGGGCAGGGCGTGGTGGCTCACACCTGTAATCCCAGCACTTTGGGAGGCCGAGGTGGGTGCATCACGAGGTCAGGAGATGGAGACCATCCTGGCTAACACGGTGAAACCCCGTCTCTACTAAAAATACAAAAAATTAGCCAGGCGTGGTGGCGGGCGCCTGTAGTCCCAGCTACTCAGGAGGCTGAGGCAGGAGAATGGTGTGAACCTGGGAGGCAGAGCTTGCAGTGAGTGGAGATCGCACCATTGCACTCCAGCCTGGGAAACAGAGCAAGACTCTGTCTCAAAAAAAAAAAAAAAAAAAAAAAAAAAAAAAAGACATTATGGCTGTTCAGGAGAATGCCTTATTATTAGCATGCTGTAGTATCTAGGAATAAAACAGCATGAAATTTGCACCTACTTTCAAATAATTCGGCAAAAGAAAGAGGGGAAAGGCTGAATGTGGTGGCTCACGCCGATAATCCCAGCACTCTGGGAGGCTGAGGTGGGCGGATCACAAGTTCAGGGGTTTGAGACCCGCCTGACCAACATAGTGAAAACCTGTCTCTACTAAAAATACAAAAATTAGCTGGATGTGGTGACGTGCACCTGTAACCCCAGCTACTCAGGAGGCTGAGGCAGGAGAACCACTTGAACCCGGGAGGCGGAGATTGCAGTGAGCTGAGATCTCGCACCACTGCACTCCAACCTGGGTGACAGAGCAAGACTCCATCTCAAAAAAAAAAAAAAAAAAGAAAGAAAAAGAAAAAAAGTGACAAAATGTTAACAATTGGTGGCCAGATCTGGCCAACGCCTGTAATCCCAGCACTTTGGGAAGCCAAGGTGGCTGGATTGCTTGAGTTCAGGAGTTCAAGAACAGCCTGGGGAATATAGGAGACTCTGTCTCTACAAAAAAATTTAAAAATTAGCTGGACATGGTGGCATGTACCTGTTATCCCAGCTACTGGGGAGGCTGAGGTGGGGGGATCACTTGTGCCCAGGAGTTTGAGGCTGCAGTGAGCCATTATTGCGCTACTGCACTATAGCCTGAGTGACAGAGTGTCACCTTGTCTCAAAAGAAAAGAAAAAAACAAATATGAAAACAAAAAAAGTTAGTGACTACAGGTGAAGGGAATATGAGTGTTTATTGTGCTATCCTCCCAACTTTTCTGTAGTTTGAATATTTTATGAGGTGAAAAGGAAAATGACTGAGCAACATTAGATCAGTGGTTTTCACACCTTAGGAAAAATAAGAATCACCTGTTGAATTCTCAAATATAAAAATTCTCAAGTGTCACAACCAGAAATTCTAGGTTGGGGCCCAAGAATCTGCATCCCAAAAAACTTCAGACTTAATCAGTGGTTTCTAGAGCAAGTGCTGAAACCCAGATCCACTGGCATGCAGGGAGGAAGCATATGAATGTCTACACCTATTTTAAAGATGGCATCCTTTCATAAATTTATTTTGTATATGGTTGCCCATAAATTCTACTTCCTTATTTCTTTTATGCTCCAACATACTGTAAAATTGCTACTGAGCCATTCCACTGAAAATACTGGCACTGATCCAATTAATTCAAGCCCCTCCTGACTCAAACACATCCTTACCTCGAACTTTCTTTCTCAGGAGCAAGGAGAAATAACCACTCCTTAAAATTCTTCTATCCCAAGTTCTAAGGACACATTTCTCTCTCTGCTTTCTTCTCTCATCTTCCTCAACCTTCCTCCTCAGTCTGGCCAGATTCTTCCCTTCTCTACATACCCCCTGACTCCATGGGGGATCTGTCCTGACCTTTTTTTCACTTTACCCAGTCTCTGGGTGGTCTATGCCCAGGGTTTCACCAAGAGGCCACTGTCCTAAGTCCTTACCTCTAGCACTGCCTTCTCTTCCAAACATCAGAACATGAAATGCCTACTAAACTCTGTCATTTAGCTGTCCCATGAAGTCTGAGGCACTCAGCACACCCAGAACAAACCTAATTCTCACCCAGCATCAATCCGCTTGCTTCTTCTTATGTTCTCTCCCTGACACCAAATTTCTTGCTGTGACACACAGGTTATCTGTGACCTGGCCTTGCCTCTCACCACTCCCCCAGCCATGCTGAATAATTCTGCACTCCTGTATCTACCAAGTTCTTTCTCATTTCTGTGCTGTTTTTTCCTCACATGGAACAGCTTCTCCTTTCCCCTTTTTGGGCTGGCATTCCCTCCAAGTCTTAGCTTGGTATCACTTCTGGGAAGGCCCCTTGGCCCCATCTAGGAGCAGTACCTACTCTGAGTTCTCTCATCCCTTTTTTTTTTTTTTTAATAGACACGGGGTCTCTGTGTTGCACAGGCTTTCTTGAACTGCTGGCCTCAAGTAATCTGCCTCGGCCTCCCAAAGTGCTAGGATTACAGGGATGAGCCACCACACCCAGCCTCATCCCCTTCTCTTCTTGCCCTATCATACTGAGCTGTCACTGTCAACTTATGTCTCTCCTACTAGTGAGCTCCAGGAGGACCAGAATGGTCTTTCACCCTTTTATCCTCAGACCCAGCAGGATTAGCTCACAGCAGCAACAAATGTTTGCTAAACCAATGAGCAAACACATGCTAACAGTGAAAAATACTTATGACACTGTTTCAAGGAAGACTAGAATGTAAAGTTGCCTATATGCTATAACTTTATTTTAGATGTATATGGATTGAGGAAAGAACTCAAATACCTTTTTTTTTTTTTTTTTTTTTGAGATGGAGTTTTGCTCTTGTTGCCCAGGCTGGAGTGCAATGGTGCGATCTCAGCTCACAGCAACCTCCGCCTCCCGGGTTCAAACCATTCTCCTGCCTCAGCCTCCAGAGTAGCTGGGATTACAGGCATGCGCCACCATGCCTGGCTAATTTTGTATTTTTAGTAGAGACAGGGTTTCTCCATGTTGGTCAGGCTGGTTTCAAACTCTGGACCTCAGGTGGTCCGCCCGCCTCGGCCTCCCAAAGTGCTGGGATTACAGGCATGAGCCACTGCGCCTGGCCCTCCATATCTTTTATAATTCTGTTTCACTGACTCTATAATATTCTTTTTTTTGGAAACGGTGTCTCACTCTGTTGCCCAGGTTGGAGTGCAGTGGCGTGTGGCGTGATCTGGGCTCACTGCAAGCTCCGCCTCCTGGGTTCACGCCATTCTCCTGCCTCAGCCTCCCTAGTAGCTGGGACTACAGGCGCCGGTCACCACACCCGGCTAATTTTTTTGTATTTTTTTTAGTAGAGATGGGGTTTCACCGTGTTAGCCAGGATGGTCTCGATCTCCTGACCTCGTGATTCGCCTGTCTCGCCTCCCAAAGAGCTGAGATTACAGGCGTGAGCCACCACGCCCAGACTTAATATTCTAATATTCAAAATACAACATAGCTCAGGGAGCTATGGTGTTTATGGCATAATTCTGCAAGGGGTTCCCTAGGTCTCAGCTGAAATAGATAAAAATCAATTAGGCCGGGTGCGGTGGCTCACGCCTGTAATCCCAGCACTTTGGGAGGCCGAGGTGGGCGGATCACGAGGTCTAGGAGTTCAAGACCAGCCTGGCCAATATGGTGACACCCCATCTCTACTAAAAATACAAAAATTATCCGGACATGGTGGCTCGTGCCTGTAGTCCCAGCTACTTGGGAGGCTGAGGCAGAAGAATCATTTGAACCCAGGAGGCGGAGGTTGCCACTGCACTCCAGCCTGGGTGGCAGAGTGAGACTCCGTCTCAAAAAAAAAAAAAAAAAAAATCAGTCAATTATTAGCCAGGCATGGTGGTGCATGCCTGTAATCCCAGCTACTCGGGAGGCTGAGGCAGGAGAATCACTTGAACCTGGGAGGAAGGGGTTGCAGTGAGCCAAGATAATGCCACTGCACTGCAGCCTGGGTGACAGAGTGAGACTGTCTCAAACAAACAACAACAAAAAAAATCAGTCAATTCTCCTGACTCTAGGATCAAGACAGCTGTACTCACGGTACCTTATAAATGGCTGGTGCTCAACATATAGTAGTTGAATAAACAAACTTTCTTTTAATCAGTAGTTCCCAAACCTGGATGCTCATCAGAACCCCCTATGGAATTTGTAAAAATGAAGCTCCCTGAAAAGCCCACTCCATTCACATCTCTCGAATCAGAATCTCCAAGTGTTTTCTTTTACCTTGGCCAGTTAAATGTGTGAGGCTGCTTAGTGGATTGATGTTCAGAAACCGGCTTTATACAAATGTAGGTGTTCACTCAGTTTCACATGATCAACAACGTAGAGTAAAAGCACTCTGCTAGATACCGTGGGGAATAAAGATCAATCAGGGTTGGACCCTGCTAAAGGGATAAGATCAAGTGGGCAGGAGTGGATTCCTAAAACCTCCTACACCTCCTCTCCTCTACTGGCTTTTCTTCTTAATGAGCTGAGAAGACTGAAGTGGTCTGAAGATAAATGCCGCTCCACCCCGAGCATTGCTACAATAGCCTCTGTCTTCCCACCTATCGCCAGCTCCTCTTAGAGCCAAGCCTTGATTTATGCCCCGGAGCCCACTTCCTTTCACCTTCTCAAGGACATCATTTCAAGAATTCTCCCATCTTTCTCCTATATTATCATTTTTAAATTTATCCGTTGCATCATTTCCATTGGCATGCTAACATACCTTTATTTTCTCTCAGCCTTTTAAACCCTCTAGGCTCCCACCAGACATATTTGGAACAACTTGAGCACTCACAATAATCATTGCCCTAACTAATAATAAGACAACCAATACATTAAAACCTATAATTAAAGCCTATAGCGATGCTCAGAAAAGAGGAAGAATTTAATTAATTTACTTGAGATGGAGTTTCGCTCTTGTTGCTCAGGATGAAGTGCAATGGCACAACCTTGGCTCATTGCAACCTCCACCTCCTGGGTTCAAGTGATTTTAGTGCCTCAGCCTCCCAAGTAGCTAGCATTACAGGCATGCACCACCACGCCCTAATTTTGTATTTTTGGCAGAGATGGGTTTCACCATGTTGATCAGCCTGGTCTCGAACTCCCGACCTTAGGTGATCCACCCACTTCTGCCTCCCAAAGTGCTGGGATTACAGGTGTGAGCCACCGCACCCGGGACTCTTCCTTTTTTTTTTTTTAGATAAGAGTCTCACTCTGTTGCCCAGGCTGGAGTGCAACGGCGTGATCTCGGCTCACCCAACTTCCGCCTCCCAGGTTCAAGAGATTCTCCTGCCTCAGCATGCCAAATAGTTGGGATTACAGGCAGGTGCCACCACGCTCAGCTAATTTTTTTTTTTTTTTTGAGATGGAGTTTCGCTCGTTGCCCAGGCTGGAGTGTAATGGCGCAATCTTGGCTCACCGCAACCGCTGCCTCCCGGGTTCAGGTGATTTTCCTGCATGCGCCACCACGCTCAGCAAATTTTGTGTTTTTAGTAGAAACGGGGTTGCTCCATGTTGGTCAGGCTGGTCTCCAGCTCCCGACCTCAGGTGATCCGCCTGCCTCGGCCTCCCAGAGTGCTGGGATTACAGGTGTGAGCCACTATGCCTGGCTTTCTGATTTAATATTTAAAAAGCTATTAAACAGTTTGGGGACAACTGGGAAAATGTAAACCCTCACTGGATATCACATATTAGGAAATAGTTAATTCTAACAGATAGGATAACTGGGTGTCTTTTTTTTTTTTGAGATGGAGTCTTGCTCTCTTGCCAGGCTGCAGTGCAGTGGTACGATCTCGGCTCACTGAAACCTACACCTCCCAGGTTCAAGCGATTCTCCTGCCTCAGCCTCCCGAGTAGCTGGGACTACAGGCACGCAGCACCACGCCCAGTTAATTTTTCTGTTTTCAGTAGAGATGGGGTTTCACCATGTTGGCCAAGATGGTCTTGATCTCTTGAGCTTGTGATCCGCCCGCCTTGGCCTCCCAAAGTACTGGGATTACAGGCATGAGCCACCATGCCCAGCCAACCGGGTGTGGTTTTTATTTTATTTATTTTTTATTTTTTAGGACAGAGTATCGCTCTGTCGTAACACTCACTGGATAATACATAATATTAGGAAATCATTAATTTTCACAGACATAACTGGGTGTGGTTTTTATTTTTTGAGACAGAGTATCACTCTGTTGTGACACTCACTGAATAATACATAATATTAGGAAATCGCTAATTTTCATAGATAGGATAACGGCGTGGTTTTTTTTTTTTTATTTTTTGAGACAGAGTCTCGCTCTGTCGCCCAGGCTGGAGTGCAGTGGCACAATCTCGGCTCACTGCAACCTCTGCCTCCCAGGTTCAAGCACTGCTCCTGCCTCAGCCTCCCAAGTAGCTGGGACCACAGGCATGCACCACTATGCCCAGCTGATTTTTGTATTTTTAGTAGAGATGGGGTTTCTCCATGTTGGCCAGGCTGGTCTCAAACTCCTGACCTCAGGTGATCCGCCCGCTTTGGCCTCCCGAAGTGCTAGGATTACAGGTGTGAGCCACCGCGCCCAGTCTGGTTTTTATTTTTTTATTTAATTTTTAAATTTTATTCTAGTTTCAGGGGTACATGTGTAGGTTGGTTCTATAAATAAATTGCGTGTCTTGGGGCTTGGTATACATATTATCTCATCACCCAGGTAATAAAAAATACAGAAAGCTTCACAAATTTGTGCCATCCATGTGCAGAGGCCATGCTAACCTCTGTATTATTCAAATTTTAATATATGTCCTGCTGAAGTGAGTACTGGATGTGGTTTTTAAAAAGAATTTGTGTATTCTTAGGAGACGCATGTTAAAATATTTAAGGATTAAGTGTCACGATATCGGCAACCTACTGTGAAATGGTTCAGAAAAATAAAGATAAAGCTAATCTGGCCAACTGTTAACTGTTGAATGTAGGTTGCAGCTATATTAGTGTTTATTATGGTTCTTTCAACTTACTGGTAAACTTAAAATTTTTATTTTAAAAAATTTTTTAGAGATACGGTCTCACTCTATTGCCCAGGCTGTAGTACAATGGCACCATCATAGCCTATTGTAACCTCCTACTCCTAGACTCAAGTGATCTTCTCCGCTGAGCCTCCTAAATAGCTAGGACTACAGGCATGTCACCATGCCAGGCTAATTTTTCATTTTCTTGGAGAGATAGGGTCTTGCTATGTTGCCTAGGCTGGTCCTGAGCTTCTGGCCTCAAGCAATCCTCCCGCCTTGAACTCCCAGAGCACTAGGATTAACTTTGCCTAACCCCCAAATTTTCATAGTAAAAAAACGAAAAAAGAAAACTTCTGAATAACTTCCTCCTATCAGCTATTACTCCATTTCCTTTCTCCATTTTGAAGCAAAACTCTTAGAGCTGTCCATTCTCCACCCTGGCTAACATGGTGAAACCCGCCTTTACTGAAAAAAAAAAAAAAAAAAAAGAAGAATTAGCTGGGTATGGGGTGTGGTGGTACGTGACTGTACTCGGGAGGCTGAGGAAAGAGAATCGCTTGAACCTGGGAGGCGAAGGTTGCAGTGAGCCGAGATTGCGCCACTACACTCCAGCCTGGCAACACAGCAAGACTCTGTCTCAAAAAAAAGAAAGAAAGAGCTGTCTATTCATCTATTCCTACTCTTTCTAATTGCTCTCTCTCATTCTTGTTTGTTTGTTTTTCTGTTTTGAGACAGAGTCTTGCTCTGTCACTCAGGCTGGAGTGCAGTGGCGGGATCTCGGCTCACTGCAACCTCAGCCTCCTGGGGATAACAGGCACACGCCACCATGCCCAGCTAATTTTTTTGTATTTTTAGTGGAGACGGGGTTTCACCATGTTGCCCAGGGTGGTCTTGAACTCCTGGCCTCAAGTGATCCACCTGCCTCAGCCTCCCAAAGTGCTAGGATTACAGGCAAGAGCCACCATGGCTAGCTTCATTCTCTCTTAAACGCCACTGCATTCGAGCTTTTGCTTCCATCCCTCTATTGAATCTGACTCAAAGTCACCAACAATATCTACATTGCTGAATCCAATGACTATTTCTCAATCCTCGAGGTTCTGCTTCCAGTAATGCCTGGGTACCTCCTATTATACCAATCATTCCATAAATTACATAAACCACAGAGGAAATATAAAAAACAATGATCTTAGTTCAGCCAAGTTAACTGCCTGCGAAAACAAAAAAGTCAACATTCTTTATAGAAACATAACATAATCCAGACTCTTCATATCAATAACATGTACGATAAAATCCTCAATTAGTAGATATACAATGAAACAGGGAACTGTGACCCATACAGAAGAGAAAAGGCAATGAATGGCCCCATCCCTAGGATAATCCAGATGATGAGAATTAAATTTTAAGGCAGCTATTATAACTGAGGGAAAATATGCTTGTACTCACTAAGAAGGTAGTAAATCACAGCAGAGAAACATAATCTCTAAAAAAGAACCAAGTGTAAATTTGAAACTGAAAATTATCTAAAAAAATTCACCAAATGGGCTTAACAGCAGATTGACCTGAAAATATACATAAAATAAATATAAACTTATTATATAAGACATGTACCTGGAAACATATATATGTATATATTTCCAGATGGTAAGGACAGAAAGAGGCAGAAAAATGTTTAAAGTAATAATAGCCAAATACTTCCTAAATTTAAAGACAAATTTACACATAAAAGAAACTCAGAGGCTGGGTGTGGTGGCTCACGTGGTGGGCGGATCACCTGAGGTCAGTAGTTCGAGACCAGACTGCCCAACATGGCAAAACCCCATCTCTCCTAAAAATACAAAAAATTAGCCAGGCGTGGTGGCGGGCACCTGTAATCCCAGCTACTCAGGAGGCTGAGGCAGGAGAATCACTTGAATCCAGGAGGCAGAGGTTGCAGTGAGCCAAGATCGCACCACTGCATGCTGGCCTGGGTGACAAGAGTGAAACTCCATCTCAAAAAAAAAAAAAAAAAAAGACATGATAGGGCCAGGTGCTGTGGCTCATGCCTGTGATCCCAGCATTTTGGGAGGCGGAAGTGGGAGGATCACTTGAGGTCAGGAGTTCAAAACCAGCCTGGCCAACATAGTGAAACCCCATTTCTACTAAAAATACAAAAAAAAAATTAGCTGGGTATGCTAGTGGTTGCCTGTAATCCCAGCTACTCGGTAAGCTGAGGCACAAGAATCACTTGAATCCAGGAAGTGGAGACTGCAATGAGCCGAGATCGCACCACTGCACTCCAGCCTGGGCAACAAGAGCAAAAACTCTGTCTCAGAAAAAAAAAAAAAAAAGAATAAATCTGTATGAGCCAGGCACATTGGGAGGTCAAGGTGGGAAGATTTCTTGAGCCCAGGAGTTTGAGACCTGCCTGGGCAACATGTGAGATCCCCGTCTCTACCAAAAAAAAAAAAAAAGAAAAAAAATCAGCCTGGTGTGGTGGTGTATGCCTGTAGCTCCAGCTACTCAGGAGGCTGAGGTGGGAGGTCAAGGCTGCAGTGAGCCATGATCGTGCCACTGCACTCCAGCATGGGCAAGAGAGTGAGACCCTGTCTCAGGAAAAAATAAATAAAAAGTTAAAAAAAAGAAAAAACAACTGTATATCCAGAATTCTATATCCAGAGAAAACATCCTTCAAAAATGAAGGTGAGGCCGGGTGCGGTGGCTCGTGCCTGTAATCCCAGCACTTTGGGAGGCCGAGGCAGGTGGATCACGAGGTCAGGAGATCGAGACCATCCTGGCTAACACGGTGAAACCCCGTCTCTACTAAAAATACAAAAAAAATTAGCCGGGCATGGTGGTGGGCGCCTGTAGTCCCAGCTACTCAGGAGGCTGAGGCAGGAGAATGGTGTGAACCCAGGAGACAGAGCTTGCAGTAAGCCGAGATCGTGCCACTGTACTCCAGCCTGGGCAACAGAGTGAGACTCTGTCTGAAAAAAAAAAAAAAAAAAAAAAAAAAAAAAAAAAAAGAAGGTGAAAAAAGTTTAGTTTTGATTTAGTTAGTGAAAAAGATTTCAGTTTTCAGATGAAAGAAAACTGAAAGAAATTGTTGTCAGCAGATCTCCACTACAAAAAAAAAACCAAAGGAAGTGCTTCTTCAGGATAAAGGGAAGAGATACCAGTGGAAAACTTAGATCTATTCAAGGAGGAATGAAGAACACTGAAGATGGTAAATATGTGAGCACTATTACCAAGTCTTCCTCTTAATTTCTTTAAAATACATTTAACTTTTTAATACTTTTTTTTTTTTGAGACAGGGTGTTGCTGTCACCCAGGCTGGAGTGCAGTGGCCCAATCTCTGCTCACTGCAACCTCCGCCCCCAGGGCTCAGGAGATCCTCCTGCCTCAGACTTCAGCTACTGGGAACAGTAGCTGGGACCAAGATGTGCATCACCACGCCCAGCTTGTGTTTTTGTTTTTGTTTTTTCAGAGTTTTGCTCTTGCTGCCCAGGCTGGAATGCAATGGCACGATCTCGGCTCACTGCAACCTCCGCCTCTAAGGTTAAAGTGATTCTCCCACCTCTGGCTCCTGAGTAGTTGGGATTACAGGCATGTGTCACCATGCCCAGCTATTTTTTTTTTTTTTGTATTTTTAGTTGAGATGCGGTTTCACCATTTTGGCCAAGCAGGTCTCAAACTCCTGAACCTCAAATGATCCACCCGCCTCAACCTCCCAAAGTGTTAGGAATACAGGCATGAGCCACCGCTCCCAGGCCAGTAAGTGGAGTTGTTGAACAGGAATATGGATATATGGAGTTTAGGAGACAGGTCTGGGACGGAGATTAAAATATGGGCAGAATCGGCCGGGTGCGGTGGCTCATGCCTGTAATCCCAGAACTTTGGGAGGCCGAGGCGGGCGGATCACAAGGTCAGGAGATCGAGACCATCCTGGCTAACATGGTGAAACCCTGTCTCTACTAAAAATACAAAAAAAATTAGCCGGGCGTGGTGGCGGGAGCCTGTAGTACCAGCTACTCGGGAGGCTGAGGCAGAATGGCGTGAACCTGTGAGGTGGAGCTTGCAGTGAGCCGAGATCACGCGACTGCACTCCAGCCTGGTAACACGACGAGACTCTGTCTCAAAAAAAAAAAAAGGGCGGAATCTGGCCAGGTGTGGTGGCTCACATATGTAATCCCAGCACTTTTGGAGGCCAAGGTGGGGAGATCACTTGAGGCCAGCAGTAATTTTTAATAAGGTTGGATTTAGGGCTGCCATTTTACTATTTTCTTTTTCTTTTTTTTTTTTTTGAGATGGAGTCTCACTCTGTTGCCCAGGCTGGAGGGCAGTGGCGCGATCTCAGCTCACTGCTCCGCCTCCTGGGTTCACACCATTCTTCTGCCTCAGCCTCCCAAGCAGCTGCGCAGGTACCCACTACCACGCCCGGCTAATTTTTTGTCTATTTTCAGTAGAGACGGGGTTTCACCATGTTAGCCAGGATGGTCTCGATCTCCTGACCTCATGATCCGCCTGCCTCGGCCTCCCAAAGTGTTGGGATTACAGGCGTGAGCCACTGCACCCGGCACTATTTTCTATTTTTCGTTCCTCTGTTTATCCTCTCTTGTCCTTCTTTTGAATTAATTGAAATTTTGATTAAAATTCTATTTCCATTTCAATTTGGTTGCTGCTCTTCTTGCTATATGTCATTGTTGAGTTTCTGTTTTATTTCAATGGTTGCTCTAGGGATTACAAAATACACCTTATTAACTTTTCACAGCCTACTTCATAAAAACTGTCAAAATAGGCCAGGTGCGGTGGCTCACACCTGTAATCCTAGCACCCTGGGAGGCCGAGGCAGGCAGATCACAAGGTCAAGAAATCGAGACCATCCTGGCCAACATGGTGAAACCCTGTCTCTACTAAAAATACAAAAATTACCTGGGCATGGTGGTGGGCACCTATAATCCCAACTACTCGGGAGGCTCAGGCAGGAGAATTACTTGAACCTGGAAGGTGGAGGCTGCAGTGACCTGAGATCGAGCCACTGTACTCTAGCCTGGCAACAGAGCGAAACTCCATTTCAAAAAAAAGAAAAACCTGTCAAAATCTTGAAACCCTCTTGCTTCATCCTTTATTCTACAGTTAAATTTGTTGTATCTATGTACTTTACAAATCCCAGAGTATACACTATTATACTTTTTGTTTTAAAGTTAAATGTGGCCAGGCGCAGTGGCTCACATCTGTAATCCCAGCACTTTGGGAGGCCGAAGTGGGCGGATTGCCTGAGGTCAGGAGGTCGAGACCAGCCTGGCCAACATGCTGAAACCCCATCTCTGCTAAAAATACAAAAATTAGCTGGGAGTGGTGTGGGTGCATGTAATCCCAGCTACTCGGGAGGCTGAGGCAGGAGAATTGCTTGAACTCGGAGGGTGCAGTGAGGCGAGAGGTGCCATTGCACTCCAGCCTGGACAACAGTGAAACTCCACCTCAAAAGTAAATAAATAAATAAAAATAAAATTAACACCGGGCATGGTGGCTCATGCCTGTAATCCCAGCACTTTGGGAAGCTGAAGTGGGCGGATCATGACATCAAGAGATTAAGACCATCCTGGCCAACATGGTGAAACCCTGTCTCCACTAAAAATACAAAAATTAGCTGGGCGTGGTCTCACGCACTTGCAGTCCCAGCTACTCAGGAGGCTGAGGCAGGAGAATCACTTGGACCTAGGAGGCAGAGGTTGCAGTGGGCCGAGATTCTGCCACTGCACTCCAGCCTAGCGACAGAGTGAGACTCCATCTCAAAAATAAAAATAAATAAATAAATACATGCATAAATAAATAAAGTTAAATGTATTTGGCCAGTTGTGATGGCTCACACCTGTAATCCCGGCACTTTGGGAGGCCAAGGTGGACAGGTTACTGGAGGCCAGGAGTCCAAGACCAGCCTGGCCAATGTGGCAAAACTCTGTCTCTACTAAAAATACAAAAAGTAGCCGGGCATGGCGGTGCACACCTGTGGTCCCAGGTACTCGGGAGACTGAGGCATGAGAATCACTTGAACCTAGGAGGTGGAGGTTGCAGTGAGCCAAGATCATGCCACTGCACTCCAGCCT
Organism: Homo sapiens; assembly: GCF_000001405.40. Classification (NCBI taxonomy): domain Eukaryota; kingdom Metazoa; phylum Chordata; class Mammalia; order Primates; family Hominidae; genus Homo; species Homo sapiens. Next base: position 62,822,338 of record NC_000011.10, read on the forward strand.
GGGCGACACAGCAAGGCTCTGTCTCAAACACAGAAAAACTAACCCCTGCAATGGCTCCCTATGTCACTCAGAGTAAAAGCTAAAGCCTACCAATGGTCCCAAGAGGTCTCACAGTTCCCCTCTGACCACACCTTGTACAACTCTCTTCCTCATTGATCCCAGCTGCAGTAGTCTCTGCTGTCCTTTAACTCATCAAACATATTGTCACCTGCGGGCCTTTGCCAGGGTCTATGTAGCTAATTTCCTCACCTTCTCCCAAGTGTGATGCCACCTTCTTAATAGGGCCTACCTCCCTCCAAACCTGGCACTCCTGATTAGTTTATCCTGTGTTGACTATCTTTTTTTTTTTTTTTGGCATTTACGACCTTTTTTTTTTTTAACATACTATTTATTATGACTTTTTCACATCTATCTCCCTATTAGGATACACGTTCCACAAGGGCAAGGATTTTGTCTCTTTTGTCCACTGCTATATTCCCATAACTGACTGACTGAATGCTAAGCACCACAGAGGAGGAGCAGATAAAAACTCTTGTAGTAGCAGGAGGCACCAGAGGAACAGAGAGGCCAGCCCATTGTTGGGCCTCTGCCTACATCCCTCCAGTACACCCTGTACTTCTCTATCCCTGTTCATTACTTTCTAGCCACGCAGGCCTTCTTGATTCTTGCTATGGTGAGACTGTCCCATCACAAGGCTTTGCTCTAGCTGTCTCCTCGGCCTAGAACACTCTCTGTTCTTTGCCTGGTTGGATCCCTCTTGTCATTCAAGTCTCTGCTTAAATGTCATGTCTTCAGAGCAGCATTCCCTACCACACAATCTGATATACCTACTTAGTCACTTTCTTTTTTTTTTTTGAGATGGGGTCTTGCTCTGTCACTCAGACTGGAGCGCAGTGGTTCCATCATGGCTCACTGCAGCCTCAACCTCCCATGCTTAAGTCATCCTCCCGCCTCAGCCTCCCGAGTAGCTGGAACCACAGGCACACGCAACCATGTCCAGCTAATTTTTTTATTTTTGTAGAGATGGGGTTTCACCATGTTGCCCAGGCTGGTCTTGAACTCCTGAGTTCAACTGACTGTGTGGGCCTCCCAAAGTGCTGGAATTACAGGTGTAAGCCACCGTACCCATCCATTACTTTCTTAACACATCATCCTATTTTAACTCTGTATACAGCCTTTATTACTCCCTGAAATTTTGTTGGTCAATTTTTTATTTTTATTTTTTTGACACAGAATCTGGCTCTGTCACCCAGGCTGGAGTGCAGTGGCACGATCTTGGCTCACTGCAACCTCTGCCTCCCAGGCTCAAGCCATCCTCCCACCTCAGCCTCTCGAGTAGCTGGGACTACAGGCCCATGCCACCATGCCCAGCTAGTTTTTGTATTTTTTTGTAGAGACAGGGTCTTGCTTTGTTGCCCAAACTGGTCTTGAATTCCTGAACTCAAGCGATCTGCATTGCTCGGCCTCCCAAAGTGCTGCCTATGGGATTACAGGTGTGAGTCACTGTGCCAGCCTTGTCAGTTCTTTTCCACAGCTGTCCTCATCTGCCCTATCAAATTCCATACACTTACACATGCTACAAAGCAGCTCCAGACAGACTTTACTGTTCTACTTGCCACTGTATCTCCCGCACCTGGAACAGTGCCTCACATGAACAGGTGCTCAATAAAAACTTGTTGGGTGGATGGAAGCAGGTGAACTGGGTCCCATGGGTGGGCAGAATTCACTCTATCTTCCAAAAGGCATCAAGCAGTCCCTGGGGACTTTAAGATGCCAATCCACGGGGAAGAGAAAGCTCCTCTGTTTGGGGCGAGAGAGTGTATCTCACCTCTGAATGGTTTCCTCCTGTTCCTTAACCATGTGTGCCAACTGCTGAAAGATGGAGCCCAACTCAACAATTGTCGACTCAATGTTCTGCATGGTGTCTGCCCGACTCTGGATGTAGGAATCCTTCAGGAGAGGGAGAGAGCACATGAGCACCAACAGCTTCTTCAGGGTCAGACCTGCATTTTTACAACCCTCCCAGCTTGCCATTCTGCCCATGGCACACTCCAAACACTCTCTCGGGAACCACAGAGGATAATGGAGAAGCTGATTCTACCTAGTTCAGAGCCTGGGTACCTGCTCGTCAATGAGCTGCAGCTGCTGGCTGGTCCGAGAGTCCATCATGTCGATGGCGACATCCTTGGAGGCATGGGACTCTGCCCCCAGAACCACAGCACCACCGCCTGGGGGAGAAAACAGGATGTGGCACACCTTAACAGTTAAAAGCAGGTTCAAAGCCCACATGCTCTGGGTTTGAATCCCAGCTCTAGCACTTACTAGCCTTGTGACCCTGGACAGGTCATTTAACCTCTCTGAGCCTCAGTTTCCTCACCTGTAAAATGGGGGATAATAATAGTTGCTTTCTCAAAGGGTGGTTGTGAAAATTAAATGAGAGAATGTGAATAAAGTGTACGAAAAAAAATTAGAAATTATCATTATTCTGAATATAACTGAATTCACCCCAACAGTGAGAATGTGGGAGTCTAAATGTGGATCACGAATCTCAACCATCTGGTTTGGCCTCTGAGAGATAAAGCCTAGAAAATTCCTTGACCTTCCACTCTCCTACCCAACCCGTGCCTTTAGAGGATGCCATCACAACCAGAGTAAGTAACCTTACCTCCCAGGGCTCCCCGTTTTACCTGTGACTTACCCAGGTGGTTAGGGGCAAGGGGCAGGGCTGACACAGGTGCCCGGGAGAACTGCTCTCTCCGGCTCCTCTGCTGCTTCAGGTTCTGGGGTTGGGGAAAAACGCAAAGGACCTGAAGCCACTAGAAAGCAGGCATGTTAAAGAGACTCCCACCATTGGCCCCATGACCCTGTAGAACTTGTCCCTTCTTCATTTCCCTCTTGGATCTTTACTCCCATATTCCTACCCCTCCTACGCAGATTGTTCTCACCTCTGTCCTCACTTCTAAAACCGATTTGAAGTCATTGGACATAGAAGCCAGTTTCGACTAGAAGAAAAGGAGAGAGGGTCAACCAAAGAAGGCTCCACATTCTTCCTCTTTGCCTCCCTCCCTTCCTCCCCAGGTCCCACCTGCAAGGAGACCACAATGGTGTTGGAGTGGGTCTGCAGGTGCCGGCCACTCTGGCTGCCCTTGGCTCTCACGAAATCCTGGAGCTGAGCAATTTGTTTGTTGAGGCTATTGATGTCCTGGTAAAAGAGTCCAAGGAAAAACAAAGTATTAGCCAAGGAGTCCTTAGTCAGCATCTCTCACGATGGCCATCTCTGGTAGGAAGGACAAGGTGGAAGTTACTAGCCAGAGTGAGAGTATCTCAGACAGTCAGACCAGATGGGCCTGCTAGGATTTTCCAAGGTCTAGTGTTTGCTCTGGCTCAGTCCCTGCAGAGAAGAGCTACAAAGAGGCAAAATAGGCCTTCATCCATTGTAAATAACTTGTTTACTCCTCCAGCCTACTGCCCTGCTCCATTCTGTGAGGCCATGCTCTTGGCCACAGAACCCTTTCAAAGGCCAAAATCTCGGGTCTAGGGCATGACCAACAAAGCCCCCGGACAGTACTCAGGAAAAGGGAAGAGTCAAAGGCACTGTAGTTTCGAGAGGCATCAACAGAACTATTTTCATACACACAATTCCTCAATGGCTAATGTCTGTAAACCCACCACTTTGAGAGGCCAAGGCAGGCAGATCATGAGGTCAAGAGATTGAGACCATCCTGGCCAACATGGTGAAATGCCATCTCTACTAAAAATACCAAAAATTAGCTGGGTGTGGTGGCGCGCGCCTATAATCCCAGCTACTTGGGATGCTGAGGCAAAAGAATCGTTTTGAACCTGGGAGGTGGAGGTTGCAGTGAGCCTAGATCGCGCCACTGCACTCCAGCCTGGCGACAGAGTGAGACTCCGTCTTAAAAAAAAAAAAAGTTATTATTGGCCTGGCGCGGTGGCTCACGCCTGTAATCCCATCACTTTGGGAGGCTGAGGTGGGCGGATCACCTGAGGTCAGGAGTTTGAGACCAGCCTGACCAACGTGGAGAAACCCTGTCTCTACTAAAAATACAAAATTAGCCGGGCGCGGTGGCACGTGCCTGTAATCCCAGCTATTCGGGAGGCTGAGGCAGGGGAGTCACTTGAACCCAGGAGACAGAGGTTGCAGTGAGCTGAGATCGCGCCACTGTGCTCCAGCCTGAGCAACAAGAGTGAAACTCTGTCTCAAAAAATAATAATAAATAAATAAATAAATAAAATAAAAGTTATTATTACAGTCGAGTGCAGTGGCTCACACCTGTAATCCCAGCACTTTGGGAGGCCAAGGTGGGCGGCTCACTTGAGGTCAGGAGTTCGAGACCAGCCTGGCATACCCCGTCTCTACTAAAGATAAAACAATTAGCCAGTCATTGGTAGCGGGTGCCTATAGTCCCAGCTACTGGGGAGGCTGAGGCAGGAGAATCGCTTGCACCTGGGAGGTGGAGGTTGCAGTGAGCCAAGATCGCACCACTGCACTCCGGCCTGGGTGAAAGAGCAAAACTCTGCCTCAAAAAAAAAAAAAAAAAAAAAATTATCCAGGAATGAGGGCATGTCCCTGTAGTCTCTACCACTCAGGAGGCTCAGGCTGGAGGAAAGCTTGAGGCCAGGAGTTAAGGGCTGCAGTGAGCTAGGTCACACCACTACACTCCAGACTGGTCAACACAGTGAGACCCCCCTCTCTAAAAAAAGAAACTTGCTCTGGGTCCCCATGGCAATGGAAAATGACAGGAAGACAGAAGTGATCTGATTGGAATGCTGGGCTCTCCTGATGGCTAGTAGCTCACCTGTTTGATGATATATGTTAGCTCTTCAATTTCCACTGCTTTATCATCAAAGAGGGACTTGCGCTTTGCCACTACAGAGACAAACAAGAAGCCACAATGGGTGAGGTCAAGGACAAAGCTCAGGGAATATAGTCCTCAACCCTCTTTGATTTACTGCCCCACTTCTGAAAGACCCCAAGAACACTCACAGATTGTCAGCTTCTCCAGCTTGGCAAATGTGTTGCTAAGGTCTTTCCCAATGCGCCTGCAAATGACCACTAGTCAGACTGTGGGAAAGGGCAGGACGCCTTTTCCCACATAAGCTCCAGCATAACCAATCCCAGACTTCACAGCCAAGGCCACTGATTGCAAGTCTACTTTTCTTCAGACACTGTATCACCCCACCAGAAAGCTTCTCTCAACTCACTTGGCCATGAGGGTGAATTCACTGCGTTGTCGGACAGCACGCAAAGCTGGCTTATTTGTCTGGATTCCATTCTGAAAAGCAATGGCAGGAGGTGACAACTTTAGTTCTCCCTTCCCCAGTTCCAGCTTTCACTCTTCCTGAGGTGTCCACTAACCTATCTCTAGTGCTGGTGGCATCCATCAGATGATCTAGATTTATGAGTGGTAGTCGTTTAGAGTCCAGATTTGAAGAGCAGGTAGACCTGAGTTCAAATCTTGACTCACCACTTACTACTAGCTGGTGGATTTGGGGCGAGTTACTTAAAACATTCTAAATCTCTACTTTCTCTTCTATAAAATGAAGACAATCCACACATCTCCTATTGTTGCTAAGGTTAAATAACAAAAAGGCTGAAAAGTACTTCAGTCAACTACCTGGTACATAGTAAGCACTAAATAAATGGTATCTAGTATTGCCATTCTATTCCTCAAATCAGGAAATCAATAAGGATGATTGCAAAGCTCTTGGAGATCATACAGAAGAGCAGCTTTACCATGAGCTGAAAAACACTTCTTTATAACTTTTCTGTTTTTGAGACAGGGTCTCACTCTGTCTCCCAGGTTGGAATATAGTAGCATGATCATAACTTACTGCGGCCTCGACATCCTGGGCTCAAGTGATCCTCCAACTTCAGCCTCCCAAGTAGCTGGGACTACAGGGCACACCACCACACCTAGCTAATTTTTAACTTTTTGTAGAGATAGGGTCTTGCTATATTGCCCAGGCTGGTCTTGAACTCCTAGGCTCACGCAATCCTCCCACCTCAGCCTCCCAAAGTGCTGGGATTACAGGTGCCAGCCAGCATGTCCAGCCATCAGTAAAAATATTTAAAAATACAGTTACTCGGCCGGGTGCAGTGGCTCACGCCTGTAATCCCAGCACTTTGGAAAGCTGAGGCAGGCGGATCACGAGGTCAAGAGATTGAGACCAACCTGGCTAACATGGTGAAACCCCATCTCTACTAAAAATACAAAAATTTAGCCAGGTGTGGTGGCATGCACCTGTAGTCCCAGCTACTCAGCAGGCTGAGGCCGGAGAATCACTTGAACCTGGGAGGTGGAGGCTGCCGTGAGCCAAGATCCCACCACTGCACTCCAGCCTGGGTGACAGAGCGAGACTCCGTCTCAAAATAAATAAATAAATAAATAAACAAACAAACAAACAAATAAATAAATACAGTTACTTGGCCAGGTGCAGTGGCTCACACCTGTAATCCCAGCATTTTGGGAGGCCGAGGCAAGCAGATCACGAGGTCAAGAGACAGAGACCATCCTGGCGAACACAGTGAAACCCCGTCTCTACTAAAAATACAAAAATTAGCTGGGTGTCCTGGCACCGCCTGTATTCCCAGCTACTTGGGAGGCTGAGGCAGGAGAATCACTTAAACCCAGAGGTGGAGGCTGCAGTGAACCCAGATCACGTCACTGCACTCCAGCCTGGCAACAAAGAGAGACTGTCTCAAAAACAAACAAACAAACAAACAAACAAACAAACACAAACTGCTTACTCGGGTCCCACTGGGATTGTTGAAAAAAACACTCCCGGCTGGGTACGGTGGCTCACGCTTGCAATCCCAGCACTTTGGAAGGCTGAGGCGGGCAGAGCACCTGAGGTCGGGAGTTTGAGACCAGCCTGACCAATATGGAGAAACCCCGTCTCCACTCAAAATACAAAATTAGCCAGGCATGGTGGCGCATGTCTGTAATCCCAGCTACTTGGGAGGCTGAGGCAGGAGAATCACTGGAACCCGGGAGGCGGAGGTTGCAGTGAGCTAAGATCGTGCCACTGCACTACAGCCTGGGCAACAAGAGCGAAATTCCCATCTCAAAAATAAATAAATAAATAAATAAATAAATAGCACTCCCAAATTTTTTTTAAGAGGAGCTGAGTGCAGTGGCTGACACCTGTAATCCCAGCACTTTGAGAAGATAAAGCAGACGGATCACTTGAGCCCAGAAGTTCGAGACCAGCCTGGGCAACATGGTAAAACCCCATCTCTACTAACAAAACAGAAATTAGCCAGATGTGGTGGCACATGCCTATAATCCCAGCTACTGAGGAGCCTGAGGCAGGAGGGTTGCTTGAGCCCAGGAGGTCAGATGTTGCAGTGAGATGAGATAGAACCATTGTACTCCAGCCTTGGTGACAGAGTGAGACCATGTTTCCAAAAAAGGAGAGAGAGAGGCCAGGTGTGGTGACTCATACCTGTAATCCCAGCACTTTGGGAGGCTGAGGAGGGCAGATCACCTCAGGTCAGGAGTTCAAAGCCAGCCTGACATGGTGAAACCCCATCTCTACTAAAAAAAAATACAAAAATTAGCCGGGCGTGGTGACGGGCACCTGTAATCCCAGCTACTCGAGAGGCTAAGGCAGGAGAATCGCTTGAACCCAGGAAGAGGAGGTTGCAGTGAGCCGAGATTGCACCATTGCACCCCAGTCTGGGCGACAAGGCAAAATTCCTTCTCAAAAAAAAAAAAAAAAAAAAAAGAGAGAGAGGAAGAGACTGGGCCTCGCTCAGCCTTCTAAGTAGCTGGGACTACAGGCACATGCCACCACGTCCAGCTTTTTTTTTTTTTTTTCCTGTAGAAACAGGGTCTTGCTTTGTTGCTCCTGCTGGTCTCTAACTCCTGGCCTCAAGTCATCCTCTGGCCTAGGCCTCCCAAAGTGCTGGAATTACAGGTATGAGCCACCACATCCAACCCTAAGTGATTTTGATACAAATTACTGATCTAGGGCCAGGTGTGGTGTCCAGACCAACCTGGGCAACATAGTGAGACACTGCCTGTACGAAAAAATTTTAAAATTAGCTGAGTGGTGCATCCATGTAGTCCCAGCTGCTCAGGAGGCTGAGGAAAGAGGATCCCTTGAGTCTAGGAGTTCAAGACTGCAAGTGAGCTATCATCACACCACTACACTCCAGCCTGTTGACAGAGTTGAAAAACAGATCTCAAAACAAAACAAAAACAACAAATTACTTATCTAGAAAATGTCCTTAATCTTACAGAGATAAAAACTAATATGTAACTAGATTAACTAATTTTCTCATGGTTACAGAGCAAACTTATGGTAGAAGTATATTGGAAAATTCAAGGTGCATGTTTCTCAGCTAAAGGCTCTTCCTAGAACTTGTTCCTTATTCACACCAATTATATTGCAGCCAAGTACTCTCTGAAGTACTCCCTCCAGAATAGCAATCCTGCCCTCCAAAGGATTCCTCACAAAAAAAAGTCTAAGTCCTTGCCCCTAGTTAGCCAGCCGACCTCTTCTCTGTTGCTTATAGCAGACCCTACAGGCCCCATCCAAGCCTATCAGTTCCATCAGGTACCCCCCAAAATTACTTCGGTTAACAGTGGTGGAGCACAGTCCTTCCTAGATTTGAGTAAGGCTCACTCCTCGCCTTTTCCACTCCAGGTCCTTACCTGACGGGTCTGCAGCGACTTGCAGGCAGACAGAAACTCCTGGGTCCGATCCCGGCAGGACATGGTGTCGGGAGGGGGAGGGACGAGGGTCACTGGGGGGGGCAGAGGGGCGATGTCGCTGCTGCTACTGCCAGCAGTTGCAGGGGACAGGACCTGTGTCTTTGAGAGACCCAGGTAGACACCCTGATCCGTGTTCTTAGACCCGTAGCGTTTCCGCGGGATCATTGAGACGCATAACCTCGGACTGTTGTGGAGGGGAGAGTGTCATTCCCCAGGCAACTTCTTTACCCAAACTCCCCCGCCCCACCCCAATCAACAAATCCCCGAGCCCCTTCTGCACTTCTCGTGGACTTTCGCGCCCAGGACGCTCGCAAATCCTGGGGCGGACCAGCAGCGGAAAGGGCCCCGCTTTTCCCCTGTCCCAAGTCGAACCCGCTTCAGACTCTTCTTCCAACTTGGCTCTGGCGGCCAGAGCGCGGGCCGGGGACCCTGAAGCAGAGACAGGGCCAGAGCCAACCCCGTGGTCCTGAGACTCCGGCCCGGCCCGTGTAACTGCCCCGGGCCCTAACCCAGCCCTTTCGTTTCCGCGGTTTCCTTCGGCCCCTCCGGGAGGGCCAGTGACGGACCTCCAAAGACTGACACACTTCGGTGGGCGGAGGGGGAAAACCTCTGGGTGTTTATTTGAAACAGGAAGTCCCACCCCCCGCCCAAGGTCCGCCTTCTGGAAGACTTCAACCACTCATTAGCTAAGGCCGACGTCTCTCTCAACAGAGGCTTTCCTGATTGGACGGCAAGGAATTCGCTCACCCGGAGCCGGGCCGGCAGGACTTGCCCGCTCGCCCCTGATTCCCTTCCCCCCGCCAGTCGTCGCCCCCGTAAAACCACTGCCCCAGAGCTGACACGGCGGCCAGATCCCCTCTTAAAGCGAATCTTACCTCCCCTCTGCCGCCTGCCGCCGCCGCCACTTCCAATCTCACCGGCCGTCACTGCCTCCTCCCCGAGCACTGAAGCCGCCGAAACCCGACCAAAGACTGGAAGCGGCCACGTCACCTACACGTAACCCCACCCCCAGTGACGAGGGGGCGGTCCCACGCGTTTCAAGCCCAGCGACCCGAAAGACACGCCCCACACCCAAACGCAAGAGCGATCCCGCCCTCCCATTGGCTAAGGCGCCACCGTGACCCCGCCCCAGAGTACTACAGCAGGCGCTCAGGGGGCTGGGCCCGCCTCCGGGAAGGAGCCTTAAAGAACCAGCTGCCCGGTGGTGTCCGCGCCCAGTCCCCCAGAGTGGTCGTGCAGGTATACGTTAGAAATTTTATTCTCTGGAGGTTGGGGCGGACTGAGAGCAGGTCTGGGGTCATCCCTTCTCCGGCTCCTCCTGGTTGCCTTCTCGGATCGGACTCTCCTGCTTCCGAATCTGGTCTGGTTGCCTCTTGCTTGGCCGCGAGGAGCCCCGACGACCGAACGTGGATAGTCGCCGCCACAGCACGGTAATCAGAAGGCTTTCGTTCGACTTGTGATTCGGATGGTCCGGGGAGTTCAAGTCGATATCTTCGGCGCCTGAGGGGACGACGAGGCCTCTGAGCTCACCCCTACCCTCGGGAAGCCCCCTCTCACACTCCCTGGGCCCTCTTTGTGTGTCTGTGGTCTCATCTTCCCTGCCGTCCTCAGACTCTTCCTCCTTGGACTGCTCATCAGACATCTCAAAGTCCTTGTCTTGGCAGCAGCCCATGGCCCCGCGTGGCCCTGGACTCCGTGCCACCCACGCCAGCCTGCCTGCCTCCAGGCCCGGCTTTTGTGACATCAGATATCCCGTCGCCCCAGCTCAGGCAGCCCCCACCCCAAGCTACCCCTCATTCCTTTCTCCCATCACAAAAGGCTCAGGGTCATGGTGGGTGTTCAGCAGTTTATTTACAAAGTGGGCACAGGGGCGTCAGGGGCTGGTGGACCCAGGCCGCTTCTTCTTTCTCCGTCTCGTTTGGAGAGCTCCTTGGGGCTGCTCCAAACCCGAGAGCTTCCGCTTGGCAGCTGCCTCCAAGGATGCCCAAAGTTCATCTGTCTCTGTGTCTTCTAGGGGCACCTTGTTGGGTTCTTGAGGCTCTTGGGGCTCATCCTGGTGAGTGGGAAGAAAGCTTAGGAGTCAGGGGGGCCGGGCACGGTGGCTCCCACCTGTAATCTCAGCACTTTGGGAGACCAAGGCAGGAGGATTGCTTGAGCCCAGGACTTAGCGACCAGACTGGGCAACATAAGGAGACCCCATCTCCACAAAAAGAAGTTTAAAAAAAAAAAAAAAAAAAAAAAAAAAGAAAAGTAGTCAGGGGCACAGGGACAAACCCACAGGGAAGGAGACCCTGGCTGAGAAAGAATCCCTCTGGGTACCACCACCTTTATTCCCTGCTCCTAGAAAGCAACCCCATCCATGCTGTTGGCAATAACCCTCTCAGGATTTTAACTGTTAATGCCTCTCAGAGAAATTAAGTGACCAGGCAGGTAAACAGATAGTCCCAAGTCTGCATTCCAGCTGCCTCCTTTTCCTCTCCATAGGGAGGTCCTCACATCTATGCCCTTGGCTCCCACATTCCCGGGCCCAACTGCTCACCTCCCAGTTGTCCCTGCCTGACAAGAGGAGGCAGTTCAATTGAGACTTGAGATAAACCTGCAAAAGATGAGGGACCTTAAGGAGCCAGGCATGCTGAGACAGAAACATGAACGGAGGGCACAGGAGGCGGGGCCTCCACAAGACCATGAGTTGGAGGTGGGAGAGACAACTTACCTTATGCTCCAGACCCCGTGGATTCTGGATCCTGTGTATCCTCAAGACTCTGTCCAAGCCACAGGAGGCTAGTAGAGGCTTTGAAGGGTGGCACTGCAACCCACGCACACTGCCTGCCAGCCCCTTCAGACAGCCCAGTAGACGCCCTAGAGAAGGGGGGAAGCATCCGTGATAACTGGCTGGCCAATAACCAACCATTCATTGTTTCCTGTTCCAATCACTTTCCATTTCAACATTTAATCTGCAACAAAACCCTGAGACTGGAGCTTCTACTAATATTTCCATTTCGCAGGTGAGGAAACTAAGGCACAGGGAGTTGAAATAATTAGTTTAAGGTCATACAGCTTTTAGGGAAACCAGGATTTAAACCCAGGCAATCTGGCACCTGAATGAGGCCTCACTGGCCCCACTGCACCACCTTAGAGGGAATCCTGACCCTTCTCCCTGCTCCTTCCTTTCCCCCAATGTACCCTAGTCCACTCACCTTGCCGAAGGTCAATTTCTGCCAGCTGCCCATGAGTGTTTCCCACAATCACTGAGCTGAGGATGAGACCAGAGGCAAGTGGGATCAGCAGTAACCTCCTGGAGCCCTTCTCAAGCCCCACCCTCCCACCCCTTCCCCTCTAAACACTCACTTGCCTCCCGGAGTGAGGGTCATGGCTGTTAGTGGGTACTCTCCATAGGTGGTCTCTAGGACTGGCCGGCGCTGGGGGGATGCTGGATCATAAACACGGACCTAGAGGAAGGCTGAAGCATCACAAAAGTATCCTCACCCTGCACCTACCCTCTGGCGTCTCTGCATCCTCACCCCCTCCCTGCACACTGCTTTCTTATTTATGATCCACTCCCAGAAACTTTCTCATCTTAGATGTATGCCTCTTCTCTGAGCATCAGGGTGTCAGGAGAGCTGCTTAGCAGCATAAATGGACAGAGCTGAGGGGAGAGGTCCCCTAGGTTGGAAGTGTGTGAGCATTCCATCCCCCCATACTCCCATCTAGGGGAAATGGAGGGACAGAAAAGCAAGTTGGTCTAGTAGTCAGTAGGTGCTAAATTTCAAGCAGGGGTTAGCCTGAATGAAGGAGGAAAGAGGATGCCCTCATATGTGTTTTGAGCAGAGGCATATGACCAAGATCAGACTTCAATGTGCAGAAGCAAAGAAAATAGGACAAATACAGTGACCCAGCCCCGCCCGTGTCTCAAGACCTCAAATGAGACAAACCATAAAGATTCCCCATTCGGGCCCTTCCTGTAAAGCTGAGGAGCTGAGGCCAGAGATGGGAGGCTCAGGCCTGGGTCCCAAAGCAAATCAGAGAGGCTGCATCAGGACCAGAACCCAGTTCTCTTAACACCCAGCCCAATGTCCTCTGACACCTGCACCCTATAATTCCCACAGTGAAGGGGATCCACTCTCCTTTCCTCTCTTCCAGGTGGGAGGAAAACAGGCATAGTTCAGGAAACTCCACCCTAGAATACAGTAGAGGAAGGTCATGGGCTCAGGGACAGGGTTGGAACAGACGGGGAAGCGCTTGCTCCTCTGAACTCAGAATGGTGAGAAGAGCAGTTGTGTCAAACCGTGGGGGCCATTTCTCCAGGAGGCTGCTTTATCCCAGGAGAAGGCAGGTGTGAGGTGACACCTTACCTGGTGGTACCCTGTGCAGGTGACAAGCTTCTGTGATCCTGGGAGAAACTGTATGTCCTGGTCCCAGATGGGAACCCGCAAGTCCAGCCAGTCATTCCGCACCTGGTGGGGTGGGCAGATGGAGGACAGGGCTATGGGGGGCTCGATGTGCCCCTGTTTTCAGCCCTCCTTCGCCCCCTAAGTCCATCTAGTCTCTAATGCATCGTCAGTGGCCTCAGCCTCCCTCGACTTCAGGAACAGCTCCTTCACACTCTTGTCACTCACGTTCTTGGCCCTGAACACAGGTTCCTCAGAGCCCTGCAGGTCCCATATCTTCAAAGCATTCTCTTTCCCACCTGTGGCAACCACATGGGGGTGTGCTGGGTCTTGGCGCATCCTACACACCCCAGGGCCCACTCTCAGTTCCAGGAGCTGTAAAGAATAGGAGATAAGAGTCCGTTCCAGAGTCCTTAATCCTCCCTTCCCCAGCGTGATCATTAGGCACCTACCCCAGCCCACCTCCCCCAACCATCAGGGCAGGGGAGCCTCACTGGGTCAGAGGATGTGTCCTTGTCCTTGTCATGCCAGACTCTGAGAATCCCAGAATCCACACATGTGATGAGGGTGCTGCAGAGAAAGGATAGAGTTGGGATTTTTTAAGTGCTTAAACTCCTTGTTCTAATCTTTCTCTCCTCCTTACTACTACAGTTGACTAATGTTTAAAGAAAAAAAAAAGTATAAAAGTATTCTCTAGGCCCCAAACTCATATCAACCAGATTCCCTACTAACAGTCCAGTTTAGAAGGAAGCCTCTAGGTCACTGGGCTCTAGGCAGGGCTTGACAGCTTCCAGCTTCCTAATCTGTTAATTCAACTTTCTCAACAGGGTGAGGGTTTACCAAGTGAGGAAATAGAAGCGCTGAGAAACTAATTTGCCACTCAGCTATGTTACAACCACAGCTAGAAATCAACTCTGTGATATTCCAGAGTGCTTTTGCTGTTCACAGCTATGTCTAGCATCTGGCTGTACTGGTCTGTCTGAATCTTGAGTTGCTTACTAGGGCTGGTCTGAATTTAGGGCTTGGTCAAAGTCAAACACCAACTTCTTGGGTTCCTTGCTCTGAGTTTCAGGCACTAAATGTCAGTCTCTTGCTTAAAATATCCCTCCCGAGAAGTCCAAGCAAGTCTCTCCCCAGGATCTGCACAGCCTGCGCCTATGTTCTTTCTCACACCTGCCAACCCTCCCTAGCTGGGTTCGGGCTCTGTATCGACTTGCCTGACCTGTGGCAAAAGTCTCCCAGTTGCTGTCTCCAATCCATCCTCCATACTCCTACAGGCTCCCAGTGCTGACTATGGTACTTCCTATTCAAAAACTGATAACTTGGCCAGGCACAGTGGCTCACGCCTATAATCCCAGCACTTTGGGAGGCCAAGGCAGGCAGATCACCTGAGGTCAGGAGTTCCAGACCAGCCTGGCCAACATATAGTGAAATCTTGTCTCTACTAAAAAATACAAAAATTAGCTGGGTGTGGTGGTACATGCCTGTAGTCCTAGCTACTTGGGAAGTTGAGGCAGGAGAATCGCCTGAACCAGGGAGGTGGAGGTTGCAGTGAGCCGAGATCATGCCACTGCACTTCAGCCTCAGTGACAGAGCAAGACTCCGTCTCTCAGAAAAACAAAAACAATAAATGAATAACTCACCAACACCAATAAAAGTGCACATCTCTCAACCTAGCACTTAAAGCCCTTTACATTTAATCCCAACCTAATATAGTGTTCATCTTGTATTAAAATGCTTCCTTGGCCGGGTGCAGTGGTTCACGCCTGTAATCCCAGCATTTTGGGAGGCTGAGGTGGGCGGATTGCCTGAGGTCAGGAGTTCCAGACTAGCCTGGCCAACATAGTGAAACCCTGTCTCTAATAAAAATACAAAAAAAACTTAGCTGGGCGTGGTGGCGGATGCCTGTAATCCCAGCTACTCAGGAGGCTGAGGCAAGAGAATCGCTTGAGCCTGGGAGGCAGAAGTTGCAGTGAGCCGAGACTGTGCCACTGCACTCCAGCCTGGGCAACAGAGTGAGACTCCGTATATAAAAAAAAAACAAAAAACAAAAAAAAAAAAACGCTTCCTTGTTATCAACTTCCAAATCAAATGCTATTTATCCTATTTATGTACCCTGTAGCATGCCTCCAGTCCTTGGCCTCTCCCAGGCAGTACCCTCTTTCTAGAATACCCTTATCCCCTTCTCCACCAGTCAAAATTCTACCCATCCCTCAAGAACCAGTTCAGACATCCAGTCCCCCCCACAGGCTTTCCAGACCTCACCTGTCAGAATTACCACCACCAAACCTATGCAGCCTGCTTCACAGCCCTCTTTCATCATCTTTGGAAGAAAGCAAGGCCAGTCATCCAACCACTTAGCACCTTCCTAATCTTTGCTTTCAGAGCTACATCACCTTGTTGGTGGTTGAGCTCAAGTTGAGCCCAGGAGTTTGAGACTGGCCTGGGCACACAGTGAGACCCCATCTCTATAAAAAACTTAAAAATTTAGCTGGGCAGGGTGACACCTGCCTGTGGTCCCAGGTACTCAGGAGGTTGAGGCGGGAGGATCGTTTGACCCCGGGAGGTTGAGGCTGTAGTGAGCCATGAATGCACCACTGCACTCAAGCCTAGGTGACACAGTGAGGCTCTGTCTCAAAAAATATAAATGAATTAATAATGAATTAATGAATGCATGCTTAAAACTTTTTTTGTTGTTTTTTTTGAGATGGAGTCTTGCTCTGTTTCACAGACTGGAGTGCACTGGTGCGATCTCTGCTCACTGCAACCTCTGCGGGACGGATTCAAGCGATTCTCCAGCCTCGGCCTCCCAAGTAGCTGGGATTACAGGCATGAGCCACCACACCCGGATAATTTTTGTATTTTTTTAGTAGAGAAGGGGTTTTACCGTGCTGGCCAGGCTGGTCTTGAACTCCTGACCTCAAGTGATCCACCTATCTCGGCCTTCCAAAGTGCTGGGATGACAGGCATGAGCCACCACACCCAGCCTTGCTTAAAACTATTAAATGACAAGCAGGCACAGTGGCTCACGCCTGTAATCCCAGCACTTTGGGAGTCCGAGGCAGGTGGATCACCTGAGGTCAGGAGTTCGAGACCAGCCTAGCCAATACGGTGAAACCCCGTCTCTACTAAAGATACAAAAATAGCCGCGCGTGGTGGCAGACGCCTGTAATCCCAGGTACTTGGGAGGCTGAGGCAGGAGTATCGCTTGAACCCGGGAGGCGGAGGTTGCAGTGAGCCGAGATCGCGCCACTGCACTCCAGCCTGGGCAACAAGAGCGAAAACTCCGTCTCCAAAAAAAAAAAAAACAAAAAACAAACACACACACACACAAAACTATTAAATGACTTGCCCATGGTTACTTAGAGGATTATAATGGAGTCAGGTGAAAAACCTTAGAGGATGAGAACTTTTTGAAGGCAGAAATTTTACCGGCAGCCCCTGTACTTCTCCCAGTGCCTGGAATTCAGTAGGTGTTCAATAAATGTGTGTTACAGGTATGAACTACATAAGGCAGAAACCCAGGTCCCTGTCACCCATTCAAAGCCGTGTCACTAAGAGTTTGCCTGTCGCCATCATTCCAGTATCCTCAGGGAGCATCAACGCTCTCCCTTCGGCCCTGAGTTTAGCGAGGGGATTGGTCTTACCCGTCGGCCTGGGCGAGGCCACGGAACATGCCCTCCCCGCCCGGGCAGTGTCTCTGACCCTGGAATATGCCATCCTCGGTGCTGAAGTGCTTCACCGTCCTGTCCGCGCAGCCCACCAGCATCTGCGGCAAAGAAGGGCAAGATGGCGAGGAGAGCGAGGCTGCTGCGCCCCAGGCCCCCAGCTCCGGCCCGACCAGGGGCCACTCACCTGGGTCTCGCCGCCGGTGCCCCAACACAGGGCGCTCACTGCCTCCTCGCGCCGCGGCTGTCCTCCGGCCGTGAAGTTCGCCGCCTGTTTTCGCTGAAGATTTACCCCTGAGAGACGAAGGCGTCAGTCACGCCAGGGGCGCGAGTGCACCCCTGCACTTCCCGACGCCCGAGCCTGCCACCCACCTTTCAAGATCCCAGTCTCGGTGCCGACCCACACATGGTTCCAGCGTGCAGCAGCAGCCGCCATGACAAAGCCTGGAGGCAGACAGTTCACACTTCCGGCGCAGCGTGTGCGTCACCAGCGGGCGTCGAGTCCGATGCAGCGCAGTGTAGTTGCTGGAAGTTTGAAGAGCCGAAACAGTAAAGCTTCCATGCTTGTTTTGCTTTACGAAAATGAAACCAGGAGGTGCTTGTTTATGTAGATCGGAAGAATACATTGATCATTTTGCACTTGGGGGTGAAAAGCACCTTTCCTGGACTGCGTGGCCGGATCAAGCCAGCCCTAGTCTGTCTCCCGGCTCCATTATGTAATATGTGTTCTGGACTGTTAGACAAGAAACAACAAACGATTTAAGAAACGATTTAAGAAACACTTTAGAAACGATTCAAATCATTAATGATGTGTGGGGCTTCGTTCTGGAATATAAGTCACGAAAGAAAGATGGGAAAAGGAAACCGACGATTTTTTTTTTCTTTTGAGAGAACTTCGCCCTTGTTGCCCAGGCTGGAGTGCAATGGCGCGATCTCCTCTCACCTCAACCTCCGCCTCCCGGGTTCAAGCGATTCTTCTGCCTCAGCCTCCCAAGTAGCTGGGATTACAGCTGGTATTACTAAACCACCGCGCCCGGCCTCGTTTACTCTTCAAGAGGCGGACAGCGAGGCGCGGTGGCTCACGCCTGTAATCCCAGCACTTTGGGAGGCCGAGGCGGGCGGATCATGAGGTCAGGAGATCGAGACCATCTTGGCTAACACGGTGAATCCCCGTCTCTACTAAACATACAAAAACAAAACTAGCCGGGCGTGGTGGCGGGCGCCTGTAGTCCCAGCTACTCCGGAGGCTGAGGCAGGAGAATGGCGTGAACCCGGGAGGAGGAGCTTGCAGTGAGCCGAGATTGCGCCACTGCACTCCAGCCTGGGCGTCAGAGACTCCGTCTCAAAAAAAAAAAACAAAAACAACTAAAAGTACTCTGTGCTATGCTACATGAGAAACGCAGAGAAAGTCATCGCTCAGTAGAAATACAGTAATAGCGCATGCGTAAATAGGAGAGGGAAGTCGCTACTTTACCTAGAGATTAACACAGAAAAGCAACAAATTACCAGTTTACAAGTAAACCCTTTATCTAACGCGAAGATTTATTTATTTTTTGAGATGGAATCTTGCTCTGTCTCTCAGGCTAGAGCGCCCGCCACCAGGCCTGATTCACTTTTCTTTTGGTTTTTTAGTGAAGACGGGATTTTTCACACCATGTTAGTCAGGCTGGAATTACCCAATCCGCCCGCCCCAACCTCCCGAAGTGCTAGGATTTCACGCTTGAAACCCCGAGCGCGACCTAGGTTTAACACATCAAACGCGAAACCAGGCCGGGCGCGGTGGCTCACGCCTGTAATCCCACCACTTTGGGAGGCCGAGGCGGGCGGATCACGAGCTCAGGAGATCGAGACCATCCTGGTTAACACGTTGTGAAACCCTGTCTCCACTAAAAATACAAAACAGGCCGGGCGCGGTGGCTCACGCCTGTATTCCCAGCACTTTGGGAGGCTGAAGCGGGCGGATCACAAGGTCAAGAGATGGAGACCACCCTGGCCAACATGGTGAAACCCCGTCTCTATTAAAAGTATAAAAATTCGCTGGGCGTGGTGGCGGGCGCCTGTAGTCCCAGCCACTCGGGAGGCTGATGCAGGAGAATCGCATGAACCCGGGAGGCGGATGTTGCAGTGAGCTGAGATCATGCCATTGCACTCTAGCCTGGGCGACAGAGCAAGACGACGTCTCAAAAAAAATAAATAAGAAATAAAAATGGAAAACATTAGCCGGGGGTGGTGGCAAGCGCTCAATAGTTCCAACTACCCCAGAGGCTGAAGTATGAAGATTGCTGAAGACCACATGGAGATACTACGCTCCGTGCTCAGTTATAAAACAAAACCTTCTCTCAACAAGACACTCAAACACGCGTCATTCAACACACTAGCGATAAAAACACCTAATCCAACTCAAACAACAAGAACATAACTATTTAGCTTGTACCCTAACTGATCGAAATCTTCCATTAAACAACGGTTGTTCTCTCCCCGAAGGGAGAGTGCACCGTTCCTGGAAGTACTGCAATACCAGGTCGATGCGTGGAGTGGACGGAGCAAGCTCCTATTCCATCTCCTATTTCCAAAAATCCATTTAATATATTGTCCTCGGATAGAGGACGTATCAGATATTAAACTGATAAGAACAGATACTACACTTGATCTTAGCCAAAAGGCCGAGAAGCGATACCTTTACTTCGGTCGCCTCGGCGGCCTTATCCTTCCCATCTTCCAACCAGTTATGGTAACTATCCAGGCACTAAATGTTAAATTATCTCCCAATACATTATAATTCCGAAACACAGTTTTCATTATTCTTTCTTTATAGTAGTGGCTATATTTTGGAAACAGCCCTATTTAAACGTCCTCTACTTCTTCCGCCGCCTGCTCCCTGCTCAGTTTGTTTTGCATAAACCCGCCCCTTTCGCTTTTTTAGGATCCTGGGATTGGTCCACACACCAGTCGTGATTTCAATGCCCGCGTGGCCTCCTTTTCCCCGATTGTGGCGTTAGTCTCCCATCCTAGGGGTTTTTCGGCTTTCCAGGGGGCGGCGGGACAGTGCTGCAGGTGGCGGCGCCCCTCTCCGGGACCTTTCTTGGGAGAAGCCGCGGCGCGGTGTCAAAGCACAGGTTTTGGAGTCCAAAAAAGGAGGTTGGGCTCCCTGCTCTCCAGTTCCTGACTTAATGGCCTGGGCTTGGTATTTAGGCTCTTGTTTCCTCCCCATTTAAACGGGGGAAATGGTGACACTCACTCTCCGGAGTTTGTGAGAACTGAGGACATAGGGGCGAGGCACGACCCGCACCTTGCATTTGTACTGTCCGCCAGCAAACATCTGGCCCTTCACTGAGAGGGAAAGATGCCCTGAGAAAGCCATTTCAGAGGCTCCTGATCCTCAAACCCGGGATCCCGCGGTGGGAGAAAGGTGCTGACGCCTCAGCCCCGATGTCCTCCGACCCACGCACTCTTTAGAGTTACTTTCAGGCCGACCAGCAACGCGGCAAGGCATCCCACCCGGAAGTCCGACCGAGAAACCACAGGGCCTCTCCTCGAAGGCAGAGGCAGGGTCGTTAGAGGACTGGGGCGAAGGAGGAGGAGGAGAGTGTAGGTAAAATTGAAATGGAGCGATTTTTTTTTAATCGATCAAAGCAAGCTCGCCAGAATGAAAGGGATTAATATGAGGCCCTGGCTGAGAAGGGACTTAAGGTCTTGCTTTCTTGGAAGCTCTATTAATATAAACGTGGATCGTTCTGTTGGAAACCCCTTAACCTGGGTTGGAAATAGAGGCGGTGTCTTTGCATCAAAGCGTCTTGCATGGCTGAGATCCTCCAGGCAGGAGTGGGGCGTTAACATTCTCACTGATAAAATGTCAACCGGCAAAGCTTCTGATAATCTATGATTTTATGACACTGGTATTAATAAACAAAAGAAATTTCTACAAGTTCTCATAAGTAAACCCAGAGCCTTCAGAGAGGTGCCACATCAAGAGAGTAGTAGGCAGGGGGCCGGGCGTGGTGGCTCACACCTGTAATCCCAACACTTCGGGAGGCCAAGGCGGGTGGATTACTTGAGGCCAGGAGTTCGAGACCAGCCTGGGCAACATGGCAAAACCCTGTCTCTACTGAAAATACAAAAAGTAGCCAGGCATGATGGTGCATGCCTGTAGTCCCAGCTACTTGGGAGGCTGAGGCATGAGAATCGCTTGAACCTGGGAGGCAGAGGTTGCAGTGATCTGAGATCATGACACTACACTCCAGCCTGGGTGACAGAGCGAGACTCTGTCTCAAAAAAAAAAAAAAAAAAAAGAGGATAATAAGCAGAATAATGCCCTCCCCACCCCAGAGATGGTCAGTGAGAACCTCTGAATGTGTTACCTTACATAGCAAAAGGTATTTTGCAGATATTATTAAATTAAGGATTTTGAGACGGCGAGATTTATCCTGGATTTTCTGGGTGGGTTCAGAGTAATCACAAATGTCTTTATAAGGGGTAGAGGGAGGCAGGAGAGTCTGAGTGATGCAACCTGAGGAAGATTTGAGCAGCCAGGGCTTGCTCTGCAGATGGAAGAGAGTCATCAGCCAGGGAGTTGTGGGCAGCAGCTAGAAGTTGGAAAAAGCAAGGAAATAGATTCTCCCATGCAGCCTCCAGAAAGCAATGCAGCCCTGTCATTACACCTTGATTTTAGCCCATTGAGACTCATTTTGGACCTCTGGTCTCCAGAACCGTAAGATGATACATTTGTTTTGTTTTTGGCCGCTAAGTTTGTGGGTAATTTGTTACAACAGCAATAAGAAACGAATACAGGGGCAATAAGAAACTAGTACAGGGGCAGGGCCCAGGGCCTCATTCCTGTAATTCTAGCACTTTGGGAGGCCAAGGCAGGAAGATCACTTGAGGCCAGGAGTTCGAGACCAACCTGGACAACATGGCGAACCTTGTCTCTACAAAAGTACAAAAATTATCCGGGTGTGGTGGCACATACCAGAAGTCTCAGCTACTTGGAAGACTAAGGCAGGAGGATTGCTTGAGCCTGGGAGGTTGAGGCTGCAGTGAGCCATGATCACACCACTGCACTCTAGGCTGGGTGAGAGAGGGAGACCCTATCTCAAAAAATAATAAATAAATAAATAAAATGAAATAAAAATTTAAAATTCATGTTTTATTTTCATGAAACTAATATACCTTAAATTGTCAACTAGTGTTAAAAGACTTATATAAAAACAGTAGTTGCCTGTGTCCTGCCTCATTTTACACCCTACTTTTATTTTATTTAATACTATTTATTTACTTTATTATTTTTATTTATTTATTTATTATTATTATTTTTTGGAGACGGAGTCTTGCCCTTGTTGCCCAGGCTAGAGTGCAGTGGCGCAATTCAGCTCACCGCAACCTCTGCCTCTTGAGTTCAAGCTATTCTCCTGCCTCAGCCTCACGAGTTGCTGGGATTACAAGCATGTGCCACCATGCCAAGCTAATTTTGTATTTTTACTAGAGATGGGGTTTCTCCATGTTGGTCAGGCTGGTCTTGAACTCCCAACCTCAGGTGATCCGCCCACCTCAGCCTCCAAAGTGTTGGAGGCCCGTCTCTACTAAAAATACAAAAAATTAGCTGGGCGCGTGGTGGTGGGCGCCTGTAATCCCAGCTATTCGGGAGGCTGAGGCAGGAGAATCGTGTGAACCTGGGAGGCAGAGCTTGCAGTGAGTGGAGATCGCACCACTGCACTCCAGCCTGGGAAACAGAGCAAGACTCCGTCTCAAAAAAAAAAGAAACGGGGTTTCACCATTTTGGTCAGGCTGGTCTTGAACTCCTGACCTCGTGATCTGCCCACCTCGGCCTCCCAAAGTGCTGGGATTACAGGCGTTAGCCACCATGCCTGGCCTTTTCGTTTTGTATTTTTTTTTTAGTAGAGACAGGATTTCACCATGTTGGTCAGCCTGGTCTGGACTCCTGACCAAGTGATCCACCCGCCTAGGCCTCCCAAAGTGCTGGGATTACGGGCATAAGCCACCGTGCGGAGTCTCTAAATTATTTTGTTTTTTGTTTTTTTGAGACAGAGTCTCACTCTGTCACCCAGGCTGGAGTGCAGTGGCACGATCTCGGCTCACTGCAAGCTCCACCTTCTGGGTTCACAGCATTCTCCTGCTTCTGCCTCCTGAGTAGCTGGAACAGGCGCCCGCCACCATGCCCGGCTAATTTTTTTGTGTTTTTAGTAGAGATGGGGTTTCACCGTGTTAGCCAGATGGTCTCGATCTCCTGACCTCGTGATCTGCCCGCCTCGGCCTCCCAAAGTGCTGGGATTACAGGCGTGAGCCACCGCACCCAGCCTGCTTTTCTTTTTTTTCTTTTTATTTTTTAATATAAAGATGGAGTCTTGCTATGTTGGCCAGGCTGATCTCAAAACTCCCAACCTCAATCTATCCTCCTTCCTTAACCTCCCGAAATGCTGGGATTACAGGCTTAAACCAGGGCACCTGGCCTTTTTTTATTTTTCTTTTTTGAAGACGAGAATGTTACAAAATTTTTTTTTTTTTTTTGAGATAGAGTCTCACTCTGTCACTCAGGCTGGAGTGCAGTAGTGTGATCTCGGCTCACTGCAACCTCCACATCCTGGGTTCAAGGGATTCTCCTGCCTCAGCCTCTGAAGTAGCTGGGATTACAGGTGCACACCACCACGCCTGGCTAATTTTTTGTATTTGTATTTTTAGTAGAGACAGGGTTTCACCACGTTGGCCAGTCTGGTCTCAAACTTTTTACCTCAGGTGATCTACCCGCCTCGGCCTCCCAAAGTGCAGGCTTGAGCCACCGTGCCCAGCCTCATTTTTATTTAATTTTTTAATTTTTTATTTCTTTTTTTGAGATAGTCTCACCGCAACCTCTGCCTCCCAGGTTCAAGCAATTCTCCTGCCTCAGCCTTCTGAGTAGCTGGGACTACAGGTGCCCGCCACCATGCCCAGCTAATTTTTGTATTTTTAGTAGAGATGAGGTTTCACCATGGTGGCTAGGCTGGGTTTTTCATTTTTATTGCATCCTCCAACTCTTCTGAGAATTTATTGAATGCTTTCCCAAAATCAATGCATATTTGCCTTACACAATTTTGCATACAGTTTTTGGGGGGATTCTTGGAGCCCTGCTGAAGCCCATTAAATTAATCTACACACTAACAACCACAGCCCCAGAGAGACAGGGGAACCTGACTGAAGGTGTCCAAATATCTGATAAAAGGCCACAGAAATCCGGAAAGGGCTGGACAGACATGAAGGAACAGGATCTAAAGGTCCTTGGGCCATTGTGGGCAGCCCTGGTGAAGGGCTGACTGGGATGATCTTTGGCTCCAGGACTTGAGTGGCTAACCTGGGCCCATATTCCCTCGTGATTTTAAGAATTAAAGAAAGAGGAAAGACAATGGGTGCAGTGGCTCACGCCTGTAATCTCAGCACTTTGGGAGTCTGAGGAGGGCGAATCACTTGAGATCAGGAGTTTGAGACCAGCCTGACCAACATGGAGAAACCCCGTCTCTACTAAAAATACAAAAATTAGCCGGGCATGGTGGCACATGCCTGTAATCCCAGCTACTCGGGAGGTCGAAGCAAGAGAAGAGAATCGCTTGAACTCAGGAGGCGGAGGTTGCAGTGAGCTGAGATCGTGCCACCGCACTCTAGCCTGGGCAACAAGAGCGAAACTCTGCCTCAAAAAAAAAAAAAAAAAAAAAAAAAAAAGGAAAGAAACACGAAATGTGGCTTAACAGTCAAAGACAAGTTTATTTCTCTAAAATAAATAAACCTGAGAGGGGCTTCTGTCCAATTTTGGTCAGGAGCATTCTCTTTTTTTTTTTTTTTGAGACAGAGTCTCTCAAACTCCTGACCTCAGGTGATCTGCCCACCTCAGCCTCCCAAAGTGCTGGGATTACCAGGCGTGAGCCACCGCTCCCAGCCCAGGAGCGTTCTCTCTTACAGACTAAGAGTATATATTGGTTTTAGGGTGAGGGGGCTTATCAGAAGCTTGGAATGTTTCTGTGTTGGGGAGAAATTTATGGCGGGGTTTAAATGTCTCTGGAGTGGAGGTTATCTCGGGGCTGGCATGTCTCTGGTCGGGGAGGGGTTTGGAATGTTTCTGGATGGAGATATCATTTGTGGTTTATGGTCATGGTGACTTTAGCCATTAGGTTGATGCCCTTTGGATTTAGGCAGTTTTTGATCAAGGTGAACTTAAAATGACAGTGCTTGTCCAAGATGGCAATACTCGTGCTCTGTCACTGGTGACTCTGGCTTGGAGTTGGGCAGGTCCTGGGAAAGAAACACTGGTGGCTGGGCACGGTGGCTCACGCCTGTAATCCCAGCACTTTGGTAGGCTGAGGCGGGTGGATCACGTGAGGTCAGCAGTTCGAGACCAGCCTGGCCAACATGGTGAAATCCCCTCTCTACTAAAAGTACAAAAATTAGCCAGCATGGTGGCACACACCTGTAATCCCAGCTACTCAGGAGACTGAGGCAGAAGACTCGCTTGCAGCTGGGAGGTGGAGGTTGTAGTGAGCCAAGACCGTGCCACTGCACTCCAGCCCTGGCGACAGAGCAAGACTTGGTCTCCAAAAAATAAATAAATAAATAAATAAATAAAAATACAAAAGAAACACTGGCTTACCTGTTGGCCATCAACCTTACCCTTGCTAATTTTATCTGCTCCCTGGTTCTCTAGGAATTAGCTTTGACCTCCCGGGCTCAAGCCACCCTCTCAAGTACCTTAGCCTCCCAAGTACCTAGGACTACAGGCATGCACCACTATGCCTGGCTAATTTTAATTTTTTGTAGAGATGGGGTCTTGCTATGTTGCCCAGGCAGGTCTTGAACTCCTGGCCTCAAGCAACCCTCCTGCCTTCACCACTCAAAGTGCTGAGATTACAGCCATGAGCTACCATGCCTGGCCAGGTATTTGCATTTTCTCCCTCTATTCACACTCTGCTGAAATGTCCCATGTAGGGCCCTGGCTTTCCTTCCCTCTGTTCTCTGGTGATGACTGACTCAAGGTCTCTAGCCTGCTGGTCAATGGTGCCAGGCACCATTACAGGTACTTTATATGTATTAACAACCTTAAGAGATAAGTAGGTGCTTTTAATGTTCCCTTTTACAGAAGAGGAGACTGAGGCACTGTGGCCAGGTGATTTTCTTTTTTTTTTTCTTTTTCTTTTTTTGTTTTTTGAGATGGAATCTCGCTCTGTCAACCAGCTGGAGTGCAGTGGTGTGATCTCGGCTCACTGCAAGCTCCTCTGGAGCTTAGGGAAGAGGTTCTTGCTAAAGACCTTGTAGTCTGAGTCATTAATGTACAGAAGAAATGTGAAGAGCCAGGCCTCAATCATTCTGGCCTTCTCCTCCATTTCTCCATATTGTCCCAGTCTCATTTCTTTTTTTGTTTTTGAGATGGAGTTTCTCTCGTTGCCCAGGCTGGAGTGCAATGGTGCGATCTCAGCTTACCACAACCTCTGCCTCCCGGGTTCAAGCGATTCTCCTGCCTCAGCCTCCCGAGTATCTGGGATTACAGGCACATGCCACCATGCCCGGTTAATTTTGTATTTTTAGTAGAGACAGGGTTTCTCCATGTTGGTCAGACTGGTCTTGAACTCCTGGCCTCAGGTGATCCGCCTGTCTCAGCCTCCCAAACTGCTGGGATTACAGGTGTGAGCCACTGTGCCCGGCCTTTTTTTTTTTTTTTTTTTTTTTTTTGAGATACAGTCTTGCTGTGTCGTCCAGGCTGGAGTCCTCCCAGGTTCAAGAGATTCTCCTGCCTCAGCCTCCTGAGTAGCTGGGACTACAGGTGCATGCCGCTACACCCGGCTCATTTCTTTTAGTAAAGATGGGGTTTCACCATGTTGGCAAGGCTGGTCTTGAACTTGTGACCTCAGGTAATCAGCCCACCTTTGCCTCCCAAAGTGCTGGGATTACAGGTGTGAGCCGCTGCACCTGGCCAGTCCCCACCTGACTTCTTTGTGGCTTTAACAAAAGATTCAGCTGTGGGCAGTGGGGAGACTTCCCTCAGTTTGCAAGTCAGTACCGTGCAGGTTCCCACTGCTTGCACTGCTTTTCTAAGTTTCTGTTCTGCTGATCCTCCATCTCTAAATTCTGGTGCTCCCCTAGGGTCCTTGGGTGGTCTTCTCAGAATTGACTCTTCCATTCTTGTGGTTGTAAATTATTGTGCTGACAACTCTCAAGTCTATGTGGCTACCATTTAATGAGCAAAAAATGTGTGTTGTTTCAGCTGAGTTGCTGTTCTTATAATTCTGACCGGAGAAATCCTAAAATTTACAAACAAAAATTAAAAACAGGGCCTGGTGCGGTGGCTCACACCTGTAATCCTGGCACTTTGGAAGGGCGAGGTGGGTGAATCATCTGAGGTCAGGAGTTCGAGACCAGCCTGGCCAACATATAGTGAAACCCCGTGTCTACTAAAAATACAAAAATTATCTGGGTGTAGTGGCACACGCCTGTAGTCCCAGCTACTTGGGAAGCTGAGGCAGGAGAATCGCTTGAACCCGGGAGGCAGAGGTTGCAGTGAGCCGAGATCACACCACTGCACTCCAGCCTGGGTGACAGAGCGAAACTCCTTCTCAAAAAACAAAAAAAAAGTAAATAAATAAAAAATAAAACAGGTAAAAATCCCGTAATTTATCACTACTTGGTGTCCATTCTCCCAAACACTTTGAGAAATATAAGGGTAGTCATTATCTGGTGGCTTACAACAGAATCACCCAAAGGGGGGCTACCTGTCAATGCAGGCTGGAGTCTCCAAGCTCAGGGAAGATTTAAAAAATTG
Organism: Homo sapiens; assembly: GCF_000001405.40. NCBI lineage: Eukaryota > Metazoa > Chordata > Mammalia > Primates > Hominidae > Homo > Homo sapiens. The sequence continues at coordinate 62,849,924 of NC_000011.10, forward strand.
CTCTTCTGAGGGATGCAGGGTGCAGTGGCTCATGCCTGTAATCTCAACACTTTGAGACACTGAGGCAGTGGGATCACTTGAGCCCAGTTCGAGACCAACTTGGGCAACATAGTGAGACTATCTCTACAAAAAATTAAAATTACCTGGGCATAGTAGGCATGTCCCTATAGTCCCAGCTACTCGGGAAACTCAGGTGTCGGATCGCTTGAGCCCAGGAGCTTGCGGCTGTGTTGAGACATGATGACACCACTACACTCCAGCCTGGGTGACAAAGAGCTTCAAAAGAAACAAAAACAAACACACACACAAAAAAAACCACACAAACAAAAAAAAAACAGAAAAAACTGAAGAAATCTCTCCAAACATATTCTGCCTGGTTAAAAAGATTGAGAACCGGCTTTAATACCTGGTGGCTTAAAAAAAAACCCACAAAAAACAAAAAACAAAGAAAAGCAGCCAGGTGCAGATGTCTGTAATCCCAGCACTTTGGGAGGCAGAGTTGGGTGGACTGCTTGAGCTCAGGAGTTCAAGACCAGCCTAGGTAATATGGTGAAACTGTCTCTAACAAAAATACAAAATTAGCTGGGCATGGTGGTGTGCACCTGTGGTCCCAGCTATTTGGGAGGCTGAGGTGGGAGAATCACTGGAGCCCAGCAAGTTGAGGCTGCAGTGAGCTGTGATCGCACAACTGTACCACAGCCTGGGTGACAGAGCAAGACCGTCTGAAAAAATTGAGAGCTGCTGACCTAACCATACACAACTCTGTACCCCATAGTATCCACAGGTTGGCACTGTCCCTGTGCTTTCCCTTCTTCCTCAAGGCCAATTAAAAAGCAGAGATTTGGCCAGGCACCGTGGCTCATGCCTGTAATCCCAGCACTTTGGGAGGCCGAGGCGGGTGGATCACCTGAGGTCAGGAGTTCAAGAGCAGCCTGACCAACATGGAGAAACCCCGTCTCTACTGAAAAAAAAAAAAATATATATATATATATATATACATATACACACACACACACACACACACACACACACAATAATTAGCCAGGCATGGTGGCGCATGCCTGTAATCCCAGCTACTTGGGAGGCTAAGGCAGGAGAATCGCTTGAACCTGGGAGGCGGAGGTTGCGGTGAGCAGAGATCCTGCCATTGCACTCCAGCCTGGGAAATAACAGAGAAACTCCGTTTCAAAAAAATAAAATAAAAAGCATAATTTGGCTGGGTGCAGTGGTTCCCACCTGTAATCCCAACACTTTGGGAGGCCGAGGCAGGCGGATCATGAGGTCAGATCGAGACCATCCTGTTAACACGGTGAAACCCCATCTGTACTAAAAATACAAAAAAGTAGCCGGGTGTGGTGGCATGCGGCTGTAGTTCCAGCTACTCAGGAGGCTGAGGCAGGGAGAATGGCTTGAACCCAGGTGGTGAAGTTACAGTGAGCCAAGATAATGCCACTGCATTCCAGCCTGGGTGACAAGAACGAGATTCCACCTCAGAAAAAAAAAAAAGGCACAGGTTTGGGAGGCAGGCAGATCACTTGAGGTCAGGACTAAGCCTGGTCAACATAGTGAAACCTCTACTAAAATCCCAATAACTAGGCTTGCTTCGTGACAGGTATCTGCAATCCCAGCTACTCGGGGCTGAGGCAGGACAATCACTCAATCCAGGTGGAGGCTGCAGGGAGGCGAGATGGCACTACTGCACTCCAGCTTGACTCCATTGTCCCTTGCTTCCCCCAGGAAAAAACAGATTTGGGCTGGGTGTGGTGTCTGTAGTCCCAGCCCCAGCTGCTGGTTAAAGTCAAGTAGGTTTGCTTAAGCCCAAAAGCTTGAAGCTGCAGTGAGGTTGTGATCATGTCACTGTACTCTAAGACTAGGCAAGAGAAAAAAAAAAAAGATGGATGTTCTACTCAGGTTACTCATTTAACACACTGCCTATCAGGCAAACTGTCAGATGTCCCTTCAAGTTCCAGGTACTTCAGGGAGCATGAGAGGAAAGCCAGTTTCCCATGGAAATTTACACACTGATGCTAAGAGACACATACACACAAAAAAAGTAAACAGGACTATGTAATCAATCATTTTATTATTTTCATCAACAACCAACACAGCAACACAAATTGACAGCCAGTCCTCAAGGGAACCTTTTTTGAAGTGAAGAGCAAGGCCCTGAATGAGCTACCTACATGGAACATAGTATTTGCAATATGCAAATGGAGACCTAAAGGCTCATGACGGGAACAGAAGGTGGCTGTATACAGAGGAACAGACACGAAGTGGAGTTATGGGAAGTTCAATCAACAATTGGCAACAAGCTAGGTCAGTAGTTTACGAAAGTGGTCATCTATACAGTGCCTGAGTTTGGGTTCTGGGCCTGGATCATGTAAGAAAGGCAGCAAAGTCTGGGTGCCATGAATCACACCTGCAATCCCAGCACTTTGGAAATCTGTGGTGAGAGGATCTCTTAAAGCTATGGCCTTGAAACCAGCCTGGGTAACAAAACCAAGCCCTTGTATCTAAAAAACAAAAGGGCAGGTAGATTCCAGATAAATAATGTTGCAGGAAGGGGGTGATAAAATACAGAAATGTGATACACAGCAAACCCTCAACTGCTGTTTCATTGGCTCCCAGTGTCTTAATCTGTGTCTGCTAACACTTTAAGGTACATCTGAAATACCCCCCAAACCCAGAAAGCTTTTCAACAGCTAGGTTGTCCAAGAACTTGGAAAATTCACCTTCTGATGTCCTCCAAGACAGATTCCTGCAGAGGTAAAAAAAAAAGTTCTTATTGGATTGGAAAATACAAATGAACACAATATTTAACACTATGTAACCTAGGAGCAAAAGGTTGCTATTATAAAATCAGTTAAATATTTAAACAGATACCTACCATTTTTTATACACCTTATTTGCTCAGACCTGGAAAAAATAAAACCAATGTTTTCAACAAGTGATGATTACTCCCTTTCTCTGTATAGAAATCTTTATCATCCCTCAGACAGTTCCTTCTGGAACAAATCTTCCTCTTCTCCCCCAGCCAGTCCCAGTGGGTTCACCTTTACAGGCTCTGGGACTAGGACAGAGAGTAAGACATGTGAAAGTTTCTTCATTGGGAATTTTTAGCATAGTCCACCTTACATTTAGGTTTACTCACCTGTAACTTCAGCCTGGAGTGAACACAGACACCTAGTTTTCCTGCAAAATCAAGAAAGAAAAATGTAGTCTTGAGAGACTTTCATTCTATGTCACATTTTACAATCTCTCAATTGTATCTATTGCTTGGCAGAAAGAAGTTTCAGGGCACATTTTATAGGAAACACTACTTAGCCCAAGAACTTCCTATTGGCTGTAAAGCCTCCTCAAATAACTTGCAATTTTTAGAACATGTCACTGGAAGGCAGGCTCACAGCTCAGAAAATACCTTTCAGTCACACATTGATCAGACTGGGGCGGTATTCAACTCATCACTGGTGAGCAGCAATTCATCACTGGTGGTTCAGGAGATCAAAGACTTTGGGTTAAGCCAGTTATGTCTGTGTACATTCACCCAGACCACAGTGCTATCACACACAAAAATCACAGAAAATTTTATATAGCAGCCATTGATGGTAACTATTGCAAAGCCATTTACCTCAAACTCCTCTTGGGCTTTAGAGAGAAGGTGCTGGCCCTGAAAGGAGGAAGACCAAGTCAGTAGTGCTTCTCATATCCCGCATTATGTTGTTCCCACCCATCATTCTCAGAAAATCAGATTTCAGAGTCTCAACAGCAAGTCATCAGCCGAACGAGATTCCATGTAAGTCATCACAAACACAGGCCTAAAAAGGCACTTTTTCCTACCCTATATACTGAGTGCATTGAATACCGTGAAATTACTCACCTTTGAGCCAAGCAGGTTATTGGTTAGTAGTACCTAGAGAAAAACAAAGCTGTGGGTGAAAGATTCCTCAGACATGGTTACCCCCCACTCCCTGCGTTCTCCAGTTTCTCAGGTGTTCATGTATTTTCACTGTCGGTCATAGTGAGCTAGTTTGATTCATCATAGAAACTGCCTACTTGGTGGCATAAGCTGTAAGGAACAAAAAATATCAACTAACCTCTCAGCTCTGAAGGCTTTTCAATGGTATATAGCAACAAGCTGCTCCTGAATCAAAAAATCATTCAATTAGCTAATTATCCCAAACAGCCAAAACTATTTTAGTTACGGTTGCTAATGGACAAACTAAGAAAAGGTAACCAAATGTCTCAGACAATTCCTTATGGAATAAGCTCTCATGCCCTCTTCATGTTAACCCTGGTGAGTTCACAATTACTGGTTCCCAGGCTAAAACAGGGGTAAGGCAGGATGTTTCCTCCTCATTGGAGCAGAATCCTGGAAAGCTACAACTGACAAGCATTCGTCTGACCCTGGGCAGATCAGTGGGCATCTATCTGAGAAAAAAGGGGCATATATCAGTGGGCATCTATCTAGAAACATCACTACAGAGAACAAGAGGAACCAGAAAACTTTATGGGTTAAGCAGGCTTTGGTAACAAATATCAAAATGGCTAAGTTATCTATTAGATAATAGGCCCATAGAATTCGAAAAACAACTTACTGTAAGATAGAGGCAGACTGTCATCAGGAATACCTGGAAAGGAAAGCAAATTAGTTATTTTAAGGTATTAGGATGGAATGAAGCTTATTCATAAACAACAACTGCCATCAGAACTCTAACATGCTATTAACTTTTGTACCTCACAGAACATCAGCTTATCAATTCAAATCATCTGACAGTAACGTGATCGATATATGGATGAGGGTAACAGCACACCCTTACAAGAACTGTAGTACCGGGTTGCGATCTCCCTCCCCAGAAAATCATTTCAAGAGGAACAAGATGGAAGGCGCCAAAAAACATTGTTCCGCCGGCCACTTGTTTTCTTGAACATTTACAAAGATGACATACACCAATTTGGATAATTACCTGTATTCACCCTGGGAGGCAGCTGAATTCCCCAGGATAGATTATGAGATGCTGTAGACAACAGAGGAAAGCATTTTATGTACCTAAAAATAGTCATTCAAAGACCCCTTAAGACCTCTCTCTCACTTCTCAGTAGTAAGATGACATCACTTGAAAGTTCAGCCATATGCTTGTCATTTTGTGTTCATCATGGAGTGGTTATCTACAAGGTCTCCTCTGTAAGAGCATAAACCATGTACACCTACCTGGAACATTACTGTAACGCTGGCTTTGCATAAAGATGGGTCTTGTCCCATTCCTTCACCAGTAAGCTCTTGTGGGCTGAACATCTGAAAAAATAACACCCTTCACTAACACCTCAGACAAATCAATAGGGCCCTGACATTTGTTGCGTACAGTACAGTGCTACTCAGAATTTTCTGTTTTCTCCACTAATCCATCAGAAAGAGAGAGTTCAGTTCGTAAAATCATCCCCGTAGCAACTTCCACACACTCAACGAAAGAGCAGAGATTAAGAAATGGCCGTAAGAACTTACTGCAACAACAGAGCTCTCTTCGGTTCCAACGTGCGCGTAAATCCTGCAGACAGGAGCCCAATAAGACATTAGGTCAACTCAGGGCATTTCGAAAACGCTATTTTCTGAACAGACGGCTAAGCAAGAGGCTTGCAGGGCCCATCTCCTCAGAGTTATTTATCCTCACGGAGCTCAGTACAGGTCTGTGAAAAGGTCCTCATCATAGGAAGGGGGACCTACACGGCCCGCCATCGCCATTTTGTCCTTCACAAAGCCCCACTGCTACTTTTAAGCCTCGAGGCCACGCACAAGACCTTATCCGCCAGTCGCCCTGGCCAGGCAGCTACAACACAGAAGGCATAGTGCGTGCTATGCTATGTTCGCACAATCGCTCAAAAGAAAATAAAAGAAAAAGACAAAGTACAAAAGAGTAACAGCTATAAAGACCACGAAGCCACTTACCACGAGCAGTAGAAAAATGAGAACGAATCTCCCCGGGGAGACGATTAAATACCATGCCGCAGAGGCCCACGGGATTTGGGGGCGGGGCTACGGCGAGCGCACGCGCATACGTTGACCGCATGCGACCCCGGGGAGTTGTGGGTAGAGAGTTCCAGGGAAGGAGGGCGTAGACAAAGCGCCACCTGAACTTGCGGCGCGAAAAAGGCGCGCATGCGTCCTACGGGAGCGTGCTGGCTCACCGACCGCATTGCGGCTTGGTTTTCTCACCCAGTGCATGTGGCAGGAGCGGTGAGATCACTGCCTCACGGCGATCCTGGACTGACGGTCACGACTGCCTACCCTCTAACCCTGTTCTGAGCTGCCCCTTGCCCACACACCCCAAACCTGTGTGCAGGATCCGCCTCCATGGAGCTACAGCCTCCTGAAGCCTCGATCGCCGTCGTGTCGATTCCGCGCCAGTTGCCTGGCTCACATTCGGAGGCTGGTGTCCAGGGTCTCAGCGCGGGGGACGACTCAGGTACTGGATCCCGGGCTAAGCTCGGGAGGAGGTCCCCTTTGGTGGGGCCATTTCGGGAAAGTATGTCAGGACGTAAGTGCTTCACTGAAGACAGGATCTGATTTTTTCCTAACTGGTTCCCTATGTCCTGCCTTCTGGTGCGTTTTCTTTAGATCTTGGACTACTACGGGCCAACATTAGCTAACATTTATGGAGCACCGTTTTAAGCACACTATATGAATCGATTAATCCACCAAAATCCCAAGAGCTAGGTAGGATGACAACCCCCATTTTATTGATGGGGAACCCTAAAGAGCTCCGGCGGTGCTGCCTGCTGCAACTCCTGCCTGATCAATATGGTTGCAGTCAGCTATAGACTGTTTTACTGAGACCGGACAACATTAGTTCAGTCGTTTGTGGTAAACATCTACGTGTACAAGCACACTTTATAAACATTTTTTTCTTTCTTTTTTTTTTTTTTTGAGACGGAGTTTCGCTCTTGTTGCCCAGGCTGGAATGCAATGGCCCGATCTCAGCTCACTGCATTCCACCTCCCGGGTTCAAGCAATTCTCCTGCCTCAGCCTCCTGAGTAGCTGGGATTACAGGCATGCGCCACTGTGACCGGCTAATTTTGTATTTTTAGTAGAGACAGGGTTTCTCCATGTTGGTCAGGCCGGTCTTGAACTCCTGACCTCGGGTGATCCGCCTGCCTCGGCCTCCCAAAGTGCTGGGATTACAGGCGTGAGCCACCGCGCCCGGCCAAACATTTTTTTCTTTCAAGACGGAGGCTTGCTCTGTCGCCCAGGCTGGAGTGCAGTGGCGGGATGTCTGTTCACTGCAACCTCCGCTTCCCAGGTTCAAGCGATTCTCCTTCCTCAGCCTCCTGAGTAGCTGGGATTACAGGCTCCCGCCATCATCATGCCACACTAATTTTTGTGTTTTTCGGAGAGACGGGGTTTCATCATGTTGGCCAGGCTGCTCTCGAACTACTGACCTCAGGTGACCTCCTGCCTCAGCCTCCCAAACTGCTGGGATTACAGGGGTGGGCCACCACACCCGGCCTGGCTCAGCATTTTGGGAGGCCAAGGCGGGAGGATCTCTTGAGCCCAAGAGTTCAAGACCAGTCTAAGCAACATAGTGAGAAACCCATACCGATCTCTACAAAAAAAATAGAAAAAATTAGCCAGGAGCGGTGGTGCATGCCTGTAGCCCCAGCTGCTTGGGAGGCTAAGGTGGGAGGATTGCTTGAGCCCAGGAGGTTGAGACTGCAAATGAGCTGTGATCAAGCCACTGCACTGCACTCCAGCCTGGATGACTGAGATTGACCCTGTCTCAAAAAAAAAAAAAAAAAAAAAAAAAAAATGTGGGACAGATAAACTGGAAAATCAAGATGGCCCAGAGTAGACAGACAAGGCTGGGGAGGTTGTGTGTGGGAATGGCAGTCGGGAAATGCTTTATAGAGTGTCTGGGCCTGAAAGGGTAGAAAGACTTGGGAGGGGAATTCCAGTTAAAGGAACAACTGGAGCACAAGCTTGGTGCTAGAAAAAGAAGGAAGTGTGTAGCTACAATTCATGAAAGATGGGCAAAAGGGGAGTATTAGAATATAAAACTGGAAAGTATTTCCTGGGGAAAGCCAGATAAGCAGGACCTTGAATGCAAAGCTAAATCATTTGAATTATACATAGAAAAGAAAAAAAAACCGGGGAGAGTTTTTAAGTAGGAAAGTGATAAGACATTGGGGGATAAGATGGAGACAAGGGCATTAATTAGATTGCCATAGTAGTTTAGGCAAGAGGATTCAATGCTAACAAGTATAATGGCAGTGGAAGTGGAAAAGAGGGGATTTAGGTTAGGGGTCTCCAACTCACGTACAGAAATCAGCTAAGTAATGTAGGTAAGTGAAATGAACTGAGTTGGGACTCTGGTGAACTGGGCAGCCCTTTCACAGCTCCAGCTGATTGTTGCCTTGCGACAATATTGTCTCTGTGTGATCAGATAGTCAGTTTTCAAAAGAATCCAGAAGTCCAGAATTGTGTATTTACTCACGTTGAAATGTTGAATTTAAAATTTTTTGGCCGGGCGTGGTGGCTCATGCCTGTAATCCTAGCACCTTGGGAGGCCAAAGTGGGCGGATCACCTGAGGTCAGGAGTTAGAGTGAAGGGGTGGGTTGCCCCTCCACACCTGTGGATGTTTCTCCTAAGGTGGAACGAGAGACTTAGGAAAGAAAAAGACAGAGACAAAGTATAGAGAAAGAAATAAGGGGACCCGGGGAACCAGCGTTCAGCATATGGAGGATCCCGCCAGCCTCTGAGTTCCCTTAGTATTTATTGATCATTCGTGGGTGTTTCTCGAAGAGGGGGTTGTGTCAGGGCCACAAGACAATAGTGGGGAGAGGGTCAGCAGACAAACACGTGAACAAAGGTCTTTGCATCATAGACAAGGTAAAGGATTAAGTGCTGTGCTTTTAGATATGCATACACATAAACATCTCAATGCTTTACAAAGCAGTATTGCTGCCCGCAGATCCCACCTCCAGCCCTAAGGCGGTTTTTCCCTATCTCAGTAGATGGAACGTACAATCGGGTTTTATACCGAGACATTCCATTGCCCAGGGACGGGCAGGAGACAGATGCCTTCCTCTTGTCTCAACTGCAAGAGGCATGCCTTCCTCTTATACTAATCCTCCTCAGCACAGACGCTTTACGGGTGTCGGGCTGGGGGACAGTCAGGTCTTTCCCTTCCCACGAGGCCATATTTCAGACTATCACATGGGGAGAAACCTTGGACAATACCTGGCTTTCCTAGGCAGAGGTCCCTGCGGCCTTCCGCAGTTTTTGTGTCCCTGGGTACTTGAGATTAGGGAGTGGTGATGACTCTTAAGGAGCATGCTGCCTTCAAGCATCTGTTTAACAAAGCACATCTCGCACCGCCCTTAATCCATTGAACCCTGAGTTTGACACAGCACATGTTTCAGAGAGCACGGGGTTGGGGGTAAGGTCACAGAATCTCAAGGCAGAAGAATTTTTCTTAGTACATAACAAAATGGAGTCTCCCATGTCTATTTCTTTCTACACAGACACAGTAACAATCTGATCTCTCTTGCTTTTCCCCACATTAGAGACCAGCATGGCCAACATGGTGAAAACCCTTCTCTACTAAAAATTCAAAAATAAGCCGGGCGTGGTGTGGGTGCGGTGGCAGGCGATTGTAATCCTAGCTACTTAGGAGGCTGAGGCAGGAGAAGTGGTTGAACCCGGGAGGTGGAAGTTGCAGTGAGCCAAGATCACCCCACTGCACTCCAGCCTGGGGGACAAGAGTGAGTCTCAAAAACAAACAAAAAACCAAAATATGCCCGTGGGCCAAAGGTGGCCTTTGATTGTGAGTTTGCAACCTCTTGTGAGTGACATAGAATCTACTAGAAAAGAGGGCATTTTAAAAAAAGTAGGCTGGGTGGAGCGGCTCACGCCTGTAATCCTGAAGGGGGCCAGCCCCTCCACACCTGTGGGTATTTCTCGTCAGGTGGGACGAGAGACTGAGAAAAGAAATAAGACACAGAGACAAAGTATAGAGGAAGAAAAGTGGACCCGGGGACTGGCGCTCAGCATACGGAGGACCCGCACCAGCACTGGTCTCTGAGTTCCCTCAGTATTTATTGATCACTATCTCTACCATCTCAGCCAGAGGGATGTGGCAGGACTATAGGGTAATGGTGGGGAGAGGGTCAGCAGGAAAACATGTGAGCAAAGGACTCTGTGTCATAAATAAGTTTAAGGAAAGGTGCTGTGCCTTGATGTGCACGTAGGCCACATTTATGATTGACTTTACACAAACATCTCAGCGCAGTAAAGAGCAGTATTGGCCGGGCGCGGTGGCTCACGCCTGTAATCCCAGCACTTTGGGAGGCTGAGGTGGGTGGATCACGAGGTCAGGAGTTCGAGACCATCCTGGTTAACATGGTGAAACCCCGTCTCTACTAAAAATACAAAAAAAAAATTAGCCGGGTGTGATGGCGTGCGCCTGTAGTCCCAGCTACTTGGGAGGCTGAGGCAGGAGAATGGTGTGAAACCTGGGCGACAAGGCGAGACTCTGTCTCAAAAAAAAAAAAAAAGCAGTATTGCCGCCAGCATGTCTAACCTCCAGCCATAAGGCGGTTTTCTCCTATCTCAGTAAATAGAATGTACAATCGGGTTTTATACAGAGATATTCCATTCCCAGGGACTAGCAGGAGACAGATGCCTTCCTCTTATCTCAACTGCAAAGAGGCCTTCCTCTTTCACTAATCCTTCTCAGCACAGACCCTTTATGGGTGTCTGGGGGACGGTCAGGTCTTTCCATTCCCATGAGGCCATATCTCAGGCTGTCTCAGTGGAGAGAAACCTTGGACGATACCCAGGCTTTCTTGGGCAGAGGTCCCTGCGGCCTTCCGCAGTGCACTGTGTCCCTGGGTACTCGAGACTGGAGAATGGCGATGACTTTTACCAAGCATACTGCCTGCAAACACATTTTTAACAAAGCACATCCTGCACAGCCCTAAATCCATTAAACCTTGAGTCAATACAGTGCATGTTTCTGCGAGCACAGGGTTGGGGCTAGGGTTACAGATTAACGGTGTTTCAAGGCAGAATAATTTTTCTTAGTACAGATCAAAATGGAGTTTCTTATGTCTTCCTTTTTCCACATAGACACAGTAACAGTGTGATCTCTCTTTCTTTCCCCCACATAATCCCAGCACTTTGGGAGGCCAAGGCAAGCAGACTACTTGAGCCCAGGAGTTTGAGACCAGCCTGGGCAACATATGGAGCCCGTCTCTACAAAAATAAAAATTAGCTGCGTGTGGTGGTGCATGTGTATAGTCCCAGTTCTGGGGGAGGCTGAGGTGGGGAGGATTGCTTGAGCCCAGGAGTTCAAGGCTGCAGTGAGCTTTAATTGTGCAACAAATAGAGGCCCTGTCTCAAAAAAAAAAGAGGGTTTCACTCTTGGTCACTGTAACCTCAAACTCCTGCACACAAGCAATCCTCTGGGCTGAGCTGGGACTACAGGCATGGGCCACCGTGCCCAGCTAATCTATTTTGCTTTTTGAATAGACAGAGGTCTTGCTGTGTTGCCCAGGCTGGTCTCAAACTCCTGGGCTCAAGTGATTCTCCAGCCTTGGCCTCCCAAAGCAATCCCTAGGTAACAGACTCAGTCTGGCTTCCTGGCTCTGGCTTCTTCCCTTCTAGTTCATTCTCCACACTGTAGTCAGAGTGATCTTTACGAATAAAAACTCTGGTCGGTCGGGCACAGTGGCTCATGCCTGTAATTCCAGCACGTTGGGAGGCCTAGGCGTGTGGATCACTTGAGGTTGGGAGTTCGAGACCAGCCTGACCAACATGGAGAAACCCCATCTCTACTAAAAATACAAAATCAGCCAGGCGTGGTGGCATATGCCTGTAATTCGAGCTACTCAGGAGGCTGAGGCAGGAGAGTCGCTTGAGAAAGGCGGAGGATGCGGTGAGCTGAGATCGTGCCACTGCACTCCAGCCTGGCCAACAAGAGCAAAACCTCTCTCAAAAAAAAAAAAAAAAAAAAAAAGTCTGGTCAGGTCCCACTTCAGCTCACAATCAGTTCAGTGCCTCTCCATTGTCTTTAAGCTATAGCCCAAATTGATCAATACAGCCATTAAGAAGTGCTGCTAGGCCAGGCGCGGTGGCTTACCTGTAATCCCAGCACTTTGGGAGGCCAAGGCAGGCGGATTACCTGAGGTCAGGAGTTCAAGACCAGCCTGGGCAACATGGTGAAATCCCGTCTCTACTAAAAATACAAAAATTAGCTGGACATGTTGGAGTGTGCCTGTAATCCCAGCTACTCGGGAGGCTGAGGCATAAGAATTGCTTGAACCTGGGAGGTGGAGGCAACGATGAGCTCATCGCAACGATGAGCTGAGATCACGCCATTGCACTCCAGCCTGGGCGACAGAGTGAGACTCTGTCTCAAAAAAAAAAAAAAAAAAAAAAAAGCCCTGCTTCTAACAGGGCCAATGGCTCACACCTGTAATCCCAGCACTTTGGGAGGCGAAGGTGAGAGGGTCCCTTGAGGCCAGAGGTTTGAGACCAGCCTGGGCAACATAGTAAGATGAAACCCCCATCTCTACAGGAAAAAAGCCCTTCCTCCCTATCGCCACCCCTCCCCCAAGCCTAAACTACCCCTTCTCACCCACAGTCAACTCCCTGGGGTTTGATTTTATCTAGGTAAATCATCCTGCTATCTCTATTGTCTAGCAGAATACAATTCACAAATAGGACTCAATATACATTTATTAGTTACCTCTATAAGTTTTTTTCAGTTTGCCTCTTTATGTTGGGAATGCTGTAAATTTTTAAATGATCTTTTCTCAGCCAATTCATTGACTGTCCTACCTTACCAAATGATTTTGCTCTTAGAGAGGTCTGGAGAGTGTTTGTTCAAGGAGCAACCCTGCCCCCACCTGGCAGCAAGAGGCACTGCCTCAATTAATAGAGGAGAAGGATATGCAAATGACCAGTGCTTGTCAGGGAACTGGCAGAGACGTGACAGTGGAGAAAAGGCTCAAATTCTTTTTGAGATGGGGTCTCATTCTGTCACCCAGGCTGGAGTGCAGTGGCGTGATCTCAGTTCACTGCAACCTCTGCCTCCCAGGTTCAAGCGATTCTCTTGCCTCAGCCTCCTGAGTAGCTGGGATTACAGGCGCTGCAACCACTCCCAGCTGATTTTTATGTTTTTAGTAGAGACGGGGTTTCACCATGTTGGCCAGGCTAGTCTCGAACCCCTGACCTTAAGTGATCAGCCTGGCTTAGCCTCCTAAAGTGCTGGGATTACAGGCGTGAGCCACCACTCTGGGCCTCAATTTCTTTTCTTTTTGAACCAGGATCTCACTCTGTCACCTAGGCTGGAATGCAGTGTGTGATCACGGCTCACTGCAGTGTTGAACTCCTGGGCTCAGAGGATCCTCCCACCTCAGCCTCCTGAGTAACTGGGACTGTAGGCATGTGCCATCACACCCAGCTAATTCTTTAATTTTTTGGAGTGTGACAGTGCCTCACTATGGTGCCTAGGCGGGTCTCCAACTCCTGGGCTCAAGCGACCAAATTGCTGGGAAACAGGCATGAGCCACTATACCTGGCCCAACATAAATAGAATTTCCTGGGTTGTGGAGGAGTGTGACATTGAGGTGGTCTTCCAGGGAAGAGGTGCTTTTACAACTGCAGTGGGTAACATGGGTATCTGGGCTACCTGCTCATGCAATGTACTAATGTTTTCTGGTTCTGCTTTCAGCTTCATCATGAATATACCATTTCCATCTTTATATCTGACTAAAGGGTCTGTCTGACTTTATGACTTGATAGGTCTGACAAGACCCAATTCATAATGGGGCAGTTCTGGATGCTTCATAGTCAAGCTTTCCAGTAACAGCCCTGATGCTGTTTCTCAAAAGGCACCTACTTCCCTGCTTTGGACAGCTTGGCCTTGCTCCAGAATCTCAGGGACTTGCATTGTGCTTTTGCCATAGGAGCTTGCCATAAGTTCTACACTGAATCTTTTTTTCGCTACTGATACTTTGAACCCCCAGGATCTGCTGGATTGCATGGCTTAAGTGTGCATTGCATCCTAGACTTGATGCAGAGCCCTTTCCTGCTCAGAGTTTGAGTCAAAGTTGGCAGCTTAGCCGGTATGTGGGCTGGAGATATATTTCTAAGTCTGGATGTGACAGACACCACACCCGTGCATTCTTTTTGTCTTTAATGGTGGCACTAATCTCTGTCCCTCCCCAGGATGTGATACTGCTTTTGATTTACTATCATAGCTGAAGAGAGGGAGGGGTTTTAGAGATCTCTTTGTCTGTCCCACTATGATAGGTCTTACCTCTTAGGCCAAGGACCCAATGCGATTACTTCAACTCCTAAGTATATCAATCCTGTTAAATACTTGGTTTTTTTTTTTTTTGAGATGGAATGTGCTGGCTTGCAGTGGTGCCATCTGGGCTCACTGCAACTTCCACCTTCCGAGTTCAAGCAATTCTTGGTCCTCAGCCTCCCAAGCAGCTGAGGCTATAGGCGCGCACCAGCACGCCTGGCTAATTATTTTTTTTATTTTTATTTTTATTTTTGAGACGGAGTCTCGCTCTGTCGCCCAGGCTGGAGTGCAGTGGCGCGATCTCGGCTCACTGCAAGCTCCACCTCCCGGGTTCACGCCATTCTCCTGCCTCAGCCTTGCGAGTAGCTGGGATTACAGGCGCCCACCACCAAGTCTGGCTAATTTTTTGTATTTTTAGTAGAGACGGGGTTTCACTGTGTTAGCCAGGATGGTGTCGACCTCCTGACCTCGTGATCCGCCCGCCTCGGCCTCCCAAAGTGCTGGGATTACAGGTGTGAGCCACCACGCCCGGCCGCTAATTTTTTTTTTTGTTTTGAGACAGAGTCCCACTCTGTCGCCTAGGCTGGAGTGCAGTGGTGCAATCTCGGCTCACTGCAACCTCCACCTCCTGGGTTCAAGCAATTCTCCTGCCTCAGCCTCCCATGCCCAGTCCCCGTTTAAACACTTGGAACTGAGGAAATATCTAGTGATGGGTCCATGGACAAGCAGACTTACTATGAGCTAGTAAGTTTTGGCTAGGACTTCAGTTACTGCCTGACACCTGTAAGTCCCCACTGTAATGTGGGAATCATGATGAAGCTTTGGGTTTCCAGGTCTCAATGTCAGCTCAGATCTTGTGCCCAAAATCCTCAAAGTGTTTAGGCATTTCCCTTTACCCAGTGTACCGTTATCTGAGTAAGTGATATGTTGACATTCTCCCTTTTAGGAGGAACTGGCAGAACCGTTACAGTTTTAGCATCCTTTCGTAGGGATTTGTGTACCTCTTCAGTAATTGAGTTTTGGATGTGAAAGTTGTTTCAGCCAGGTGCGGTGGCTCATGCCTGTAATCCCAGCACTTTGGGAGGCTAAGGCAGTCAGATCACTTGAGGTCAGGAGTTTGAGACCAGCCTGGCCAATGTGGCGAAACCCCATCTCTACTAAAAATACAAAAATTAGCTGGGCATGGTGGCGTGTGCCCGTAATCCCAGCTACTAGGGAGGCTGAGGCAGGAGAGTCCCTTGAACCCTGGAGGTGGAGGATGTTGCAGTGAGCCTAGATTGCACCACTGCACTCCAGCCTGGGCAACAGAGCAAGACTCTGTCTCCCCCACAAAAAAAAAAAAAAAAAAAAAAGTTGGCTTAGATCCAGGAGCTGAATCAAGGATTTTGCCTGTTTATTGTGGTGATTGCCCTTAGCTGCCTCTTCCTCCTCTATTCTTGCCTTTTTCTGTTTGTAGATGCTTAGTAGCATCCTTTTTGGCTATCCGCATATTTTTCCCCTAAGGATGCCATGCTCTATTGTATCCACAACTCTGTGAATCAAACGCCTCATGGCTACCCCTGCAACATTGACAGTTTTATGGTAGTTGCATATTTCTGGCTTTTGGCAGCTAAGCAATGCTACCCAGCCTCTGTTACGTGTTGGGAGATACTTCCCCGTATATCTTGAGTAGCTCAGCTCTGACTGCTTCTCCTGTCATCAGCTGTGGACTGCTCAGAAGCCACCACTGAATTTCTAAGTGATGCTGATGTCCACCGATGTCACCAGTATATTCTTGATGGTCTTGTAAATGTGTCCTTCGGGTCCTTTCTTGGAACACCATTCTCTGGTCTCACATAGTACAGTATAGTACGTATATCTATTCCAGCATGCCCACTTTTTTCAGCCACTTTTTTTTTTTTTTTGGATGGAGTTTTGCTCTTGTCGCCCAGGCTGGAGTGCAATGGTACGATCTTGGCTCATTGCAACCTCTGCCTCCTGGGTTCAAGAGATTCTTCTGCCTCGGCCTCCCAAGTAGCTGGGATTACAGGTGCCTGCCGCCATCCCCAGCTAATTTTTGTATTTTTAGTAGAGACGGGGTTTCACCATGTTGGCCATGCTGGTCTTGAACTCCTGACCTCAGGTGATCCATCCTGATGGGAATGTTAATTGTGGTAGTTTCTTTGCTTTTTTTTGGCAGGTGGGGGGGTGGTCTCACTCTATTGCCCAGGCTGGAGTGCAGTGGCACGATCTTGGCTCACTGTAAACTCTATCTCCTGGGTCCAAGCTACTCTCGTGCCTCAGCCTCCCAAGTAGCTGGGATTACAGGTGTGTGCCACCAAACCTGGCTAATTTTTGTATTTTTAATAGAGATGGGCCTTCACCATGTTGGCCAGGTTGATTGCAAGCTCCTGACCTCAGGTGATCCGCCCTCCGCAGCCTCCCAAAGTGCTGAGATTACAAGGTGAGCCACCGCATCTGGCCCTGCTTTTTTGGTCTGTGAGCCAGAATAGTATCTGTTCTTATCCTCTAACATCTCATCAGTTCTGTACTTGAGGATACTTTATCAGATAGATTTTTGGAACAGGGAGATTGAATAAAAACTTAAACTTGCTCATCCTTTTTACAAGTCAATATAGTATTGCATTACCTCCATGAATGCTGTGGTTCTACCTTTTGGGGCAGATGTCAGTTAAAATTCAGACTGTCACATTCCACCGTATCTTTTGGTTTCTGGAAAAAACTTTAAGGTGAATCTGCTATTTCTTTTTTCTTCTTTTTCTTTTTCTTTCTGTTTTTTTGAGATGGAGTTTCTTGTTGTGCAGGCTGGAGTGCGATGGACTGATCTCGGCTCGCCGCAACCTCCGCCTCCCAGGTTCAAGTGATTCTCCTGCCTCAGCCTCCTGAGTAGCTGGGATTACAGGCATGCGCTACCACGCCCAGCTAATTTTTTGTATTTTTAGTAGAGATGGGGTTTCTCCATGTTGGTCAGGCTGATCTTGAACTCCTGACCTCAGGTGTTGCGCCCACCTCGGCCTCCCAAAGTGCTGGGATTACAGGTGTGAGCCACCGTGCCTGGCCTATTTCCCTTTATTCTTTCTCTTTTCTTTTCTTTTTTTTTTTTTTTTTTTTTTGATACAGAGTCTCGCTCTGTCTCCAGGCTGGAGTGCAGTGGCCCGACCTTGGCTCACTGCACTCTCCGCCTCCCGGGTTCAAGCTATTCTCCTGCTTCAGCCTCCCGAGTAGCTGGGATTACAGGCGTGCACCATCACACCCAGCTAATTTTTGTGTTTTTAGTAGAGACGTGGTTTCACCATGTTGGCCAGGATGGTCTCGATCCCCTGACCTTTTGATCTGCCTATCTCTGCCTCCCAAACTGCTGGGATTACAGGCGTGAGCCACCGTGCCCGGCTGCTTCCCTCTTTCTTTAAATTTAATTTAATTTTTAAAATTAAGATGTTTATCTCACTATGTTGCCCAGGCTGGTCTCAAACTCTTGGCCACAAACAATCCTCCCACCTCAGCCTTTCAAAGTGCTGGGATTATAGGCATGAGCCACCATGCCTGACCCCTTTTTTCTTTAACATTATGTTTTTGACACATTTTTGCCTATCTTTTATGTCCTGGTTCTTTCAAATTTAGTCATTTCTAGTATTCTAGTTAGAAATTTTCTACAAATTATTTTACAAATGTTCTACAAATTATTTTTCAAAAAAAATTTTTTTTTTTTGAGACAGTCTCACTCTTGTCGCCCAGGCTGGAGTGCAATAGCATGATCTTGGCTCACTGCAACCTCTTCCACCCAGGTTCAAGTGATTCTCCTGCCTCAGCCTCCTGAGTAGCTGCGATTACAGCCTCCTGCCACCATGCCCAGCTAATTTTTGTATTTTTAGTAGAGACGGGGTTTCACAGTGTGGTCCAGGCTGGTCTCAAACTCCTGACTTCAGGTGATCTGCCTGCCTTGGCCTCCCAAAGTGCTAGGATTACAGGTGTGAGCCACCACGCCTGGCCTATTTTTCAAATTTCCAAATTTTTACTACTATAACCAGTGCTGCAGTGAAATCTTTTATATATTGTTTTGTGTACATGTGTGAGAGTTTCTCTAGGGTATGAATCTAGCTAGGACTGTTGGTGGGTAAAAGGGTATTTTCATTCTTTTTTTTTTTTTTTTTTGAGATGGAGTCTCACTCTCTTGCCCAGGCTGGAGTGCAGTGGCACGATCTCCACTCACTGCAACCTCTGCCTCCTGGGTTCACGCCATTCTCCTGCCTCAGCCTCCTGAGTAGCTGGGACTACAGGCGCCCGCCACCACGCCTGGCTAATTTTTTGTATTTTTAGTGGAGACGGGGTTTCACCATGTTAGCCAGGATGGTGTTGATCTCCTCACCTCGTGATCTGCCCGCCTCGGCCTCCCAAAGTGCTGGGATTACAGGCGTGAGCCACCGTGCCCGGCCAAGGGTATTTTCATTCTATAGGCGGTTGCAAATTGCTCTCCTAGAACGGATGTACCAACTAATGTTGCCACTTATGCAATTTGTATCCTCCTAATCACTTGGTTTAGTCAGATGTTTTCATATTGCCAATCTGACGGACATGAAATTCTATTTTCTTGCCATTTTAATTTGCACTTTCCAGATTACTAATGAGGTTTTGTAATCTTTACCATTCTTTTGTATATCTAATTTTGTGAATTGGCTTTTTTGTTTTTGAGACGGTCTCATTCTGTCGCCCAGGCTGGAGTGCAGTGGTGTGATTTCAGTTCACTGCAACTTCTGCCTCCCGTGTTCAAGTGATTCTCCCACCTCAGCCTCCCGAATAGCTGGGACGACAGGCTTGCACCACCACGCCCCGCTAATTTTTGTATTTTTAGTAGAGACAGGGTTTCACCATGTTGGCCAGGCTGGTCTTGAACTCCTGACCTCAAGTGATCCACCCACCTTGGCCTCCCAAAGTGCTGGGATTACAGGTGTGAGACACCACGCCTGGCCTGAATTGGCTATTTCTATTATGTGATTAGAATAGAATTTCTATTTGGTGGGTGCCGTGGCTTACATCTGTAATCCCTGCACTTTGGGAGGCCGAGATGGGCGGATCACAAGGTCAGGAGATCGAGACCATCCTGGCTAATACGGTGAAACCCTGTCTCTACTAAAAATACAAAAAATTAGCCAGGCGTGGTGGCGGGCGCCTGTAGTCCCAGCTACTCTGGAGGCTGAGGCAGGAGAATGGCATGAACCCAGGAGGCGGAGGTTGCAGTGAGGCGAGATTGCACCACTGCACTCCAGCCTGGGTGATAGAGCGAGACTCCATCTCAAAAAAAAAAAAAAAAAAAAAAAGAATAGAATTTCTATTTGGTGATTTTTTTTCTTGATGATTATTGGTTTTTTTCGTACTGGTTTTTAGTGATAATTTATATGTTTCATCTACTTTGTTAGCTATATTAGTTTCAGATAGTATGTCTTCTATTTGTGGCTTGTCTTTTCAGTTTGTTATGGCAAATTGTGATGCATAATTTTTTCTCTTTTAATGTTGCACAATTTATTTGTCTTTTTCTTCATGATTTATTCTTTTGTGTATTTTTTTTTTTTTTGAGTTGGAGTCTTGCTCTGTCGCCCAGGTTGGAGTGCAGTGGCGCGATCTCGGCTCATTGCAACCTCTGCCTCCCGGGTTCAAGCTATTCTCCTGCCTCAGCCTCTTGAGTAGCTGAGATTACAGGTGCCTGCCACCACGCCCAGCTAATTTTTGTATTTTTAGTAGAGACGGGGTTTCCCCATGTTGGCTAGGCTGCTCTCTGGCCAGGCTTGTCTCGAACTCCTGACCTTGTGATCTGCCCGCCCTGGTCTCCCAAAGTGCTGGGATTACAGACGTGAGCCACCGCACCTGGCCTCTTTTGTTTCTTCTTTAAAACTCTTTTCTTATCCTGAGGTCAGAAAGATATTCTTATTTTTTTCTGAAATTTTATTTATTTACTTATTTATTTATTTTTTTTTGAGACAGAGTCTCACTTTGTTGCCAGCCTGGAGTGCAGTGGCGTGATCTCGGCTCACTGCAACCTCTGCCTCCCAGGTTCAAGCTATTCTCCTGCCTCAGCCTCCCAGGTAGATGGGACTACAGGTGTGCGTCACCACGCCCAGCTAATTTTTGTATTTTTAGTAGAGATGGGGTTTTTTTTACCATGTTGGCCAGGATGGTCTTGATCTCGTGACCTTGTGATCCGCCCGCCTTGGCTTCCCAAAGTACTGGGATTACAGGTGTGAGCCACCGCGCCTGGCCTATTTGATTACTTAGAATATAATTTTGTGATTGGTGTGAAGTAGTGATCTAATTTTATTTTTTTATAGTACCATTTGGTAAATAGTTCATTCTTTCCCCACTGATTATATTATCTCTGTCGTATATTGTTTCAAGTATGCATGAGTTATTTTTAGGCTCGTTTTCTGTTCCGTTGGACACTTGCCCATCCCTGTGTCTTTAGCATACTATGATTGTTACTTTATACATTATTATTATTATTATTTTTTTTTTTTTTTGTAGAGTTGGGGTCTCACTGTGTTGCCCAGACTGGTCTCGAACTCTTGGCCTCAGGTGATCCTCTTCCCTCAGCTTCCCAGAATGCCGAGATGATAGGTAATAATAATAATAATAATTATTATTATTATTATTATTATTATTATTATTATTATTTGAGATGGAGTCTTGCTCTGTTGCCCAGGCTGGAGTGCACTGGCGCGATCTCCACTTACTGCAAGCTCCGCCTCCTGGGTTCAAGGTTCAGGTGTTTCTCCTGCCTCAGCTTCCTGAGTAGCTGGGACTACAGGCGCCCGCCACCACGCCTGGCTAATTTTTGTATTTTTAGTAGAGACGAGTTTCAGCATATTGGCCAGGCTGGTCTTAAACTCCTGACCTTGTGATCCGCCTGCCTTGGCCTCCCAAAGTGCTGGGATTACAGGCGTGAGCCATTGCGCCCGGCCTGATTACAGGTAATTATTCCTTTAGCAAATAACATGCCTGCTGCCTGGTAGGGCTTATCTTTTTTTTTTTTTTTTGGTGTGAAGTCTTGCTCTGTTGCCCAGGCTGCAGTGCAGTGGCGTGATCTTGGCTCACTGCAACCTCTGCCTCCCAGGTTCAAGCAATTCTCCTGCCTCAGCCTCCCAAATAGCTGGGATTTCAGGCACCCGCCACCATGCCTGACTAATTTTTTGTATTTTTAGTAGAGACGGAGTTTTGCCTCATTGGCCAGCCTGGTCTCGAACTCCTGATCTCAGGTTATCCGCCCGTCTCGGCCTCCCAAAGTGCTGGGATTACAGGCGTGAGCCACTGTGCCCAACCATACTTTATATAATATTATTATTATTATTATTTGTAGAGACGGGGTCTGACTGTGTTACCCAGGCTGGTCTTCAACTCTTGGCCTCAAGTGATCCTCCTGCCTTAGCTTCCAAGAATGCTGAGGTTACAGGTAATTATTATTTTAGCAAATAACATGCTTGCTATCTGGTAGAATTTGTCTTTAAAAATACGATTTTTTTTCTTTAAAGATATCTTTACTATTCTCTGCCCTTTTCTCTTGCACATGAATTATAGAGTCATCTTACAAAGTTCTCACCACCAGATATTAAGATTTGTATTAGAATTGCATTTGGATTTTTAGATTGTTTGGGGAGCACTAATTTCTTTATGACATCAAATCTTTATTTTATTATTATTATTATTATTTTTTGAGATGGAATCTTGCTCTGTCGCCCAGGCTGGAGTGCGGTGGCGTGATCACAGCTCACTGCAACCTCCGCCTCCTGGGTTCACGCCATTCTCCTGCCTCAGCCTCCCAAGTGGCTGGGACTACAGGCACACACCGCCACGCCTGGCTAAATTTTTTTTGTATTTTTAGTAGAGACGGGGTTTCACCATGTTAGCCAGGATGGTCTCGATCTCCTGACCTTGTGATCCGTCTGCCTGGCCTCCCAAAGTGCTGGGATTACAGGCGTAAGCCACTGCACCTGGCCCTCTGCTTTTTTAAAAAAAGAATTCATTAGCTGAGTGCAGTGGCTCACGCCTCTAATGCTAGCACTTTGGGAGGCAGATCACTTGAACCCGGGAGTTCGAGACCAGCTTGGACAACATGACAAAACCCTGTCTCTACCAAAAAATACAAAAATTAGCCAGGCATGGTTGCATGCTCCTGTAATACCAGCTGTTCAGGAGGCTGAGGTGGGAGGATTGCTTAAGCTGAGGAAGTCAAGGCTGTAGTAAGCCAAGATCACATTACTGCACTCCAGCCTGGGCAACAGAGAGAGACCCTGTCTCAAAAAAACCCAAGAAACAGAAAACAGAATTTGTCTTTAGTTTCTCTATAGTCCAGCCTCCTTTTAAGAGACTTGGTGTTGAAATTAACCAATTTTTTCTTTCTTTGAGACGGAGTTTCACTCTTCTTGGCCAGGCTAGAGTGCAATGGCTCGATCTCGGCTCACTGCAACCTCTGCCTCCCCGGTTCAAGTGATTCTCCTGCCTTATTCTCCTGAGTAGCTAGGATTACAGGCATGTGCCACCACACCTGGCTAATTTTGTATTTTTAGTAGAGATGGGGTTTCTCCATGTTGGTCAGGCTGGTGTTTAACTCCTGCCCTCAGGTGATCCGCCCGCCTTGGCCTCCCAAAGTGTTGGGATTACAGGCGTGAGCCACTGTGCCTGGCCTAACCAATTTTTTAGTTGCAGAATGAGTGATATTTCAAATTCAATTTTCTGTTACAGCATACCATACTCTAAATATCTACTTCTCAATATTTTATATTCTCTTTCACCTTATTGATTATAAAATATATATATATTTTTCAGACAGGGTCTCGCTCTGTGGCCTTGGCTGGAGTGCAGTGGTGTGATCTCAGCTTACTGCACCCTCAACTTCCCAGGCTCAAGTGATACCTCCCACCTCAGCCTCCCGAGTAGCTGGGACTACAGGCATGTGCAACCACACTCAGCTAATTTAAAAAATTTTTTGTGGCCGGGCCTGGTGGCTCACGTCTGTAATCCTAGCATTTTGGGAGGCCAAGTCGGGCAGATCATGAGGTCAGGAGTTCGAGAACAGCCTGGCCAACATTAGTGAAACCCCGTCTCTACTAAAAATACAAAAATTAGCCGGGCATGGTGGTGGGCCCCTGTAGTCCCAGGTACTCTGGGAGGCTGAGGCAGGAGAATCACTTGAACCTGGGAGGCAGAGGTTGCAGTGAGCCGAGATCGCACCACTGCACACCAGCCAGGGTGACAGTGCGAAACTCTGTCTCAAAAAAAAAAAAAAATTTTGTACAGACAAGGTCTCACTATATTGCCCAATCTGGTCTTGAACTCCTGGGATCAAGTAATCCTCCTACCTTGGCCTTGCAAAGTGCTGGGAGTACTAGGTGTGAGCCACCACACCCGGCCAGCTAATTAAAATCAAACTTTTTTTTATAGAGACACGGGGTCTTGCTACGTGGCCCTGTCTGGTCTCAAACTTCTGGGCTCTAATGATTCTCCCATTTTGGCCTCCCAAATTACAGGCGTGAGCCATGGCACCTGGCCAGGCTCATCAGTTATTTGTTTTTTTGTTTATTTCTAATTTTTATTTTAATTATTTTAGACCAGTTCTAGCTCTGTTGCCCAGGCTAGAGTGCAGTGGTGCAATCATAACTCACTGTAGCTTCAACCTCCTGGGCTCAAGTGGTCCCTCCCACCTCAGCTTCCCAAGTAGCTGGGACCCCAGGTACTTGCACCATGCCCAGCTAATTTTTTTTTTTTTTTTTTTTTTTTTTTTTTTTTTTTTGGAGAAAGAGTCTCAAATAATTTATGTAGATCTTCCCTCTGCCCAGAGATACAGAGTTTAACTCTGTACATCTTGAGTGCAGGCTGCGCTTAGTGATTCTCTTCCTCAGAGTGTGATGACAAAGTTTTGGAGGGCCAGGGGAGGGAGAAAATGAGGATGCAGTATTGTGTGATCATGACTGCAGAAATAGCTGCTGTTGGAGGGCCTCAGTGATCATTTTAAGGTCTCTTATTGCTACTTATCTTTTTTGATGAGATTAAGTATTCTGTCTCTGATCAGTTGAATATCTGATGTCATTAATCCAAGGATAATATGTTAAAAGTACTACCCCATATTTTCCACATACTGACCTGCTATTTCTCTGGTGTTTATCTTTTAGTATTTGGTTTCATTTGAGAGAATGGCTTGCTGCAATGTTTTTCATTTGTCTAACTTACTTGAATACTGGATACTTTTCAGATGGTGCATTTATTTCTCTTCTCCTAAGAGATGACTTTGGTTCTATTTCTTTCACTCTTTCTGGCTTTTATCCCCACTTTGCATTCTTCACCCTTTAGTAAGACAACCCTGACAGGTCTCTTCTTTAGCAGCCAGTGTCCCTCCTATAGGATTCATAGTAACAATTAATAGTATTCTGACATGGGTTCTTCAGATAGTAGCTGCGAAGTGAACTGCTTTAGTTGGAGTCTTTTTCTCTGCTTTAATTTCAGCCACGCTTTGACTTCCAAATGCTCAATTCCTCACCCATCTTTCCTTTTTCTTTTTCTTTTTTTTTTTTTTGGAGACAGAGTCTTGCTCTGTCACCGAGGCTGGAGTGCAGTGTAATCTCAGCTTACTGCAACCTCCGCCTCCCAGGTTGAAGGGATTCTCCTGCCTCAGCCAAGTAGCTGGGATTACAGGCACCCGCCATCGTGTGCGACTAATTTTTGTATTTTTAGTAGAGATGGGGATTTGCCATGTTGGCCAAGCTGGTCTCGAATTCCTGACTTCAAATGATCTGCCCGCCTCATTCTTCCAAAATGCTGGGATTACAGGCATGAGCCACCACACTGGCCTCATTTTTCAAATGGCTAAAATCTTCAAGATTTCTGGCTGATTGGTATTTTAGAGGCAGCTTTGATGTTTTGTTTCTGGGTCTTTGGAATAGAGTCTTGGGCTTTCGAAGATTTATGGAGGCTGTTGGACAGAGACAGTCTCCTGAAGAGTTTCTAGCTGTCCTCCCATCTTCTCTCTGCCTTTAGAAATCCTTCTTAGATGTGGCCGGGCACGGTGGCTCACGCCTGTAATCCCAGCACTTTGGGAGGCCGAGGCGAGTGGATCACGAGATCAGGAGATCAAGACCATCCTGGCTAACATGGTGAAACCCCGTCTCTACTAAAAATACACAAAAAAATCAAAATTAGCTGGGCGTGGTGGTGGGCACCTGGAGTCCGCAGGAGAATAGTGTGAACCTTGGAAGGCAGAGCTTGTAGTGAGCTGAGATCGCACCACTGTACTCCAGCCTGGGCGACAGAGCGAGACTTCATCTCAAAAAAAAAAGTCCTTCTTAGATGTTTTTAGTTGTTTGTTTATTTTTCGAGATGGAGTTTTGCTCTTGTTGCCCAGGCTGAAGTGCAATGGCACGATCTGGGCCCATTGCAACCTCTGCCTCCCAGGTTCAAGCGATTCTCCTGCCTCAGCCTCCTGAGTAGCTGGGATTACAGGCAGCCACCACCATGCCCAGCTCATTTTTGTATTTTTAGTAGAGATGGGGTTTCACCACGTTGGCCAGGCTGGTCTCAAACTCCTGACCTCAGGTGATCCGCCCGCCTCAGCCTCTCAAAGTGCTGGGATTGCAGGCATGAGCCACTGCGCCCAGCCTGTTTGTTTGTTTTCAGATAGGGTCACCCTGTCAGCCAGGCTGGAATGCAATGGTGTGATTGTGATCACAGCTCACTGCTGCCTCAACCTGAGGGCTCAAGTGATCCTCCCACTTCAGCCTCCTTAGTAACTGGGACCACAGGGGTGAGCCACCATGCCTGGCTAATTTGTTAATTTTTGTAGAGATGGGGTCTCCCTATGTTGCCGAGGCTGGTCTCAAACTACTGGGCTTAAGTGATCCTCCTGCCTTAGCTTCCCAGAGCGCTGGGATTAAAGGCATGAGCTGCTGTGCCTGGTCAATCCTTTTTACATGTTTGAGGAAAAATAAATGTCCTGTTTTCAGGCTAAGATCAAGTAATAATCCTCATGTGTTAGGAAGCATGTGACATGGATTTTTGCAGCAGAGGGTTAGAAAGGAACTTTCTTTATATACTTGGCCCCCTGCATTTCAGGGCTCCACCGCCATCTGTCTGTCTGAGTGTAAAGTGGACCTTATTGGCATCTGGGCTGCCAAACTGCTTTTTTTCCTTTGCTTTGCCCAGCCTTCTCTTGAAGGCTAAATTCTTGAAAAATTATATTCTTTGTGTTCCTATAGTAAATATTAAGCTTTATATCAACACATATGGCAGGATCTGAGGCTCTTTACTCACCTCTGGTCCATTTCTCTAGTCTTTTCTCTGTAGTCTTTTTGTTTTCCTGTCCTCCATCTCCTAATTTATTAGTTTTATTATTATATTTTATATTATTTTTTTGAGACAGAGTTTTGCTCTTGTTGCCCAGGCTGGAGTGCAATGGCGCGATCTTGGCTCACTGCAATCCCTGCCTCATGGGTTCAAGTGATTTGTCTGCCACAGCCTCCTGAGTAGCTGAAATTACAGGCACGCACCACCATACCTGGCTAATTTTTGTATTTTTAGTAGAAACGGGGTTTCACCATGTTAGCCAGGCTGATATTGAATTCCTGACCTCAATTGATCCGACTGCCTCGGCCTCCGGAAGTGCTGGGATTACAGGTGAGCCACAGTGCCTGGCAGTTTGTTTTATTTTGGTTGAACAGTTACAAGTCTTGGTTTGTTTTCCTGCAGCAACAGGTTTATCTTGATATGATACAGCGTTATTTAAATTCCTTTTCATTTTCCTGCCTTTGTCTTCACATGCTAGTTTTTTTCAGTTGTTTCTTTTTTCTTCTTCCTTTTCTTTTTTTTTTTTTTTGAGAGATAGTCTTGCTGTGTTGTCCAGGTTGCAGTACAGTGGTGCGATCTGGGCTCACTGCAACCTCTGCCTCCTGGGTTCAAGTGATTCTCTCACCTCAGCCTCCGGAGTAGCTGGGATTACAGGTGCCCACCACCACGCCTGGCTAATTTTTGTATTTTTAGTAGAGACAGCGTTTCACCATGTTGGCCAGGCTGGTCTTGAACTCCTGACCTCAATTGATCTGCCTGCCTTGGTCTCCCAAAGTGCTGATTACAGGTGTGATCCACCGTGCCTAGCCTGTTTAGTTGTTTCTAAGAAGGGAGATATTGGTTTTGATTGACATAGTTCATCCACTTATTTACCAAACACTTGCGAAGTGCCTACTATATGCTGCCTCCGAATAGGCAGGTTCGTCCACAATAGCACAAGGCTCCTGCCACTTGTCTTCAAGGACAAAGAGACATCCAGACAAACAAATGTAATAAACAAATGGGACATGATTGTAGCAGAGGCAGATGCATGGTGGAGGGAAAGTAATTTTGTCTGGGGAGTTGAGAAAAGCTGTCACTTGAGCTAGATCTTGAATGAATAGGAACTCATGAGGTTGAGTGGACAAACAGGAAGGGCCAACAGCAGAGGTATGGCATGTACAAGATGCAGAGCTCTGCCTGAAAAAGCCTGGTGTGTTGTGAGTCTGGCAGGTGTTTGAAGGCTGATGTGGCTGGAGGCTAGTGCCTGTGAAGCAGGTGGTGGCTGATAAGATTGGAGAGGCAAGCTGTTATCCTCTTTATGCATGCAGAAGGAATTGACTTCAGGCTGGGCACAGTGGCTCATGCCTGTAATCCCAGCACTTTGGGAGGCTGAGGCGGGCAGATCACCTGAAGTTAGGAGTTCAAGACCAGCCTGGCCAACATGGTGAAACCCTGTCTCTCCTAAAAATACAAAATTAGCCGGGTGTGGCGGTGCACGCCTCCTATAATCTCAACTACTGGGGAGGCTCAGGAAGAAGAATCGCTTGAACCTGAGAGGCACAGGTTGCAGTGAGCTGAGATCGCGCCACTGCACTCCATGCTGGGTGACAGTGTGAGACCCTGTCTCAAAAAAAAAAAAACAAAAAACAAAAGGAATTGACTTCAGCCATTTGGAGCCATGAGGATCTGTGAGTGAGATACTGTGTCATGTTGGACCATCTCAAAGACAGCTTCTGACCCCACAGTTCTCAACCTTGTTCTTACTTATTTTTAGAGACAGGGTCTCGCTCTGTCTCCTAGGCTGGTATGCAGTGGTGCCACCATGGCTCACTGCAGCCTCACAAACTCCTGGACTCAAGTGATCCTCCTGCTTTTGCTTCCCTTGAGTGTTGGCATCTCATGGGACTCCAGGGGCACATCACCAATTACAGATGATAATTTTTTTTTTTTTTGAGACGGAGTCTTGCTCTGTATCCCAGGCTGGAGTGCAGTGGCGCGATTTTGGCTCACTGCAAGCTCCGCCTCCCAGGTTCACGTCATTCTCCTGCCTCAGCCTCCTAAGTAGCTGGGACTACAGGCACCCGCCACCACGCCTGGCTGATTTTTTTTTTTTTTTTTTGCATTTTTAGTAGAGACGGGGTTTCACTGTGTTAGCCAGGATGGTCTCGGTCTCCTGACCTCTTGATCCACCTGCCTCGGCCTCCCAAAGTGCTGGTATTACAGGTGTGAGACACCACGCCTGGCCTTTTTTTTTCTTTTTTGAGACAGAGTCTCACTCTGTCACCCAGGCTGGAGTGCAGCCGCGCAATCTTGGCTCACTGCAACCTCTGCCTCTCGGGTTCAAGCGATTCTCATGCCTCACCCCTCCAAGTCTGGGACTACAGGCGTGTGCTACTATGTCCAGTTAATTTTTGTATTTTTAGTAGAGATGGGGTTTCACCATGTTGGCCAGGCTGGTCACGAACTCCTGACCTCAAGTTATCCGCCACCCTCAGCCTCCCAAAGTGCTGGGATTACAGGTGTCAGCCACCACACCTGGCCTGTTAGTTTTTTTGAGGCAGAGTCTTGCTCTATCACCCAGACTGGAGTGCAGTGGCCCATTCTTGGCTCACTGCAACCTCTACCTCCTGGGTTCAAGCGATTCTCATGCCACAGCATGAGAAGTGGGATTACAGGGATTAGTAGGTGGGATTACAGGTGTGAGCCACCACACCCAGCCAGGCCCAGATAATTTTAAAATTTATTTTTTTATTTATTTAGAAATGGAGTCTCACTATGTTGCCCCGTCTGGTCTTAAACTCCTGGCCTCAAGGAATCCTCCCTCCTTGGCCTCCTAAAGGGCTAGGTGACAGGCATGAGTCACACTGCGCCCAGCCTTGAGCTTTTGTGCTCGAGATATAGTCCATTCAGAACCTCTGGTTGGCACTTCTTATCTGGCACATGCAGGGCACCTTGGATCTCTTATTATCTTTGAGCACTGGTCTGAACCCACTTGCTTGCCTTCTCCCAGGGGCTGCCCCGTGCACCCCTTGTTCCTAGGGTGGGGATGGGGTTGGATGCCTGGGGTTGCAGAGGGGACTAGCAGAGGGTGACCCTTTTCTCTATGCTATTACTTCAGATCTTGGCTTTTGCTTTCTTCCAAATACACAGCAATCTTGGCTTCCAGCCTAGGTGGGAAAGGGAGAAAGAACCGATTTCCTCCAGCTCCTCTCTGAAAGTAGCCCAACTGGCACTGTTTAGGAACAAGGAGTTCCTGAGAGTGTTGGCACCCCACGGTGTTGATGTCCGGTAGTTCCCTGCTGTGAACCCTGTCTCTGCCCCACTTCAATCCAAGGACCCTGTGGAGGGAATTCTAGGCTTCTTCAAAGCCTCTGCAGTACCAGCTGCCTCCAAGGCCTAACATAGTGAAGTGATAGGGAGACAGGACCTTGGGGGAGTTTGGGGATAACTGTGGGAGTTCCTGCAAGGTGGGTAAGAGTCTGGCCATGGCATCTTCTGGTCTATTCCACAAAAAAGGTGGATGCCTCTGAGACCTAGCTCTGTTATGTTCATTACAGCCCTATCAGTCTCTTCTGGATGTCTGATTCCTAGCTGCCAAACATCCAGGTGCTAGCAGCTGGGGGTGGGGTAGGATAAGAAGGGGGGTGTCTACCTCAACCTTCCTGCCCAAACCATTCATTTTAAAGTACTGTGAAGAAGGCTGGATTAGTGTTAAATTCAATAAAGTTAACAAAGCAAAGTATTGTAGTGAGTACACAATAAATAGTTGCTGCATGAGGAATTTCTTGAAATGAATTCAAGATGAGTCTTGAAAAACGAGTGGGAGTAAGCCGTGCACGGAAGCAGAGGTCTAGCAGAGGTCTAGCGCCAAGTCCCAGAGGCCTGAGAGGGCAAGCCTTGGTGGGGGAAAAGGCAGAAGTTGTGACTGGCTGCCTCTGAGAGTGCAAGTAGCCATGCAAAGTTGGGAAAACCAGACGGCGGCCGGAGCCGTGAACCAGGGGCAAATGGAGGATGGTGTTGGGGTAGTCACTAGCCTGCCGGAATGGAAGAAGAGGGGCGTTTGGGGGCGGTAAGGCCTAAAGGACACTGGAGGGGCCTCGGGATTTGGGGCAGGATCACAGGCCTAGTCCACTTAAAGGTGGCTCCGTGCCAGGCCTTCCCAGAATCAGGTTGAAAAGAACTTTAGGGTTAGACAGGTTGGAGATGAGAAATTGGACCATGCAGGAAGTACTGTCGGAGGCGTGTTCCTGACTTTACTACCCTGAGCCGCCCACGGCTGGGGCAGTCCCCGAGGTTCCACCTTAAGGGGCGGGCCGGGGCGGGGCTCCGCTGCCCCTTCCCAGAGGCCGCGCCTGCTGCTGAGCAGATGCAGTAGCCGAAACTGCGCGGAGGCACAGAGGCCGGGGAGAGCGTTCTGGGTCCGAGGGTCCAGGTAGGGGTTGAGCCACCATCTGACCGCAAGCTGCGTCGTGTCGCCGGTTCTGCAGGCACCATGAGCCAGGACACCGAGGTGGATATGAAGGAGGTGGAGCTGAATGAGTTAGAGCCCGAGAAGCAGCCGATGAACGCGGCGTCTGGGGCGGCCATGTCCCTGGCGGGAGCCGAGAAGAATGGTCTGGTGAAGATCAAGGTGGCGGAAGACGAGGCGGAGGCGGCAGCCGCGGCTAAGTTCACGGGCCTGTCCAAGGAGGAGCTGCTGAAGGTGGCAGGCAGCCCCGGCTGGGTACGCACCCGCTGGGCACTGCTGCTGCTCTTCTGGCTCGGCTGGCTCGGCATGCTTGCTGGTGCCGTGGTCATAATCGTGCGAGCGCCGCGTTGTCGCGAGCTACCGGCGCAGAAGTGGTGGCACACGGGCGCCCTCTACCGCATCGGCGACCTTCAGGCCTTCCAGGGCCACGGCGCGGGCAACCTGGCGGGTGAGTGCAGCGCGCCCCCGTCCCGGGTACCTCCGGTTGAATCTGGTGGCTTGCACCGACCCCCTCCCCTGTCCCCAGACGGATCTAGATGGTTCTTCCCTCCATCCCGTACCGACGACTGTTCCCCCTTCCCCCACCCCCTCCCCGGCACATTGTCCTTCCCTCCTTTCTTTGAAGAAAGCCGACCCGCCCCTCACTCCGTCACGAGGGTGGGTGACTCAGCGTCCTCCTTCCCCGCGGCGCCAGAAGCCAGTTGCAACCGGTTTCTGAAGTAATGTGCAGGACTCCTTACATCAGCTCCTCTGAGTCTCGTGATTCAGCCTTGCCTCCCTCTCTCCCCCTTTGCCCCCTCCCCGTCCCACCCTTAGGCGCTGGGAGAAGGGAGGGTGGGGAGGTCAGGGGCCTCTCAGAGGGGCCTCACTTGTTAACCCAGCCCCCATTTCAGGTCTGAAGGGGCGTCTCGATTACCTGAGCTCTCTGAAGGTGAAGGGCCTTGTGCTGGGTCCAATTCACAAGAACCAGAAGGATGATGTCGCTCAGACTGACTTGCTGCAGATCGACCCCAATTTTGGCTCCAAGGAAGATTTTGACAGTCTCTTGCAATCGGCTAAAAAAAAGAGTGGGTATCCTGGGGTTCCCAAGGAAACAGCTAGAAAGGACTTGGCCAGAGGAAAAGTAGGCTAGAACTTTTGTCTGGTTTCCTGCTAACTGGCTCTGAGTTTTCCTAGGGCAGGTAGAGGGGAGATTTGTTAGTCTTCAGCCTAAAATGGATTTGTCCAGTCGTCTGGGGGCTTTCTACTTGGCTGTGGAATCTTGAGCAGGTCATTTAACTTCTGGGCTTCAGTGCCCTTATTTGCAAAATATAGATATTTACTAAACCAGTGGTTTTAAACTTGTAAAACAGTAGGTTTTTTTGGGGGGGGGGAATCCCAAATATTGTTTTACGACTCGATATAGACACATGTTTAAAAAGGTTCACTTTGGGAGTGGGGAACACAGGGGCCACTTCTCTGCACTATAAACTTTCTGCCTTCCAATATCTTTTTTTTTTTTTGAGATGGAGTCTCACTCTTGTCACCCAGGCTGCAGTGCAGTGGAACGATCTCAGCTTACTGCAGCCTCCTCCCCCAGGGTTCAAGCGATTCTCGTGCCTCAGCCTCCTGAGTAGCTGGTACTACAGCCGTGTGCCACCACACCCAGATAATTTTTTTATTTTTAGTAGAGACAATTTTCAACATGTTGACCGGTCTGGTTTTGAACTCGCCTGGCCTGCCTTCCCATATCTTAAGGCCCTTCCTTGCTCACATCTGTTTCAATGGAATGAATTTTGCCCGGGTTCAAATTCAAGCTTTTGTACCAAGTAATACATAGGAAACACTCAGTGACTTGCATTTGTGATTTCCTTATTTTCCCTTAACTCATAGACTGTCTCATGATTGCGTCTTCCTCCGTTGTTTTAGGCATCCGTGTCATTCTGGACCTTACTCCCAACTACCGGGGTGAGAACTCGTGGTTCTCCACTCAGGTTGACACTGTGGCCACCAAGGTGAAGGTGAGTGTTGGAGCTGATGGCTGGTGGAAGTCAGATGCTGGGGCTGGGACAGTCCTTTCACAGCAAGCCCTGTAGACCCAGCCTGACTCCAGCTGAGGGTCCCTTTGCTCCTTAGGACCAAGGAGGAATGCCTCCTCCTATAGCCAAAGGATAGGCCAATAGCACACCTGTTTTTCTTGTTCCTTTTCTGACCTCTTATTTTTCTTATTTCCTTGACTCTGAGGATGAGACAGTGCCAGGAAGGGACCTTCTCAGAAGTCAGTCTGGAAGTTTGATTTTTCTTTCTTTTGGGAGAGGAAGCCCTTTCTCTGTGAGAATCCTGTCCTGACTGGTTTCCCAGTTCTTGTTTGATGTGTTTGGAATAGAGCCCAGTCTGAAATTATAAGCACTGGGGTACTCCTATGTGTCTGGGACTCTATGCCAAGTATTTTATAGATGTTTTCTAATTCTCTGTATAACCATACAAGGTATATAATTTGCCATAGGTTCAAATGTGTACCCAGCAGGCTAGGAGTAGGGCTTTGAATGTCACCTAGCTCCTGATGTCTGGGTCCTAGGACACTGACCTGTTCAGAATGGGTAGAACAAAAATGGAAGCAGATACTGACACTGCTGGTAGCTGTGATTCTAAGATAGAATTCTGGACTCCCAGCATTTGGGTAGGACCCCGGGATCATCCAGTTTAGGCCTTGCCAGTTACTAGGGGACCCTTTAAAAGTTGCTGATGAGGGAATGTTTTTGGATGGTTTGGCATGAGGGGCGGTACCCTCAGATGGAAATGGAGACCAGAGGAGAGAGTACATGGCCCAGAGAAAGGGAAGAAAAGGAGAATGGGGGTGAAGTTCCACAGTGTGTGCAGGACTGCCAGGATTCCATTCAGCAGCACTGGCCTCTTTTCAAATCTAAACTGCCCTGGGGCTATGCTTTGAATTTCAATCTTTCATCCTTGGCCTTGCTCTGAGCAGTTATTGTACTCACACCTTCCCCAGGCCTCAGGAAACTGGGAGAGGGGGGATCTTGACTGACATTTTAGATCCTGTCTGCTGCTCACTGATTATGACTGTGGACGCGTCTCCCTGCTTCTCTGGGTCTGTTTCTTCATCTCTAAAATAGGTATGCTAACATTCCAATGCTAAGTGTTAAACGAAGTTATGTTTATGGACATACCTTTTCTCTGGGGCCTTTTCTGTGGCTTTCAAAGTTGAAGCTGTGTGATTTGCCAGAGGCAAGAATGAGAAGTAAAATGCTGTAGCACTAAGAAAATGAGTGGAAGGGTAGAGCTGGAGGGGTCCAAAGGCTAAGCCTTTGTAGTGCAGGTGGGGAAGACCCAGGCAAGGCACAGGACTCTCCCCAGCTCCCGGGGAAGTGTGTGGTGGGTGAGGTTTAGTGTGGGCTGGAATTTTCTGAGCCTTTTCCTGAGAACTGATGTCTGTCCTTTATTCTTCTGCCCCCTATAGGATGCTCTGGAGTTTTGGCTGCAAGCTGGCGTGGATGGGTTCCAGGTTCGGGACATAGAGAATCTGAAGGTGAGTTCCCTTTCCACATTAGGGACAAAGCTTGGGCGAGAACAGAGGGACTCAGCTAGAGCCTCATAATATTCTCTGGTCCTTGATTCTGCTTTTTTCTTTCTAGGATGCATCCTCATTCTTGGCTGAGTGGCAAAATATCACCAAGGGCTTCAGTGAAGACAGGTGGGTGCAGGAGCCATTCTGCTGACTCAGCTCCAATGTGGGAACCCCTCAGTGGAGTGCTAGGCCTAAGAAGGGGGGATTCCTAGTCTAGAGCATTTTCTTTACCTTTATTCTTTCTTTAGCTTTTTTTTTTTTTTTTTTTTTTTTTTTTTTTTTTTGAGATGGAGTTCCGCTCTTTTTGCCCAGGCTGGGGTGCGATGGCGTGATCTTGGCTCACTGCAACCTCTGCCTCCTGGGTTCAAGCGATTCTCCTGCCTCAGCATCCCAAGTAGCTGGGATTACAGACGCGGGCCACCACACCTGGCTAATTTTGTATTTTTAGTAGAGACGGGGTTTCTCCATGTTGGTCAAGCCAGTCTCGAACTCCTGACCTCAAGTGATCCACCCGCCTCAGCCTCCCAAAGTGTTGGGATTACAGGCGTGAGCCACTGCGCCTGGCCCCATTCTTTCTTGTGCTAACCTTGAACTCCTCCCTCCCCTCTGCAGGCTCTTGATTGCGGGGACTAACTCCTCCGACCTTCAGCAGATCCTGAGCCTACTCGAATCCAACAAAGACTTGCTGTTGACTAGCTCATACCTGTCTGATTCTGGTTCTACTGGGGAGCATACAAAATCCCTAGTCACACAGTATTTGAATGCCACTGGCAATCGCTGGTGCAGCTGGAGTGTGAGTACCATGCTGGTGGGAAAGGGGGCAGATGGGAGAAGAAAGGGTTGTTGGGAGACAGAGGCAGAGGTGGGTTATGGGGCTCACTGGAGTGTCTCTCCCTGTAGTTGTCTCAGGCAAGGCTCCTGACTTCCTTCTTGCCGGCTCAACTTCTCCGACTCTACCAGCTGATGCTCTTCACCCTGCCAGGGACCCCTGTTTTCAGCTACGGGGATGAGATTGGCCTGGATGCAGCTGCCCTTCCTGGACAGGTACTGCTTGCTGTCTTTCTGTCACAGGGAGGTTGTTTATCCATCTTACAATGATGATTCTGGGGATGGCGGCACATAGACGTGAGCCTTGGGGTGAAAACGCGTTTGATTCTTAGTCAGTAGCTGAGTGGCTATGTGGCTTTGGGCAAATTATTTTACCTTTCTGAATTTTGGTCATCCCTTGTGTTACTGCATTTCTTGAAGGGTGGTTAGTATTAAATGAGGGCATGTTTTTAATGGTAATGCCTGGTACCTGGCAGATGTTTGCTATGGTAGCCACCATTCATTTATTCATTCCTTTATTCTTTGGACAGTGGGTACTGTGCTAGGCTCTGTGCCCTCAGGAGCTCATAGTTTAGTGAGGGAGCCAGATAAATAAGTGGAGAAGTACATGGCAGTGGCTGGGCACGGTGGCTCATGCCTGTAATCCTAGCACTTTGGGAGTCCAAGGTGGGTGGATCACTGGAGGTAAGGAGTTCGAAACCAGCCTAGCCAACAGGGTGAAACCCAGTCTCTACTAAAAATACAAAAATTAGCCAGGTGTGGTGGTGCACGCCTGTAGTCCCAGCTACTGGGGAGGCTGAGGCAAGAGAATCGCTTGAACCTGGAGGCAGAGGTTGCAGTGAACTGAGATTGTGCCACTGCACTTTAGCCTGGGCGGCAGAGGGAGACTCCTTCTCCAAAAAAAAAAAGAAAAGAAAAGAAAGAAAGAAATACATGGTAGGGATACTACTACAAAGGCATTCACTAGCTTTAGATACAGGGTTACTGTTGATCCCCGACTTTTTTTTTTTGTTTGTTTGTTTGTTTTTTGTTTTTGTTTTTAAGACAGCATTTCCCTATGTCGCCCAGGCTGGAGTGCAGTGGCATGATCTTGGTTCATTGCAGCCTCCGCCTCCCAGGCCGAAGTGATCATCCCACCTCAGCCTCCTGAGTAGCTGGGATATGTACCATAGATAGGTGCGTGCCATCATGCCCAGCTGATCTTTTTTTTTTTTGGAGACAGGTTCTTGCTCTGTTGATCTGGCTGGATTGCAGTGGTGCGATTATGTCTCACTGCAACCTCTGCCTCTTGGGTTCAAGTGATACTCCTGCCTCAGCTTCCCAAGTAGCTGGGAATACAGGTGGTCTGGGAATACAGGCACACACCACCATGCCCGGCTAATTTTTGTAGAGACAGGCTTTCACTGTTGTTGCCCAGGCTGGTCTCCAACTCCTGGGCTCAATCGCTCTGCCTGCCCTGATCTCCCAAATTGCTGGGACTACAGGTGTGAGCCACTGTGCCTGGCCACAGCTAATTTTTAAAATTTGTAGAGGTGTGGTCTCACTATGTTGCCCAGGCTGTTCTCAAACTCCTGGGTGCAAATGATCCTCCCACCTTGGCCTCCCAAACTGCTATGATTACAGGTGCGAGCCACTGCACCCGGCCATCAGCATGATGTTTATAGAACCAGTTATTCATTTATTCCACAGATGTTTATAGAATAATTTCTGTCTGTTACACTGAGGATACAGCATTGCACAAGAGAGCTGGAGGTGGTTAGATAATTAGATATGCATAAATAAAACGCCAGCTGCTGATCAGTGCTATGCAAAAGAAGGCGGGGTAAGGAGCCTAGAGACTAGGGGATGATGGGGCTTGTTTTATAGAGAGTAGCCATAGGAGACCTGGTAAGATAACCAAGCAGATACCTGAGGGAAGTGAGAGAGCTGGCTGGCAGCCATCTGGGAGCTCTTGGCTGAGGGGCAACAGTGTATGTGTGAGGACCCTGAGGTGGGAGCCTGCCTCACTCATCCAGTAGAAGTTAGCCAGGCCGGGTGTCGTGGCTTATGCCTGTAATCCCAGCACTTTGGGAGGCCAAGGTGGGTGGATCACCTGAGGTCAAGAGTTCGAGACCAGCCTAGCCAACATGGTGAAACCCCGTCTTTACTAAAAATACAAAAAAATTAGCTGGGTGTGGTGGTGCACACCTATGGTCAGCTACTGGGGAGGCTGAGGCAGGAGAATCGCTTGAACCCAGGAGGCAGAGATTGCAGTAAGCCAAGATCGTGCCATTGCACTCCAGCCTGAACAGAGCGAGACTCCGTCTCAAAAAAAAAAAAAAAAAAAAGTTAGCCAGACATGAGTTGGGGAGGTTATATATTGATGAGGATGTGAATGGGAAGAGGGATACGGGACAGTGGGCCCAGGGCTTTTTTTTTGAGACAGGGTCTCACTCTGTTGCCCAGGCTGGAGTACAGTGGTGGAGTCATGGCTCACTGCAAGCTCAAACTCCTGGGTTCAAGTGATCCTCCCTCCTCAGCCTCCCCAGTATCTGGGACTATAGGGATGTAACACTACACCCAGCTAATTTTTAAAAATTTTGTAGTAGAGATGAGGGCTCATTATGTTGCTGAGGCTGGTTTCAAATGCCTGGGCTCAAGCAATCCTCTTGGCCTTGACCTCCCAGACTGCTGGAATTACAGATGTGAGCCACCATGCCTGACCCCAGGCCTTTTTAAAGTCCTATTTTCTCTGCTTTTCAGCCTATGGAGGCTCCAGTCATGCTGTGGGATGAGTCCAGCTTCCCTGACATCCCAGGGGCTGTAAGTGCCAACATGACTGTGAAGGTAAGAGTTCTAGATGGGTAGAAACTGACCGGTGGAGGGTGGGCTGGGCTTGTAGAAGTCTGTACCCAGGGGAGCCCCTCACACGCTTCTGCTATGTTTTTATCATTCTTAGGGCCAGAGTGAAGACCCTGGCTCCCTCCTTTCCTTGTTCCGGCGGCTGAGTGACCAGCGGAGTAAGGAGCGCTCCCTACTGCATGGGGACTTCCACGCGTTCTCCGCTGGGCCTGGACTCTTCTCCTATATCCGCCACTGGGACCAGAATGAGCGTTTTCTGGTAGTGCTTAACTTTGGGGATGTGGGCCTCTCGGCTGGACTGCAGGCCTCCGACCTGCCTGCCAGCGCCAGCCTGCCAGCCAAGGCTGACCTCCTGCTCAGCACCCAGCCAGGCCGTGAGGAGGGCTCCCCTCTTGAGCTGGAACGCCTGAAACTGGAGCCTCACGAAGGGCTGCTGCTCCGCTTCCCCTACGCGGCCTGACTTCAGCCTGACATGGACCCACTACCCTTCTCCTTTCCTTCCCAGGCCCTTTGGCTTCTGATTTTTCTCTTTTTTAAAAACAAACAAACAAACTGTTGCAGATTATGAGTGAACCCCCAAATAGGGTGTTTTCTGCCTTCAAATAAAAGTCACCCCTGCATGGTGAAGTCTTCCCTCTGCTTCTCTCATAGCAGGAATTTCTCTCCTTCCTCCCCTCCCATGCGTCTCCTCCAACTCCTTCATTATTTATGTAGGGTCCCAGGGCCAGAGGAGAGGGGGCCTCCCAAAGTCAACAGCATGGAGGTGTCAGGGCTGGGAAAGCACCCATGCCTCACCCATGCTGGGCCACGGGGCTCTCTGGACATCTTGGGTCTTGCCGACTCTTAACTTCATCCCCTTCAGCAAAGGGCTCTAGCCAAACATAGTTAGTTTTCCTGTTTTTGCAGACTTGGCCTTTCACGGAGAGTAGGGGTGGGATGGTCTGGTTTTTAAAAGGTATTTCTAAAGGATACTAGAGGTCATGCATTCAAGAATTTGTTGAACACTCAGCACATACCAGAAACTGTCCCTGTTCTGGGGTCACAGCAGGGAACACAGTACAAAAATTCCTGCCTCCTTGGGGCTCATACCCTTTGGGGAGCAAAGAAAAAAGACACAGCTGTTGTAGTGCAGAGGATATGGTGACAGTGTTTTTATGGAGGAAAAAGTAAAGCAGGAAAGGTGTTTCAGGGTAGAGGGGGCCAAAGGAGGCCTCACCACGGAGGTGACCTGTGAGTAAAGGCCTAATAAGTGAGGGAGTTCACCTGGTGAGTATCTGGGGAAGGGGCTTCCTGGGACTGAGGGGTGGGAGCCTGGCTGATATGAATGAGGAAAGGAGTAAGGGATGAAGTCTCATCGGCAAGGAGTGGGCAGATCATGACAGTTGTAATAAGGTGGTCACGTAGGGTGCAGAGAGTTTGGCAGCCTACGTGGTTGGAGGGCATGGTCCCCACAAGTCTGTTTTCACTTCAATACCAGCTGCAAGTTCAGGGGTCCCCATGACCACCTTCAGGTAGGTAATAGACTAGAGTGACTCAGAACTCAGGAAGGTATTGGGATTATGGTTTTATTACAGCAAAAGCATACCCAGAGCCAGCCAAAAGATGAGAGGCCTGGGGCGGGGTCTGGGAGGGAGCTAAATAAGAAGCTTCCTGCTATCTTGCAATGGAGTCCTGGTACTTCTTCCCGGCCATGACGGAGATATAACCAGAGAAGCTCACTTGATCCTTGGGTGTGCCGAGTTTCCCCTGGTGTTTAATCACATAGTGCCCTGTGGCTGACCTTTAATCTTCAGCCCCTGTGAGAGCTTTGGGCTAAGGCCTTTAGTTGTCTCCATTTCCCCCAGAGGTTGCCTGTTCCAAAGCTCAGATCGTAAATCACATTTATCACTGACACTCCTGTTGGTCAGGACATTCCATGGGTCTAGAGGGCACTTACCAGTAGCCGAGGGTAAAGGCCAGACTTCCAAGTAAGAATTCTTCACTACACATAGAGTCTGAGGGAGTGGAATGGGAGTTGTTGGAGGGTTTTGAGCAGAGTGACATGGTCTCGCTTGGAATTTAACAGACTTCACTGGCTGTTACTAGCCAGCTTGCAGGGAGGCCAGTTAAGATGGTTTGTTCCTGCAACCTAGAATACTTTCTAGGATGGTAGTAGTGGAGGTGGTAAGAAGTGTTAAGAAGTGTTTGGGTCCTGCGTTTCTTTTTTTTTTTTTTTTTTTTTGAGACTCACTCTTGTCACCTAGGCTGGAGTGCAGTGGTGCGACCGCTGCAAGCTCCGCCTCCCAGGTTCATGCCATTCTCCTGCCTCAGCCTCCCGAGTGGCTGGGACTACAGGCGCCCGCCACCACACCCGTCTAATTTTTTTGTATTTTTAGTAGAGACGGGGATTCACCGTGTTAGCCAGGATGGTCTCGATCTCCTGATCTCGTGATCCGCCCACCTCGGCCTCTCAAAGTGCTGGGATTACAGGCGTGAGCCACGTGCCTGGCTGGTCCTGCGTTTATTGTGCAAGCAGATCTGCAGTATTTGCTGTTGGGATCCTGTTGCAGTACTAGTGATCTGCGCAGGCCTCATGGCCCTTGGAGTTAGTTCGGCTCTCTTAGTTTTCTTACAGAAAAGAATGCTGGCTGGGTGCGGTGGCTCGTGCCTGTAATCCCAGCACTTTGGGAGGCCGAGGCAGTTGGATCACCTGAGGTCAGGAGGTCGAGAACAGCCTGACCAATATGGCAAAACCCCGTCTCTACTGAAAATACAAAAATTAGCCGGGCATGGTGGTGGGCGCCTGTAATCCCAGCTACTCGGGAGGCTGAGAAAGGAGAATTGCTTGAACCTGGGAGGCGGAGGTTGCAGTGAGCAAGATCACACCACTGCACTCCAGCCTGGGCAAAAGAGCAAGACTCAGTCTCGGAAAAAAAAAAACAAAACAAAAAACGCGGGTCACTGGTGCAGGCTTCACTTCCCATGGGCTGTGTCCTGGAGTGGGCCTGGGCCTCTGAGGGTTTCCTGGTGTAGGGGAGAGATCAAGACATTAAAAGACCCAAATTAAGGCCCAGGATCCTGAGGCTGTCAGCACAGTTCCTGAGAAGACACTCAGCCTGCTGGGCCTTGGCTTCCCTCTGCCTAGGGTTTCCCTTCTCTCTCAGCAACCACCCCCACACCCGCCCCACCTTCTGGCTGTTGCCTGCTCTGGGCCTCTTCCTGAGGCTCCCCACCCTTCCCTGTCCATGTCCTTTCCCAGGGTCCCAGCTCCAGCCCTCCCCCTTTCCTCCTTCCTCTGCCTCCTGGACTCCCCTCTTAACACAGTTTTTATCTTAGTGCTATTATGGATGGAGCCTCATTATGGTTATGTGCTTATTTAATTTTCATCTTTTCCCCCGTCCTAACCACTAGACCACCAGGGAGATTTTCACTTAAGAAAAGTATAGTAAGGCCAACTGGTGGCTCATGCTTGTAATCCTAGCACTTTGGGAGGCTGAGGTGGGAGGGTTTCTTGAGGCCAGGAGTTTGAGACCAACCTGGGCAACATAGTGAGACCCCTGTCTCTATTAAAAAAAAAAATTAGCTGGGCATGGTTGCATGTGCCTGTAGTCCCAGCTAACCTGGAAGCTAAGGCGGGAAGATCACTTGAACTCTGGAGGTTGAGGCTGCAGTGAGGTATGATTGCACCACTGCACTCCAACCTGGGTGACAGAGTGAGACCCTGTCTCAAAAAAAAAAAAAAAAAAAAAAAAATTATAAGATACATGGCATAAAATTTACTATTTTATTTATTTATTTTTGAGATGGAATCTTGCTCTTTCGCCCAGGCTGGAGTGCAGTGGTATTCATCTGGACTCACTGCAACCTCCGCCTCCCGGGTTCAGGTGATTCTCCTGCCTCAGCCTCCTGAGTAGCTGGGAATTACAGGTGCCTGCCACCACACCCAGCTAATTTTTGTATTTTTAGTAGAGACGGTTTCACCATGTTGGCCAGGCTGGTCTTGAACTCGTGACCTCAAGTCATCTGCCCTTCTTGGCCTCCCAAAGTGCTGGAATTACAGGCATGAGCCACTGCGCCCGGCTGTTAGCAAGCATTTTTGAGTTACTGCTCTGTCTCTGGTACCATGCTCAACTTTCTGGGTACAGGGGTGAACAAGACCCTGTTCTGACATGATTTCCAACCTCCAAAGGACCAAGCGCTTGAAATGATAAGCACTGAGAACCTCTCTTAAGGGTTAAGGGCACCACAAACTGAGATAATGTAACAATGTAGCAAGTCATTGGTTTAATGACTTTCACTTTTAAGTCATTATGACACACACCTAGGAGGACTGTGGGAACCCTGTTCATGGAGGCTGAGGGCTCAGAGAAGTAAAGGGACCCTTCTAGACACAGCAATGGAGCTGCCATTCAGACCCAGGCCTTAGTACCATGGTCAAGCCCCATGTGCCAATGGACTTGGTCCTTCCTGGGATCCCTGGCCAATTACCTGCCTTTGGCTCATGGGTCAGGGTGGATATCTCTGTCAGCCTGAGCCATTCTTCTGGTTCCAATTGATGTGCTACATGTTGGGGACATAAACGGAACTAAAATACTGTCCTGCTGATCTGATTTTCACTGATCAGGAGTGAAAGCAGATGTGTAAGTAACCGGGGGTGAGATAAAGGCTGTAGAGCACCAGGCCCTGTGATGGACCGAGGAGGAGCTTAACCCCAGAGGGATCAGGAAAAGCTTCCTGGAGCCTTCATTTGAGCTGAGATTGAGGCACCAGAAGGCATTCACGTTATGCATGTGAAGGAAAAGGCCACCGGGTATAGGTGACATTATGTACCACTGCTCAGTTGAGACAGCCTGACGAATGTGAGGAACTGTAACTGGGACATAAAGTGTGATTTTGGACAAATTGGGAGAGTGGTGAGAGCCAACCAGAGGCTGAAGCACAAAGGGCTTTAACAGCCATGGCTCAAGTTGTCTGTACTTTACCCCATCATGTAGATCAGTGGTTCCCAGCCTGGTTATGCAGAATCCTCTGGAAAAAATTTTCCCATCCAACTTACACCAAATCAGAATCTCCAAGGGGCATATGCTGTGAATCTCCAAGGGTGTGAGCTTGGACGTTTATTTTAATTTTATTTTATTACTTTTTTTGAGAAGCAGTCTCACTCTGTCACCCAGGCTGGAGTGCAATGGCACAATCTCGGCTCACTGCAACCTACGCCTCCCGGGTTCAAGCGATTCTCCTGCTCCAGCCTCCTGAGTAGCTGGGATTACAGGTGCCCACTATCATGCCCCACTCAATTTTTGTATTTTTTTTAGTAGAGACGGGGTTTCACCATGTTCAGGCTGGCCTCAAACTCTCGACCTCAGGTGATTCGCCCGCCTTGGCCTCCCAAAGTTCTGAGATTATTGGCGTGAGCCACCGTGCCTGGCTGGAAGTTTATTTTTAGCCACCTTCCCCAAATGATTCTTAAAGCAGATCAGTGTTTCCCAAGTGTGCTGAGTTATGCCCGAGGGCAATGATTAGA
This sequence comes from Homo sapiens, assembly GCF_000001405.40. Classification (NCBI taxonomy): domain Eukaryota; kingdom Metazoa; phylum Chordata; class Mammalia; order Primates; family Hominidae; genus Homo; species Homo sapiens. Next base: position 62,893,737 of record NC_000011.10, read on the forward strand.
AATAAAAGCCTTCTCCTGCGCAATGGCTTGGGCCTGTAATCCCAGCACTTTGGGAGGCCGAGGCGGGCAGATCACGAGGTCAAGAGATTGAGACCATCCTGGCCAACATGGTGAAACCCTGTCTCTTCTAAAATAACAAAAAGTGGCTGGGCGTGGTGGCTCACGCCTGTAATCCCAGCACTTTGGGAGGAGGAGGCGGGCGGATCACGAGGTCAGGAGATCGAGACCATCCTGGCTAACACGGTGAAACCCCGTCTCTACTAAAAATACAAAAAACTAGCCGGGTGTGGTGGCTGGCGCCTGTAGTCCCAGCTACTCAGGAGGCTGAGGTAGAAGAATGGCATGAACCTGGGGGGCGGAACTTGGAGTGAGCCGAGATCGTGCCACTGCACTCCAGCCTGGGCCACAGAGCGAGACTCCGTCTCAAAAAAAAAAAAAAAAAAAAAAAAAAAATTAGCTGGGCGTGGTGGCGTGTGCCTGTAGTCTCAGCTACTTGGGAGGTTGAGGCAGGAGAATTGCTTGAACCCTGGAGGCGGAGGTTGCAGGTTGTAATAAGCCGAGATTGCGCCACTGCACTCCAGCCTGGTGACAGATCGAGACTCCGTCTCAAAAAAAAAAGAAAGAAAAGCCTTGAATTTTTCTCCTGGATGTTTTGATTCAGAAGGTCTGGGATGGGACACTAGAACCCATGTAACAAGCTCAGCTAAGAACAAGAGAAAGAACAAAAAAAGAACAAGAGGCCGGGCGCGGTGGCTCACGCCTGTAATCCCAGCACTTTGGGCGGCCGAGGTGGGAGGATCATGAGGTCAGGAGATCGAGACCATCCTGGCTAACATGGTGAAACCCCATCTCTACTAAAAATACAAAAATTAGCTGGCATGATGGTGCACACCTGTAATCGCAGCTACTCAGAAGACTGAGGCAGGAGAATCGCTTGAACCCGGGAGGCAGAGGTTGCAGTGAGCTGAGATCGTGTCACTGAACTCCAGCCTGGGTGACAGAGCAGGGCTCTCTCTCTCAAAAAAAAAAAAAAAAAAAAAAAAGTCAAGAAGACAGGCTGTGGATTTGGAGAGAAGGGGATGGGTTGGAGAAATGAGTCAAGAGAAGAGACTCCAGGATTTGTGACCACCTAGGTGGGATGGGCTGGATATGAAGGGAGAAGGGCTGTGCTGTGACTCCTGAGTTTCTAGCTTAGGTGACTCGGAGTGCAGGCTGGGGCCATCAAGCTGAGTAGTGGAGGCAGGAAGAAAAGTAGCTGAGGAGGCTAGGCACAGTGGTTCATGCTGTAATCCTAGCACTTTGGGAGGCTGAGGCAGGTGGATCATGAGGTCAGGAGTTCAAGACCAGCCGAGCCAACATGGTGAAACCCTGTCTCTACTAAAGATACAAAAAATTAGCCGGGCATGGTGGTGCGCACCTGTAATCCCAGCTACTTGGGAGGCTGAGATAGGAGAATTGCTTGAACCTGGGAGGAGGAAGTTGCAGTGAGCTGAGATCATGCCACTGCACTCCAGCCTGGGCAACAGGGTGAGACTCCATCTCAAAAAAAAAAAAAAAAAAAAAAAAAGAAAAGTAGCTGAGGGTGGAAAGCTGATCAGCTCCATGCAGATACGCTGGGTGCCCTTATCCTTGCAGGTGGAGGTTTCCAGCAGGGGAGAGTCTACAGCTCAGCAGAGGGCAAGATCTGGGAGCCCTGGGGGTAGAGGTGGGGGATTTGCCATGAGGATAAATGATGTGTGTGGGTGGAGAAGGGCAGAAGGGTGAGATTGGAGCCCCAAGGACTGGCAACATCTATAGACTAGAGACAGTTGAAGAGAGACCCACATAGAAGGCAGAGAACAGAGCCTGGGGCTGGTGATAGGAAGACAAGAAGAGGCCAGTTGGTATCCGTAGAACTGTCCCAGGTGGCCTTCAGATTTGGTGACAAGGAGAGCATCAGTGGTTTCTGGGTGATCTTCTCCAGAGCACTTCCAGGGGAATGTGGAGAAATTGATTTTTTTTAATTTGAAGGATGAGAAGGATTTGTACATGTTTCTAGATAGTATCAGTTGGAGCACCTGGTTTTCTTTTTCTTTTTTTTTTGAGACGGAGTCTTGCTCTGTCGCCGAGGCTGGAGTGCAGTGGTGTGATCTCGGTTCACTGCAAGCTCCGCCTCCTGGGTTCAAGCAATTCTCCTGCCTCAGCCTCTCGAGTAGCTGGGACTACAGGCACCTGCCACCACGCCTGGCTAATTTTTTGTATTTTTAGTAGAGACGGGGTTTCATTGTGTTAGTCAGGATGGTCTCGATCTCCTGACCTCGTGATCCGCCCACCTTGGCCTCCCAAATTGCTGGGATTACAGGTGTGAGCCACCGCGCCCAGCTGGAGCACCTGGTTTTCTTACGCAGCAAAAGAATTTATTGGAAGGCCACCAGGAACTGCCAAGAGGAAGCAGGACCAGACTTGGAAAACGGACAGGAAGCAAGCGCCAAGAAGCAGGAAGTACAATTGTCTTTTAACTGGAACAGCCTGGGATGCTGCCACCGAGAAACATTCTGCCAAGATGTGTGTGGCTGGGCACAAAGGCGTGCTGCACGGAGGCATTGGCCACCCTGGGTGGGATGTGGGTGGTGCTGAAATTCAGAACATGTTCCATTTGCAATGGCCCTTGCGTGTCCCGAGTTCAAGGACAAAGGGGGATCACCTCTTATTTCTTACAAAGGGCTCTCTCCACTGTAATCCCAGCTACTCAGGAAGCTGAGGTGGGAGGACTGTCTGAGGCCAGGAGTTTGAGACCAGCCTGGGCAGCATAGCGAGACCACAACTCTACAGAAAATAAAATAAATAGCCTGGCATGGTGGCACATGCCTGTAGTCCCAGCTGCTTGGGCGGCCGAGGTGGGAGGATTGCTTGAGCTAGGGAGGTTGAGGCTGCTGTGAGCCATGATTACACTACTGCACTCCAGCCTAGGCGACAGAGTGAGACCCTAAATCTAAAAAACAAAACACAGGGCTCCATCCAGTTGCCAAATCACGCACCCATGATACTGTCACTGCTCTGCAGGGACACCCTCTTAAAATTCACACAATGATGCTGATGTGGTTAGTGTGGCCCTAGAAATAGAATAGTCAATGGTGATTTTATTTTATTTTATTATTTATTTTTGAGACGGAGTCTCGCTCTGTCACCTAGGCTGGAGTGCAGTGGTGCGATCTTGGCTCACTGCAACCTCCACCTCCCGAGTTCAAGCATTTCTGCCTCAGCCTCCTGAGTAGCTGGGATTACAGGCACCCACCACCACGCCCAGCTAATTTTTGAATTTTTAGTAGAGACGGGGTTTCACCTGTTGGTCAGGCTGGTCTCGAATTCCTGACCTCATGATCTACCCACCTTGGCCTCCCAAAGGGCTGGGATTACAGGTGTGAGCCACTGAGCCCAGCCCGATTTTATTTATTTTTATTTTTTCATTTTGTTTTTGAGACGGAGACTTGCTCTGTCACCCAGGCTGCAGTGCAGTGGCTCAGTCTTGGCTCACTGCAACCTCTGCCTCATCAACGGTGATTTTAAGATTTTTGGTTTGAGCAGCTAGAAGATTGGATTTGCCATTTAATGAGATGGGGAAGGCTGCAGAAGGAGTGGACTTAAAAGGAGAAATAGGCAGCTGAGTTTGGGCCTTTAATGCCTTTGAAATCTTAGCCATTAAAGTGCAAATGTGAAGACATCAGCTGGACATACTGCCCTGCTATTCACGGAGAGGCCTGGGCTGGAGATGTGAATTTAGGAGTCCTCTGCACAGCTGGTATTTAAAGCCATGAAACAATAGGAGGTGATCAGGGGAGTAAGTGCAGAGAGGGAAAAGTAGAGGCCCCAGGACTCAGCTCTTCAGACGTTGGAGAAATGGGGGTGGGCCAGCAATACAGACAAAGCATGAGGGGACAGTGAGATAGGCAGAGGGGTGTGGTCCTGGGGATCAAGTGAGGAGGAAGAGGTAAATGCTGTCAAATGCTGCTGAGGGGGCCATGCGAGGTGGCTCACACCTGTAATCCCAGCACTTTGGGAGGCTGAGGCGGGTGGATCACCTGGGGTCGGGAGTTTGAGACCAGCCTGACCAACATGGAGAAACCCCGTCTCTACTAAAAATACAAAATTAGCTGAGCGTGGGGGCACATGCCTGTAATCCCAGCTACTCGGGAGGCTGAGGCAGGAGAATCGCTTGAACCCGGGAGGCGGAGGTTGTGGTGAGCCGAGATTGCACCACTGCACTCCAGCCTGGGTGACAGAGTGAGACTCCGTCTCAAAAAACAAAAAATTAATTGAGAATTAATAATAATTGTATAGATTTATGGGGTGTGATAAACCTCCAAGTGTCAGAGGTTTGGGGAGAAAGGAGAAATTGTGAATAAACCCCTCAGACCTTCCTATTCACAGTGTCTGTCTGGGGACCAGTAGCAACCACAGTAACAACTTGTTGGAAATACAGATTCTCAGGTTTACTCAGACCTATTGAGTCAGGGTCTTGCTGCCAATCAGGCTAGAGTCAGTGGTGCCATCATAGCTTACTGCAGCATCAAACTCTTGGGCTCAAAGGATCCTCACATCTCAGCCTCCTGAATAGCTAGGACTACAGGCATGCATCACCACACCTGGCTTTTTTTTTTTTTTTTTTTTTAACTTTTTGTAGAGATGGGGTCTTACTACATTGCCCAGGTTGGTCTCAAACCTCTGGCTTCAGGCAATCCTCCCACCTCAGGCTCCTGAAGCACTGGGATTACAGATGTGAGCCATTGTGCTCAGCCGGAATCTGCGTGTTTTTTTTTTTTTTTGAGTCTTGCTCTGTCACCCAGGCTGGAGTACAGTGGTGCCATCTCCACTCACCGCAACCCCCCACCATCCCGGGTTCAAGCAATTCTCCTGCCTCAGCCTCCCCAGTAGCTGGGATTACAGGCACGTGCCACCACGCCCAGCTAATTTTTGTATTGTTAGTAGAGGTGGGGTTTTGCCATGTTGACCAGGCTGGTCTTGAACTCCTGACCTCAGGTGATCCACCTGCCTGAGCCTCCCAAAGTGCTGGGATTACAGGCATGAGCCACCGCGCCTGACCCGGAATCTGCATTTTAATGAGATCCCAGGTGATTCCTATGCACACTCAAATTTGACAAGCTCTGATGCAGGAGTGTGGGAGAGCCACCATTTGAGAGATTTGCAAGTTGATTGCCATGTAGTGGGTGGCGGGAACAACTGGCTTGAGATCAACCTCTCAGCCTGCCTTTGTTTCTCTTGGTGCTGCCTTGAAGACTCCAGGTCCTTCTAACTGGTGGTGACAAAAAAAAAAAAAAAAAAAAATAACCACAGTATGATAAGAAAGAGAAAATGTGCCCTCTCCTTCTGCAGCAGCAGAAATAAAAAGCAGATTCTTTTTTGCATCGTAAAACCATCTTTGCAAATGTTATTTCTAACAAGGGAGTCTCGTCAGACAGTTAACTTTATGAGACTTGCTTTGTCCTGCGAAAGTAACCTTTAACTTTTAAAAAGCTTGTGATTCTGATTGCTTGTCTTCCTTAATAGTGTGTTGCCCTGGCAATAATATTTAAATTCACATCTGTGTTTTCTAGAAGGTATAAATACCTGTGAGTTTTCTTTGTTAAGCCAGAGGGGGAGCATTGACACATTCCTCTTCTCCCACGCGCATGAAGTAGAATAAACCCAGTGACTGCAAGATTTCTTAATCAAACAAAGAATTTGAGAATATTGTCTCATTTAAATCAACATGGAGACCAGGGGTGGTGGCTCACGCCTATAATCCCAGCATTTTGGGAGGCTGAGGTAGGAGGATTGTTTGAGCCCAGGAGCTTGAGACGAGCTTGGGCAACACAGTGACACTCTTTGTCTCTACAAAATAAAAAAAATTAGCTGGGTGTGGTGGTGTGCTCCTGTAGTCCTATCTACTTGGGAGGCTGAGGTGGGAGGATCCCTTGAGCCCAGTAATGTGAGGTCGCAGTGAGCCACTCCAGCCTGGGTGACAGAGTGAGACCCCCCAGCTCTTTTCTCTCTCTCTCTTTTTTTTTTTTTTTTTTTGAGACGGAGTCTTGCTCTGTCACCCAGGCTGGAGTGCAATGGTGCCATCTCGGCTCACTGCACCCTCTGCCTCCTGGGTTCAAACAATTCTCCTGCCTCAGCCTCCCGAGTACCTGGGACTACAGCTGCCCGCCACCATGGCTGGCTAATTTTTGTATTTTTAGTAGAGACGGGTTTTCACCATGTTAGCCAGGCTGATCTTGAACTCCTGACCTCAGGTTATCCACGTGCCTTGGCCTCCCAAAGTGTTGCAGTTACAGGTGTGAGCCACCACACCCGGCCCCCCAACTCTTAAAAAAAAAATCATGCAGGCAGCAAGTCAGAGGTAGCGGCCATGAAGAGAGGTGGAAGTTGAGAACAAGCACTTTTGGGAATAAGGCAAGTGAGTTGACTAAGGACAAGCACAAAGATGTGAGGTGGAGCCATGAGGCTCCTGAGCAGAGGTCAGGAACCCTACATTTGTTCTGGTGCCAATCTGCCAGAGAGTGGGAGCTTTTTCCAGCAGTGCCTGACTGCCCATGTGTCGGGTCAGAGAAGATGGATGGTAGCATTGACCCAGGGTGGTGAATTTGTGGTAGAAGCAAGGGGTCGGGGGATCATGAGTATTGGTGGTGCTGAGGAAAGACTGCAGGGTCCAGGCTGCTCAGGGAAAGAAAGCACTTGCTGAGGATGGGCAAGGACAGGGCCTGGAGGAAGATGAGAGGCTGAGGGGGTGGGAGAGTGAGAGTGGAAGACATTGGGGTTTTAGCTCTTGAAGCGGGAGCAGTTGAGGGCTCTGGATTTGGCTGACACAGGGTAGAGGGTAAGGTCCTTGGGGCTGAAGACATCATGACACTGGCACTATTGAGTTGAATGGGTCACCCAGCCAGGATGGTGGCCAGATTTAAGAGGAGGAGGCTGGGCGCAGTGACTTATGCCTGTAATCCCAGGAGTGAGATTTTGGGAGGCCGAGGTGGGAGGATCACAAGGTCAGGAGTTTGAGACCAGCCTGGCCAATATGGTGAAACCCCGTCTCTACTAAAAATACAAAAATTAGCCAGGTGTGGTGGCGCGTGCCTGTAGTGCCAGCTACTTGGGAAGCTGAAGCAGGAGAATTGCTTGAACTTGGGAGCCGAGACTGCACCACTGCACTCCAGCATGGGCGACAAGAGCAAAACTCCGTCTAAAAAAAAAAAAAAGAGGAGGAAAGCATGGGCTTTGAGATCATTTGGGGGTGGAATCCTTGCTCTATCCCTGCTTGAACCTCTTAACCTCAGTTTCCTTCTCCGTGAGATAGGGCCAATAACATCCATCTTGAGGGAGTCTCAAGACTCAGAGTTTGTCTGTATGTTAGAGGGATAAGAATGCTAGGCCAGGTGCAGTGGCTTATGCCTGTAATCCCAGCACTTTGGGAGGCCAAGGCAGGTGGATCACAAGGTCACGAGATCGAGACCATCCTGGCTAACACGGTGAAACCCCGTCTCTACTAAAAATACCAAAAAATTAGCTGGGCGTGGTGGCGGGCACCTGTAGTCCCAGCTACTCGGGAGGCTGAGGCAGGAGAATGGCATGAACCCGGGAGGCGGAGCTTGCAGTGAGCCGAAATCATGCCACTGCACTGCACTCCAGCCTGGGTGACAGAGTGAGACTCTTTCTCAAAAAAAAAAAAAAAAAAAGAAGAATGCTAATAGAGTCAGAGAAGCAGATAGACTTCCTGTCTGGTTCTCAGGTGTCCAAGGCAGCAAAAATGTCATTTAGTAATCATTTATTGACCGGGCGCTGTGGCTCATGGCTATAATCCCGGCACTTCAGGAGGCCAAGGTGGGTGGATCACTTGAGATCAGGAGTTCGAGACCAGCCTTGCCAACATGGCAAAACCCTGTCTCTACTAAAAATACAAAAATTAGCTGGGCGTGGTGGTGCGCGCCTGTAATCCCAGCTACTCAGAAGGCTGAGGCTGGAGAATTGATTGCACCCAGGAGGTGTAGGTTGCAGTGAGCTGAAATGGCACTACTGCACTCCAACCTGGACGACAGAGTGAGACTTTGCCTCAAAAAAAAAAAAAAATTATTGCCTACTGTGTCACAGACAATATGCCAAGTGCTTACAGATGCTGAGAGGTCAGGGTCTGAAGTGTGCTGGCCAAGACTTGGTTGGGCAGAGGCAGAGAGGAATAAAGGGAAAGTGAAGACTGCAGGGATGGGGAAGGAAACCAGTGTTTTCTGAGTGTTTAACATATGACAGGCTTAGCATGATTTGTCCCCCTTTTATTGATGAGGAAACTGAAGCTTGGAATAATGAAGTGACTCATCCATGTTCACAAAAAAACTCTGGCTCCCAAACTCTTGCTGTACTCCATATCATCTCCTCTGGGGGGACTGGGAGAAGAGAGGAGGAAAGAAGAGGGTGGGATTCCAGGCAATAGGGAAGTTTGAATTAGGAAGGAGAGGCTCAAGATCTGGTATGCTCTGAGGAGTATGTTGAGGCATAGTATTTTTTGGCTTTGCAAGATTTCTGCATTGGGTTTCAAGAACAGGAAACTAGAGGTTCTGATGGTTTAGTACTTCCCAACTCAAGCACCCAGACTTGAAGCCCTAGAGTTACAGGTGCTTGAAGGCTCCTGGGCTGGCTCTCTGCGGGGGACAAGCTCAAAGAACTCTCCCTGAGAGCCTGACGTGGTGCTGGGCACTGTCCTATAATGTTATGGGTTGAATTGTGTACCCTAAAAAGATATATTGAAGCCCTAACCCTCAGTACCACAGAATGCAGATATAGTTAATTAGGATGAGGTCGCAATGGAGTAGGGTTGACCCTTAATCCAACATGACTGGTACCCTTATAAGAAGAGAAGAGACAGAGAGACACAGACAGATGAGAGAGCACCATGTGATGACTGAGGCAGAGATTGAAGTGTGGCAGCTGTAAGACAAGGAATGCCTGTGGCCACCAGAAGTGGAAGAGGCAAGGAAAGAGTCTTCCCTACGGGTTTCAGAAGGAGCACGGCTGCTCCAAAACCTTGATTTTAGACTTCTAGGCTCCAGAATTGTGAGACAATGGGTTTCTGTTGTAAGCTACCCAGTTTGTGGTACTTTGTTACGGCAGCCCTAGGAAACTAATCCACATACTTTATCTCCTTTAGTCCTTTCAGTGACTCCCAGTCCAGGGGATTTCAAACTCCTAGTACCATGTTCCACCATTAGAAATAGTTTACCTAGTGATCTGGTGCATGCAAACATGTATCTGTTTTCCCTTTCTAAAGTGAAACAAAAGTTTCAAAAAGTACTACTTACCCTCATTATGTGTCACACCCCCGTATTTTCAAATCTACTTTAAACAAGTTCATTAAAAAAAAAAGCTGATCATGACTCTGATTTCATGACTCACTAATGGGGTCACAACCCACATTTTGAAAAACTCTTAGAATGTGAGCTTCTCCAGGGCAGAGACTATGTTCTATTTACTTCTCTGCTCCCTGCTCCTACAGTCTCTGAAACAGAGTGGGGGCCTGGCAACTATTTATCTGAACTGAACTCCCCATCAGGAAAGTATAGCAGCTCTTTTTTCCCAGTAAGGAAATGAAAGTTCATGGAGGTTAAAAAAGTTGCCCAAAGTCATCCAGCTTGTGAGCAGAGGAGTTAGTGTTGAGACAAAACCTTGGTTTAGCTCTGGATTTGGACAGCCCTGGTTGTCCTGGTCCTGCCATTAGCAAAGTGGTTCTAAGTAAGCACCTCCACTGCCCACAGATGGACCCCTTTCTAAGCATTGCCTCAGCGGAGGTATCTCTCCAGATAACCAGAAGAGAGGACCACAGTAGGTGTGGGGGAATGGCACTGGGAGTGAGGTGATGGCAGAGATTGCCATAAAAAGACACTATCCATCCTCTCCAGGACCTTGGAGCTGGCCCAGTGCACAAAAAGCCCTTTAGGATGGGTCTTCGGGGAGGACTACTGGAGGCTCATGTGGGTCTGTCTCTGCTTTTTTTTTTTTAGGCAGAGTTTCGCTCTTGTTGCCCAGGCTGGAGTGCAATGGTGCAATCTCGGCTCTCCGAAACCTCTGCCTCCCAGGTTCAAGTGATTCTCCTGCCTCAGCCTCCTGAGTAGCTGGGATTACAGGCATGCGCCAACATGCCTGGCTAATTTTGTATTTTTAGTAGAGACAGGGTTTCTCCATGTTGGTCAGGCTTATCTCAAACTCCTGACCTCAGGTGATCTGCCCACCTCGGCCTCCCAAAGTGCTGGGATTACAGGCGTGAGCCACCGCGCCCGGCCTCTCTCTGCTTTAACTGCCATTTCCCTACCCTTCCCCACGTGTCCCACATATCCCCTCCCTCTACTGCCTGGGCCCTTCCTCCCAGACCTCTCTGCTGTGCCCTCTCCGTTTAGTGGTCTTCCAGTGCCTCTGCATCTGAGCCTCTTTTCTGACCATCTCCTCCACCGTCTAGCTTCAACCGAAACCTGCTGTCCCTCCGAGGACACCCTGCAACCCTCTCAGGTGGGGGCTGTTTTTTTCTCTGGCTCTTGAAGAAGGCATATACATTTCCCAGGTGAAGTAGGAAAAGACTGATCCAAGCAAAGGAACTGAAAGGAGTAAAACCATGAAGAAGTAAGCTGAGGGCCTGTGTGAGGACCAGGAGAATTCCAGAGGCTGGGACTAAGGTCTGTAAGGGAGGTGTCACGGAAGAGGCTGAAGAATTAAGTAGGGCTGAATGGGAAGGCTTTTGAAGGCTAAGGAGCTTGCATTTTTATTTTAAGCGATTGGCTAGCTGTAAGCAAGGAATTGAAAGCATCAGATCTGTGTTTTGGCAAAATCACTTTGGCTAGAGCATGGAGAATGGATGGGAGTGGGACCAATTAAGGCAGGGTTGGCCGACTATGTCTGGTGGGCCTGTTTTTGTACCAGTCATTAGCTAAGAATGGATTTTGCATTTTTTATTTTAACGGAGTTTCCCTCTGTTGCTCAGGGTGGAGTGCAGTGGCGCGATCTCGGCTCACTGCCACCTCCACCTCCCTGGTTCAAGCAATTCCCCTGCCTCAGCCTCCCAAGTAGCTGGGATTACAGGCGCACACCACCGCACCTGGCTAATTTTTTTATTTTCATTTTTAGTAGAGATTGGGTTTTACCATGTTGGCCAGACTGGTCTCGAACTCCTGACCTTAGGCAATTCGTCCACCTCGGTCTCCCAAAGTGCTGGGATTACAGGCGTGAGCCACCGCGCCTGGCCTGAATTTTGCATTTTTAAAAGGCTGAAAAATAAACAAAAATAGTATTTGTGACACAAGAAAAATTATATGAAATTCAAATCTCAGTGATATTCAAAGAAAATATTTTTGGAACACAGCCATGCTCATTTAAGTATATATTGTCTATGGCTGCTTTTGACTGCATCAGCAGAGTTGAATAGTTGTGACAGAGACTGTGTAATATTGGAGTACCTTCACAATATTCTTGATTTTGTCTCTTGGTCTGCAGAGTCTAAAACTAAAATATTTGCTGTCTGGCCCTTTATAGAAAAAATTTGCTAATCCCTGAATTAAGGGATTGTTTTGGCACTTTGGGCAAGAAGCCTGGACTAGTTTGGAGGCAGTGGGGATGTAGACAACTGGATGAATTTGTGAACAATTCAGGAGATACGCTGAGTACAGGGAGTAAAAGACAGAAGGAGTCTGGGATGACTCCCAGCTTTCTGGTTTGAGCAACGTGTGAATGGTGGTGCTAGCCAGGCCAGGAATATCAAGAGAGAAAGTGAAACTCAAGGGCAGGGGAAGGACAGGGACTCACAGTGAAGAGTGAGAACTGTTTTCAGGCTTATTTTGTGTGATAGTCTGATTTGTGGGGTTATCCAGTGTGTGTATGTTACCAAAGGTGCTAACAACAACGATGTCAGAAGCAATAACCTCAAGCTCTCTCAAGCCCCTTAGAGCCTGAGGCTGGTGTGGGGAACCTGGCCATTCAAAAGACTTTTGTGCTCTAAAGGTGAGCAGGTACTTGTCTAAATTTCCAGTTGGGTCAGCATGAGTCCTGTGAAATCCCAGCCAGTGTCCTAAGAATAAAACCAAGGATTCCAAAGGCCTGGGGCCATGGGGGATTAGGAGAAGTTGGAGCTGTTCCTAGATGCCAAGCCCCCTACCTTCTATCTCCTTGTTGGTGAATTTGGTATACTGGCCAGAGAGGTAGGGCCTGTCTCTGCAAGTTTATAGTGGTATCCAAGGAAGCTGATTCTTCTGGGGTCTGATGTACCTGCTGAGACTTGGGGGCAGGGACTGGGGTGGCCAGAATCACCTACTCCATCTTGTCCTGTGGTCTTGTCTGATAAGCAGGCTCAGGCGGGTTACAAGAGCCGTGTTTTGGCAGAGCTATTCCTGTGATTGCCGGCAGATGGCGCTAAAGCAACACGGTGGGAGTGGAAGGAAGGTGGCGCAGGAGGAGAGAGGATCCTAACTTCTCCAGGCCGGAGAAGGGGTTGGTAGCAGTAGAGGGGAAGACAGCATTCAAAAAGCCGCTTCATTCTTTCCCTATTTCCAGCTCAGGCGTGTAGTCGCCCTTGTTTCTGGGGCCAAGAAAGACTCTCAGAACGGGGCAGTGGTGGAGTGTTTGGGGTGGACAGTTGCCATGTCCAGCCACCCTCTCTCTTTGGGTTTATCCCATTTCCCCAATTCTCTGGCAGCTGGGCCTGCAGGAATCTAGCTTCAGAGGACTGAGGGCACAGACCCCATCTCCGGGAAGCCTTCCTGGAATGCACACACCCTTTCCCGCCGAAACTTGTTCCCCCAAACTGCTTTAACCAAGCCATGATGGGATTTAAGTTTCTTCTCCCTGGATTGGGGGCATGGGCTTTTCAAAGCTCAGGCTGGAGGTGTAGGGTCAGAGCTGGGTCTGAAACTAGTCCTGGTTTCTGGCATTTACCGGTGAGCAGCCCTGTCCCGTGGTAACACTGATCATAGAGCCATTGAGGGCATTTCCCTACAATCTCTCTCATCCTCCTAACACTTCTGCAAAGGGCTTGTTCCCGTTTCAGAGATGAAGACACTGAGAAGAGACATGCCTAAGGTTGTTCAGTGAGGGACATGGCAGGTCAGACCTGCATCTGGGACAAGGGACAAGTGTGAACTGCTAGCTCCATTCCTGATGTGAATACCAGATTTACCCCCTCCACTTCTGGCCTTCAGTAGAGACCAGGTTAATCTGGCCCCAAAGTTCCTATTCTCCCAGCACTGCTCAGCTTGCTCAGTCCTTCTGCCTCCCAGGACCTCAGTTTCAACGCCTTTAACATGGGGCAGGGCATTTAGCCTTAAAGGGGCCTTAGGGCTGTGAGGGAGCAGTGGTAAGGGAGGGGCCCTCTTAGGAACTTGAGCTCACAACCCCGTAAGCTGTGCTGGTGGGAAGGGGATATGGGGTTTGGATCCTTCCAAACAGGAAGGTCCAAACAGCAGGGTCATTCTCACAGTGCTGTAGTTCCTGGCTAGCCTATCCTGTTTAGATCTTCAATGGATACCATTTCCTATCGTGTTGGAAGCTTTCTTCCAAAGGCTTCTGGGAGTCCCAACGGCTATAAGGGGGCTGAATCTCCACTCCTCTCTCTGCAAGGGCTTAGCTCCACCCAGGACCTCATCCCTCTAGGCCAATGATTCTCAAACTTTACCCTGCATCAGAACACCTAGAGGGCTTGTTAAAAATAGGTGGCGAGTTCCACAGAGTTTCTGATTTAGTAAATCTAGGAGGACCCTGAGAATTCTCATAGCTAACAAGTTCCCAGGTGATACTGGGGCTACTGGTCAGAACCACTGTGAACTGAAAGATTCACTCAGCAAGTCTGGATTATCCGAATCCTGCACATTTGCACATTTCAAAGAAAGGTTTGGCCTTGCCTGGCTCCTGGAAGATAACACTAAACCCTTGGAATATCCTGCCTGGTAAGTGTTTTTGCTTACCTTTGCTCCTTGGGCCACATGGTATCAGTTTAACTTCTGGAAGGGCTGGAGACTAAGTAAGGTCAGCCATGTGGGTGGTCAGCTATGCTTACACGATCAGCCTCCAGTAAGAACATTGGACACCAAAGCTCTGGTGAGCTTTCTTGGTTGGCAGTACTTCATTTTTTTTTGTCATACATCATTGCTTGGAAGATTGGGCACTGTCTGCACGACTCCACTGGGAGAGGACAGCTGGAAGTTTGTATCTGGTCTCTCCTGGTCTCTGCTCTGTGCACCTTTTGCTGTTGCTGTTTTATGCTCTATGTTCTTTCACTGTAATAAACTGTGAGGATAATAACTTTGCTGAGTTCTATGCATCATTCTAGCAAATCACTGAACCCAATGATCGTCTTGGAAACCACTACTCCAGGCTACGGGATTAACCTCTCTAGAATTCCTTTGCGTTGGGCTTTGGGGACCCTTCACCAAAGAAGTGCCTTATAACCTGACCTGAGGGTCATCCTGATGGAGTGTTTTGGCCTAAATACTTTAGGCTGTCATCTACTCAGTCCAGAGGTCAGGAGGTTATGAATTGCCTGGAAGTCTGGGTGTTGCTCTGTGGGGTAACCCTGAACAATCCTCCTGGATCTCTGGGCCTTATCTCCTCATGTGTAAATGGGGGTTTGGAAGAGTTCTGTTCTCCCCGGGTATGGCAGAGCCAATAGAGAATATGCAGGGATGTGGGCAGGGTTGGTTTATTTCACCTAGCTGCCTCACTTCCAGAGGTCAGGTCTGCCTTTTATAGCCCCACTCACCTGAGCCAGGGACTCCACGGTGCTGGGGTCCCCAGGCTTTAGTAGATCCAACCATGCAGTGCTGGCCCTCCTAGAACCACTTTCACGGCCACGGCCCACATTCCAAAGTACTTGGGCCCTCCCTGCCCCATTCAGCCCTGGCCTGAGACCAAGGCCTTGAGCCAACACAGTTAGGAAGGCCCCTTAGTGCCCGCTGGTTATGTGGCTTTATTCACAGACTCAGCACTTGCTGAGGATGAAAGGAAAGAACATTTGGGGCCAGGCTGGGCCTGGAGATCCGGGTGGCTGGGAGGCCATGCATGGGTTGGATTGGGGAGCTCACAGGAGAGAACCTGCTGGCTGGGCCAGGCCTGTGTGGGGCAGGGCCGGAGGCAGGCAGCATGCGGGAGGCCTGGCTAGATCTGCATGGAGCAGATCCATCCAGGTGGTGGCTGTGAGCCAGGAGGGAGGGACTGAGGCTTCTCTGGGGCAGGGGGTATGGATTTGCGGCTGGATAGCAGGCACACTTGACTCCCACTCCCAGGAAAATGATATTGTAGGACAGTCAGGACACCTGGCTCCTGGTCCTGTTGCTGCCTCGGGACTTGATATGTGACTAGCCAAGCCGGACCCTTCCAGTGTCATTGTCTTGCTGATGCTTGGACATTTGCCTTGGAGTTGACCCACCTAGGGACCCTCTGAGGACATTTGTGGACAATCCTGGAGAGTATGCCTAGGGCCCAGGTGGGCGGGCTCTGCCTATGAAGCGAGGGGATTCCCCAGCTCCCTGTCATCTGGCTTTTCTCCCAGCGGCCAGTTCAGTTTCTGGCTGTGCCCCCCAGGGGGCACCATCTCACACCGCAATCTGGGCCGCTGCTGGGCCAAGGAATACTTAATGTTAAGCCTTCTTTCTCCTGGCCCGCCCTGCTGGCTCCTGACTTCCTGCCTAAAGGCAAACAAGGAGTCCAAAGCCCGGATCCTCCTCCCGGGCCTTCTTCCTGGTGAAGAGCGCATTCCCACCCAGCAGGGAACAGAAAAACCAGTTCCCCGGGTTTCCCTCCCTGCCTGGGAATAGCGAAGTCTGGAAAGTTGGCAGGGTCTCTCTGGGCTGCCCAGGAAGGTGACCCAGGGTCCTGGGAAGCCAGGTGAGGCCTGAGCAGGGCCCTGGGGCTGAGGATGCAGCCCCTGCCCTCTTCCCACCGGCCTTTCCCGGGGACTGGGGTGGAGGGATGCAGGAGAGGGGACTATCAGCATTGGCGGGAGGGAGTGCGGTGCACGGAGCCAGGGCGCTTGGGGATCTTGCGCCAGCGTCTCTTGTCCCAGCGGCAAAGCAGCAGCAGGCGAAAGGTGTCCCGGAAGGCTTTGTTGCAGAGTGCGTAGCACATGGGGTTGATGGTGCTGTTGACGTAGCACAGCCAGTAGCCCAGCTCCCACAGGGTCTCGGGAACACAGTCCTTGCAGAAGGTGGACACCAGCACCATGATGTTGTACGGTGTCCAGGTGAGGATGAAGGCCAGGAGGATGGCACTCAGGGTCCGAGCCGCCTTCTTCTCCTTGACCAGCGAGAAGGTCTTCCGCTTGGCCAGCTGCTCCTTTCCACGGGGCTTCTGGCCCTTGCCAGCTCGATCACGCCCTTTCTTAGTCGGCCTCTTGACTGTATTTGGGGAGCTCCGTGGGGGCTGCTTGGTGGGGGCCTGTGCCTCGGGGTCCACCATTGGCATCTTGATCACCACTTCGGAGCCAGGCTCCTCTCCCTCTGAGGATGTGAGGGACTCCATGGAGCCTTCGTCCTCTTCCTCTTCTTCCTTCCAGCTGTAGGCCTGCAGCAGCCTGGGGGCCCGGCAGCAGCGACAGCAGCGGCCTGGAGGAGTCTCTGGTGAGCCCTCAGCCCCTGGCTGAGACCTCTCTGAGCTGCTGCTGCTGCCACCCCCTTTGCCTGGCGTCTCGGAGCCCTGAAGGGCTGCCAGCTCCCGTGCTCGGTTCTCTGTCTCCCGGTAGATGCGCCAGTAGAGCGTGCACATGACTGTGACAGGGAGGTAGAAGGCAGCCATGGCTGTGCCAAAGGTGATGATGGGCTGGGAGAGGAACTGGATGTAGCACTGCCCAGCTAGCACTGTCCGCTCCCCTACCAGGTACTGCCAGAAGAGGATGGCTGGGGCCCAGAGCACAAAGGAAACCAGCCAGGCCAGGCCGATCATCAGAGCTGCCCGGCGGGGTGTGCGCTTGGCACGGTAGCTCAGGGGCCGAGTCACGGAGAAGTAGCGGTCAAAGCTGATGAGCAGCAGATTCATGACGGAGGCATTGCTGGCCACATAGTCCAGGGCCAGCCAGAGGTCACAAGCCAGCGTGCCCAGAGCCCAGTGGCCCATGAGCAGGTACGTGGTATAGAGGTTCATGGAGAAGGTACCGATGATGAGGTCAGCACAGGCCAGGCTCAGCAGGAAGTAGTTATTGACTGTCTTGAGCTCCGTGTTGACCTTGAAAGAGATGAGTACCAGCAGGTTGCCTGTCACTGTGGCTAGCGACAGGAGGCCCGTGGTGATCCCAATGAAGGCCACTTGCCAGGGACCCTTTCCTGGTGCCAGGACGGTGATGTTGGGGCTGACAGCAGGTGGGGCTGAAGTGTTCATGGTGGCTAGGTGGGGCTGGGGTTGGAGAGCCCCTTCCTCCAGGCACGCTACAGGGCTTCCTCAGGGGAAAGTCATCACCTGAAAAGAGAGGACATGGGCTTTGGTTGGGCCACTGGACATTTCTGATAGACCTTATTGGAAGATGCTAGGGATGTAATTCTTGCCCTTGCAGAGCTTCAGACCAGATAGCATCACCCTCCCTTACCGGTGCCCACTCATGGTCATTTATCATGCACTTTCCCAGCCATAAGTGGATTTGCCAGCAGCGTGGAGTGGCTTTGGGATCCAGGGATTTGAATCTTCATTCCAGTTTTACCTTTCAGACTCCAGGCCTCCATTTTCTTACTGGGAAATTACTACAAATTCCTATCTTACATAACTCGGGTTGCAGGAGTTGGGAAACTCACTTTGTATACAGTCCTGCCAAATTCTCAAAGCATTTCACTCAACTTTATTAAAGCCCTCACTTACTGAGTAGTCACTGCATGCCAGACACAGTACTAACCACCTAAATGAATTATCTAATTTAACTGCTGTACGTCTCTAGGAGAAAGGGCTCTTATTATGCCCATCTCACTGTGAGGGAACTGTGGCTCTGAGCAGCTGCAAGCCTTGGCCATGGTGACAGAGATAGTAAGTATGATAAGAACCCGCAAGAACAGAAATGTGTCCTAAAACAGGAAAGAAAGAAAAGAAGCCATTCTCACTCTCCCCGGGTATGTGGTGCTCCAGTGGGATTCTTCCACTAATAAGGAGAGATGGGAAGAAAGGGGAGTTCCTGAGAAGATAAACAGAGAGAGATGGGAACAGAGGGGCCTTAGGGGTGTGTGCGTGCATGTATTTTTTTCTGCACGTTTTTCTGCGCATGCGGGTTTACATACGTATGTAGGGGGTGGTATTTGGGGCTGAATTGAATTCTCTATGAGGGCAGCAGGGAAAATTGTGCTGGACTCAGACACTCAGTTGCTAGTAAGAAGGTCTGGGGCAGGCCGGCGTGGTGGCTCACACCTGTAATCCCAGCACTTTGGGAGGCAGAGGCAGGCGGATCATGAGGTCAGGAGATCGAGACCATCCTGGCTAACATGGTGAAACCCCATCTCTACTAAAAATACAAAAAATTAGCCGGGCGTGGTGGCACGCATCTGTAGCCCCAGCTACTTGGGAGACTGAGGCAGGAGAATCGTTTGAACCTGGGAGGCGGAGGTTGCAGTGAGTCAAGACTGTGCCACTGCACTCCAGCCTGGGCAACAGAGCAAGACTCCATCTCAAAAAAAAAAAAAAAAAACCAAAAGGAAAAAAAAAAGAAGGTCTGGGGCAAAAGCAGGAAGCAGGGATGAGGGCCTCAGCTCCTAGCTCAGTGGGGGTCTGGGCCCATGGGGTGTGGGAGGCTTCCCTCCCTCTCCTGGCTCTGTTCCTGGGCCCCAGCTGAGTGAGGAGAAGCAAGGGAAATGGGAAGATCCCCCAGACTTTTCTTGGATCTGGAATCTGCTCCAGGCACTAAGCCTGGGTAAAGAGAAAGGCCGGGGCCCTTAACAACCTGCTGGCTGGGCAGGAGGCCCCCACAGCCACAGTGAAGCCAGATGGAAGGGTAAAGGTCCAGGCAGCTCAGCCAGGGGCTTGCTGCCATGTGATTTGGTGGGTCCCTTCCTGCTCTGGGCCTCAGGCATCCATCTGACCATTGAAGAGGTTGAGGGTCCCCTGACCCTCAGCTGTGGCCTCCAGGGGCTATATTGTTGGGAAAATTCCAAGGGAGAGATGTTAGGCAAGGGCCCACTGAGCCCTGGTGTTCCTTGGGCACCTGGCCTGTGACAGGCTGCTGTGATAGGTGGCCTGGGTGGTTTGTGGCTGAGGGCATCTCCATGGTTTGCCGTGAACCCTCAGTGTGTACAAGTCACTGACAGCGTGGCGAGTTCAGTGGGGGACAGAATGAGCAAGGACTGTGGCTGGCAGTGTGTGCTTGTGTGTCTGGGACAGTTTGCACATGAGGGGGCATGTGCAACCTGGACTCTGGAGCCAGACTATCTGGATTTGAATCTAGTCTATCCTGTTCACTGGATGTGTGATTATTGCTAGTGATATAACTTCTATATGCCTAGGTTTCCTTAATTGAAAAATGGGATAATACCCATTAGCAAGACTGTCACCTCTTTTCAGGTGATGAGGATTAAATGAATCAATGCATGTAAGGTGCTTAGAATGGCCCTGGCACATGGTAAACAGTAGGTCTCCTTTAACTCTCAGGATGTGTAGCAATGAGGGTGCTAGGCTGCCTAGAAATGTCTACCTCTTGGCCGGGTGCGGTGGCTCACGCCTGTAATCCCAGCACTTTGGGAGACCGAGGCGGGTGGATCACCTGAGGTCGGGAGTTCAAGACTAGCCTGGCCAACATAGTGAAACTCTGTCTCTACTAAAAATACAAAATTAGCCAGGGGTGGTGGTACATGGCTGTAACCCTAGCTACTCTGGAGGCTGAGGCAGGAGAATTGCTTGAACCCAGGAAGCAGAGGTTGTGGTGAGCCAAGATTGTGCCATTGCACTCCAGCCTGGGCAACAAGAGTGAAACTCTGTCTCAAAAAAAAAAAAAAAAAGAAAAGAAATGTCTGATACTATGACAATAGCAACTAGTAATAATAATGCTCATTGTTGTTATTGAGAGCTCCCTGAGTGCCAGTTGCTGTTAAAGGGTTTATATGCATAATCTTATTTAATCTTAACAGGAGCCTAGGATCAAGGGATGGCTGTTGTCTCCATTTTTTTTTTTTGAGATGGAGTCTCGCTCTGTCATACAGGCTGGAGTGCAGTTGCGCGATCTCGGCTCACTGCAGCTATTGTCTCCATTTTCTTTTTCTTTTTTTTTTTTGAGATGGAGTCTCGCTGTGTCACCCAGGCTGGAGTGCAGTGGCACAATCTCGGCTCACTGCAACCTCCGCCTCCGGGTTCACACCATTCTCCTGCCTCAGCCTCCTGAGTAGCTGGGACTACAGGCGCCTGCCACCACCACGCCCGGCTAAATTTTTGTATTTTTAGTAGAGACGGGGTTTCACAGTGTTAGCCAGGATGGTCTTGATCTCCTGACCTTGTGATCTGCCTGCCTCGGGCTCCCAAAGTGCTGGGATTACAGGCGTGAGCCACCGCGCCTGGCCTATTGTCTCCATTTTATAGATAAGGAAGCTGAGACTGAGAAAAGCAAGGGAATTTGTACGAGATCATGCAAGGAAGGTAGGAACTAGGATTTGAGCCCAAGCAGTTTGTTCCAGTGAAATTTCATTTACAAAAACCGAAGGCCAGCCTGGGGATCATAGTTTGCTAATTCGAATTCTAAAAATATTACATTAAAATATGATTTGTCTTGATTACTGAGTTTTGCTGTACCCTTTCCCTTAAACAAAATCAGCCACTGGGCTGGAGGCTGGGATTAGGCTGGGGCTTTCCCCAGTGAGGCCACTGGTAGACACTACCCTTGAGAATTTGTGCAATTCTTGTCACTGTCATCTTCTGAGCTTAGTGCTATTTAATGCCCATCGCTCACAGGGAGCAGCTGAGGCCCAGAGAAAAGGGAGTAGAAGGCATTGTCTAGTCCAAGGTCTCCTGGCTCCTAGATTGGGTACTGCCCCCCATGCCATACTCTCCTGGTAGTTTGGATCAGCTCTGTATCCCTGGGCCCTTGGCAAAGACCTGCAAAGGCTGAGTTAGACAAGAGGAGGTTGCTAGCCTGAGAGGCTGCACCCTGCCCTGCTGCAGGGGCCTCTCATCTGCCTGGGCATGGTGCAGCCTTTAAAGCTTGACTCCTTAGGCCTGGCGTGGTGGCTCACGCCTGTAATCCTAGCACTCTGGGAGGTTGAGGCAGACGGATCACATGAGCTCATGAGTTCAAGACCAGCCTCAGCAACTTGGTGAAACCCTGTCTCTACTAAAAATATAAAAATTAGCCAGGCATGGTGGCGGGCACCTATGGTCCCAGCTACTTGGGAGGCTGAGGCAGGAGGATCACTTGAGCCCAGGAGGCAGAGGTTGCAGTGAGCCGCGATCACGCCACTGCACTCCAGCCTGGGTGACAGAGTGAGACCCTGTCTCAAAAAAAAAAAAAAAAAAAAAAAAAAAAAGCTTGACTCCTTATACCTCAGCAGGCTAGGACTAGGGTAAGGTGAAAATCAGGCACTTGCCTCCAATGCGAAATGTATGGGGTGCCCCAAAACTTAGTCTTCAAGAAAATATTTTAATGTAATATTTACAAAAATGGAAGTTAATGCAAAAAAATCCAAGATGAACAACATGTTAAATAAAGACAGGGTCCACCCTGCACTTGCACAGCCCTTTCTCACTCACCTCACCCTAATCCTGACCCTGGTTCCAATAAAACTTTAGTTACAAAGACAGACAGCCAGCCTGTGGGCTGGAATTTGCTATTTGATTTAAAAAAATATTATTATGATATTATTTCTCTTGTTTAGTGAGTATTTTTACGTCCCCCTCTTAAATTTTGCTCTGAAGCGAGTGCCTTGCTTGATTCACCCTAGTCCTGGCCTTGTAGTTCCCAGTCTTGGGTTTGAAGCTTGGCGCTGAGCCTTCCTTGCTGTGTGACCATCAGTAACCAGTCGACCTTTCATTCCCCTGCTGCCCTCATCCCCAGCTGTGAGGATGATACCGTTCAGAGTGCCTGGCACTGAAACAGACACTCAGTTAAAAAGTTAAAGCCTTATTGTTATTATTATTATTATTATTATTTTGAGATGGACTCTCACTCTGTCACCCAGGCTGGAGTGTAGTGATGTGATTTCAGCTCACTGCAACCTCTGCCTTCTGGATTCAAGCGATCCTCCTGCCTCAGCCTCCCGAGTAGCTGGGATTATAGGCTCCTGCCACTACACTCAGCTAATTTTTGTATTTTTAGGAGAGACAGGGTTTCACCATGTTGGCAAGGCTGGTCTCGAACTCCTGACCTCAGGTGATCCACCTGCCTCGGCCTCCCAAAGTACTGGGATTATAGGCATGAGCCACAGCACCCGGCCCTGTTGTTATTCTCCACTCCTTCTCCTGATCCAGTGCCCAGCCTCTTCCCACCATGCCGCTTCCCCTCCAGACCCCAGGCACGACCCTACTCTGCCTCCCAGTTTGCTCATTTGCAATGGAGGAGTTGGACAAGCCTGGTGTCTGGGGAGATTTTACTAAGTCCGGAAGCCAACATCTCAAGGTGCTGAACAGAAAGAACCCAAGTCCCTGAGGCAAGGCTGAAGGCTCAACTTACATTATCTCACTTGGGGCTGGAAATGTCATCAACTCAGATTGCGAATACGGTGCCCATCACAAGGCTAGCTATAACTTTGGTGAATTAAAAAATGCTTTCAGAACAGGGGACTTGTGAGAAGAAGTAACTCAAGGAGTCCTTGGAGGTGAGGACCTCTCCTAGAGGGGTCCTTGGAGGTGAGGAAGCCGGCAGTCCCTTGCCTTGATGTCTGGAAATTCCTTCCAAATCTCCCATTTTAATAGTCGTATTGCTAACCACCATAATTAATGCCTCCTGGATGGCAGGCACTTAATATATATTCTTTCCCTTAATCACAGGACACCTCAGTGGACATCCCATGGGGGGCTCTATCTTTATATTATAGGTAAGGGCATTGAGGCTCAGGGTGCAAAGTAGATTTCTGATGGTCCCACAGCAGTGGTGGAGGTGGGATTCTGACCCGGACCTGTGGGCTCCAAGCCTGTGTTCTTTCCACCTCAGCAAAACCCCTCTGCCCCACTTACGCGGATGAGGGCTAAGGCCTCTCACCTGGGGCAGGTGGCAGGTAGAGAAGTCACCAGAGGTTCCAGAGAATTGGAACCTGATTCTTGCCACCGTCTAGATCTTCTGCCCCCTATGACGCAGTACAAGAACAGACCCATCAATGAATGACTGCCTTTCCTCTATATCAGAAGCAGAGGTCCTCACCCCCAGCCCTCTCTTGGACAGAGAAAGAGCTCAGGAGAAGATTCCTGGAGACGTGCTCTAGTCCCTTCTGTGTGACCTTGTCCAAGTCTCCTTAACTGTCGATGTGGGGCAGTCTTCTACCTGTCCAAGGTTCCTGTGGGATCAGTGAGATGGTGGCTGTGAAAGAATCTGGTTTCCCATGATTGTGGCAGATTCCCCTGGGGAGACCAGCCCTAGGCTGAGGATTAGGGTATGGGGTTCAGTGGTAGCTCTAGAATCCCTAAAGAAGGAGGGACTTAGGACAGCCAGCTGGTTGAAAAGGGGGCTTGAAGCTGCATTTGCAGGGCACGTCCTGTGAAGGCATCCATGGGGGCTGGGGCTCACATATGCAGTGAGTTTGTCAATGGGGATTGCAGTGGGCAGCAGGAAGACCCCCCGAGGCAGTCCTTGGCACTGCCTCTGCCTAGCTGCCAGCTCTTGTCTTGCTATGTGACCTTGGGTAAATGACCGTCCTGACCTGGTGGCCCTTCTGTGGAATGGGGTGAACTCCTAGGATGAGTGTTTGTGTGTGAGGGTATATGCATTGCTGAGCAAGGCTGGGAATGGTGGAGGTGGGTCCATAGCTTTGTGGGGACTCATCCTCAGAGGGTGTTTCACCTGGAGTTCAGGAAGATAGTGAGGAAGCAAGGAGGGGCTTCTCTCCAGGACTGTGGCCTCCTGATGAAGGCTGTTAGAAGGCTTTAATACTATCACTAATACTCCTTACACATAATAGCAGCAAAGAAAAATTACTCATATTATAGTAACTGGTATTTACTGGCTGCATACTATATACCAGACATGGCTCTAAGCATTATATACATAAACATTATAAACTCGATCTAATCTACCTGTTACAACTCCTTGTGAAGTAGGTCCTGCTATCCCCAGTTTGCAAAAGGCCTAACCTGAGGCTTCAAGACCTGAAGGACCTTACAGCTCATCAGCGATGCAACCAGGATTTGGATCCAGGCCGTCTGCCTCCGAGACCAACCTCTTGAACCCTACTCCTGCCCTTGAGGGGTTGCGGGGGTTTGCCAGCCTCCTTGCCCACCTCAGCTAGCTTACTCAAGCCCAACTTTGAATCAGTTAACGATGAGCAATCGGTCCTTCTTTCAGAATCTGGCCTCCTTTGTGTGCGCGGCAGTGTCTGTCGTATATCTGTGTGATGTGTGATAACAGTGCTGTGGGAAGAGGGTGGGTCTACTGGAGCTCTTTAAAGGGCAGGGTAAGGGCTGCGTCTGTCTCATTCAATGCTTTATCCCAGGGCTTGGCAGATAGTAGTTGCTCAATAAATACCTGTGGAATAAATGTACGTGTGTGTACTCAACTTCAGACCCTGGAGCCTGAGGGTGAACCTGTGGGGGTCAGGACCAGGTCCAGAGCATGGTCCAGAGGCCCCTCTTCTCCCTTGAGCTCCCACATCTCATCTGCCAGGTCCCTGCTTCCCTGAGTGAGGCCCTGCCTGGCTGGAGAGCATAGGAGAAAAACAGCCAAGAGCATCCTTGTCTGTAAAGTGGACCAAGGAAACCCTGCCTCACCCGGCTGCAGGGAAGCTAAGTGAGGTGCCAGGACAGACATGGACGTGCCAAAGCATTTGTCACTGGGGAGAGGAGAATGTTAGCCTGGGCTCAAAGGGTTAAGGGATGAGGTCAGAGCCTTTATTACAGCAGGCCAGACTGTTGACTCCCAGCGCCCAGGACCAATCCCTAGGGGCTGGGGATCTGGCTTGTGAGAGCAACTGGGAGTGGAGAGAACCACTGGGGGAGGCAGGGAAAGGGAAATGGGGAGAGGGATTCCTGAACACCAGGCTTTTCTGAACGTACCGCTGGCCAAAGAGTACAGAAGGGGAGGGAGGGAATGAGGGGATGCTGGGGAAGATATTTAGGAGGGAGGAGCGGAGCCATCTTGTGATTCTGGGCCTGGAAGCTGGTAGAGTCCTGGTTAGGAAGAGGGGATAACATTGGGGAGTGGGAGGTATGTGGAGGGGGCTGTGGGGTTGGGCACCTGAGGCCTCACATATGCAATGAGGAGGGCGCTCCTTCTGGCCAGGTCTACTCACTGATCCCTTCTGCTAGGGCCTGACCCCAGAAGCCAGCCCATACGAGGCAGCTCTCCCCTCGGGGTTAACTTTTCTTTGACAGCAGCTCTTGACCCATTAAGGTGCACAAAACTTCCACCCCTGATGTCTGGCTTTGAGAATGAGGGAGTAAACAGAATTTATCACATTTTTAAGGCTCAACAGTTGCCATTGGGAGGGCCAACTAGTCTTGTGGAGGGCAGCAGCCATCAGTTAAATGCTACATGAAACACACTGCTTAGCTGGAAGAGAAGCATCAGCCCTAGAATCACTGCCAAATTTGCTCACCCATGATGGATCTTAAGCAGTTGCCTGACTTTGGCCAGACCATGACAGAGCCTGGGCATGAGCAGCTGGACCCTAGACCTCACTCTGCCAGTGTGGCATCAGAGGTTCTGGGTCCCTCATCCTCCTCTCCGCAAGCCCCCTGCTCCTGGCTCCTTGCACTCTCCTCCTCATTTCCTTTCTTCTCTCTCCCTCCCTCCTCCATCCTTGTAGGCATCACCATGGCACCACAGCAGAGCAGAAACCCAGCGCAATTCACCCACCTCTCCCCGCCTGCTGGGAGCCCAAGCTTCTGCGTCTCAGAGCTTACTGCGCCCCCTGCTCTCCCACCCCATCTTCCTGCTCATGGAGGCGGCAGCGCAGTGTTGTGCTGAGGATGCGGAGAAGGGGTCCGAGCCCCAGCTGGATCCCTACATATCCCTTCTCCGACCATGAGCATGTCCCTTTCCCTTTCTCAGCCTCAGTCCCTCCATACAATAGAAAGCCTCCTTTCTAGGTCTGACATGACCTCTGGTTAGCCCCTTCTTGACACTTTGGACTCCCCATTACACTTCAGAATCCAGTTCTCAGAACTCCAACCGCCAGCTGTCAGCTGCGAGCCAAGACCCACATCTTCTGCAGCCCATTTCACTATCTCCTTCCCTTTCATATCTCAGCCGCGATAGCGACTGCAGCTTGCCTGGTGGCTGAGGTCAGAGGGCAGAGAACTCTCATCTGACAGCCCACTGAACAGCTGATTACCCTGAGAAAGGAGACTGTCTGGCTACTGGAGACTGCCTGACTCCTTCCAGCCAGTTGGGCAGGGGTCTTGGGTCAGTCTGGGTGGAGCTGCAGGTGTGTTTTGTGCAAAGATGTGAACCCCTCTCCATTGGCTCTGATAACCTCTAAGCTGCACATGTCTGGATGACCTAATGAGAGCTGACGACCCCCTCCCCAGCTGGCCTGCCCAGGAGCTGACAACTCTACAAGCATCAGAGTTCCTGGCCCCTAGCCCATCCCCATGTTGTGCAGTCTGCGGGCACTGGGGTGAGTACCTGGCGTGGGTGCCCATTGGTATCCATGCATTGCCTGGATATAGGACTGAGACCCACCCTGCGGGAGCCCAAGATACTAGAAACATAAGGAGGGTCCTCTGGGCCCCTGCGCACGTCAGGGCCACCTTCCCTGGCTAGTGTGGCCACCCACATGCCCATTTGTCCCCAAAGAGCCCTGGGGCTCTTTGCCTGGTCTCCTGCTGGCTTCTGGCCTGACACCCACCTTGGCTTCTAGCTTCTCTATCTGGCCAGCAGCCTGATTCAGTCCATCTTGGGGGAGCTGAGGTGGACGGGGGTGGTGGGTTTCAGGGTGCCCTGAGGGAGGACAGGAGGTTCTGGGACTGGCACCCCCATCAAGATGGGGGTCAACCTCCCACAGGATGCTGGTGGCAAGGGCTGCTTCCTGGCCCTTTGCCCTTCCCACTCTGCCCCTAGGGTGTTGGGGGTTCTGCTTGCTACCAGGCAGCCTAATCCCTTCTGGGCCTCAGGTCCAGTTTCCTGAGGGGGATCTCCATCTCCTCTGCCAGCAGAAGCCCAGAAAAACATCAGCTATATCCACTCAAAGCCAGGAGGCCGAGTGTTTGGAGCAGTCAGTGTTCAATGCTACAGAGCCCCCTTGCCCTCTAGACCCCTCCCTGGCCTCCTCCTATCTCTGTGAGTCCATCCCTATTTCCATCTCATCCTGATCCCTGCCCTCCCCCGCTCCCCAGGACCCTCCTACCCTCTACCTTAGTGCAGCCCCTCCCAAGCCCTCCCAAATGTACTCACCACGGGGCTGAAGAGGGGTCTGTAGGGTCCTCAGCCCCACTGCCTCCCTGGGGGCCTGCGGCGTCTCCAGGGACCCAAACACCTGGCTCCCAGGGGGAGCTGCGCCCTGTGCTGGCAGCGGGAGAGGCACAGCCAGTGATTGGCATGTCCCACCCCCTGGCACGCCAGCCTTAGCGGGGAGGGAGAAAGGGAAAGAGAGGGAGGGAGGAAAGGGAGAAAAGGAAGGGAGGGGAGCTGGAGGGAAGCCTCAGGCAGCGTCTGGGGTTGGACTAGGTTCTGGAGTGTGCCCCCCTCCTTCACCAGGGCACCCAATTTGAGCCCCAAGAGGGAGGAGAAAGGACATGAGGAAGGCGAGCCCAGGAAGGCTAAAAGTCCCGGACGGGAGAGAAGGCGGATACAGGGAGACAAACACCCACACCCACTGCACAGACCCGGCGGCACACACACCCTCACAAAGGCACACTGTTTCCTTGGGCTCCTCCCCCCACCCAACCTTAGAGCCCCCAGCCCCTGTGCACCATGCCCCAACACACATGCCCTGGTATTCACATGCCTGCTTCCCTCGCACACACGCCCTCCCCCCTGCACATGCCCACGCACCCACCCACCCAACTACACACCCTGCTCTTCCTCCCTGCTGTGAGAGAGCTAGATTCCTTCTGTTTGGAAATGACACATTGGGCCTCACGTGAGAGGCTCCAACTTGGAACAGACCCAGAGGGCTGGCGCACCCGCCCGGGGGCTGAGTGAACGTGCCCGCATGCTGGGCTGTGTGCGCTAGCATTGGGCTATGCATAGCCTGTTGTGAGGGTATATGGGTGTCTGCTTTTCGGGGATGAGTAGAGGGCCAGGTGCCTGCCCCATGTGCGGCTGAGTGCCTTGCATATGTGTGTCCCTGTGTACTCATGTCACCATGCAGCCTGTGTAAGTGCAGGTGTGACCCTATCAGTCTGGAGGCAGGACGCGTGTGCACACGTGTGTCTGTATCTGATGTGTGGCTGAGTGTTGCCCAACTGTGGAACTTGCTAATTCTGACAAGTGAGGCAGCCTCTACCTGCCTGCTCCACCCCAAGCTTCCACTTGGAAGACAGACAGGCAGACAGACAGCTCTCCTCCCAGCTTGTCAAGCTCTGTCTCCCCTGACTCCCACTCAGGGCTCACAGGTGTGTACCTGGGAGGAGATGAGCCCTCCTCCCAATCTCCCTCAGCCCTACTGGGTGAGGCCAGCATCCCTCCCTGCCAGGCTGGTCTGGACTTCTGTGTTGAGCTTCCTCAGAGATAGAACCCCTGGGGGGCCGTTTGCCCTAGAGATGTGGGTCCTGCACCGCCTCTGTTTGGCCCTAGAGACCTCCCCGGGAGCTGACTGGGGAGGAGAGTTGGAGGCTGCAGGGACTGCCTTCTGGGGCTGCTGTGTTCTTTGCCCACTGGGCTGTGTCGAAGTCTTGGGGTGAGAGGTGGGAAGGAATGGGAGCATCA
Source organism: Homo sapiens (assembly GCF_000001405.40). Taxonomy (NCBI): domain Eukaryota; kingdom Metazoa; phylum Chordata; class Mammalia; order Primates; family Hominidae; genus Homo; species Homo sapiens. The sequence goes on from NC_000011.10 coordinate 62,922,694, forward strand.
ATTATCCCCATTTTGTAGGTGAGAAATCTGAAGAGCAGAGGTATGATTAGCATGTGGTGGGCAGGTGTTTGGGCTCAGGTCACTTGGCTCTAAGCCCAGGGCTCTGGAGTCTGGGGCAGGGGTTTCCCCTACTCATTTCCCCACCAAGCGCCGCCCCCCGCCCCCACAACCCCGCCAATGCTGGTGCCTGAGGGTAACCTGGGGCTTTCTCACCCAGGAGCCCAGTTGGCCAATGGAGCCAAGTGGAGCTGAAACTGGAGTTCCTGGGGTTTGGTCAGCAGCTACTGGTGGGCACACGTGGCAGGTACATGTGGGGGCATCTGTGCTTCTCAAAGCCAGCTGGGGTTCCAGCAGGCACCCAGTCCTCCTCCCTGCTGAAGTCAAGCAGACGCTGCAGCTTGGAGAGAAATCTAAGTGAGCATCCCCTTTCCATCCCAGGGTCACCCAGCCGGTCAGGGTTGGGTCAGAACTTGACCAGTCCCTACCCTTGGGCGCGGACTCGGGATGCCCCCTGCTGGGCTGCCCTGGGTTTGCGGCTGCGGCTTGGGCGGCGCGGTGGGGCTGCGTGTACTTGTGCGCGTACACGTGGCTGAGTGTGGGGGTGTTAGGCCTCCACGCTCAACATCCATTTCCGAATCTGAATCAGGCTCCCTCTTTGCCACCTCCCCCCAGTCTCCTTGGTCTCCCTTTTCTCTTCTCCCACCGCCTCTGCACACGTCCCTTTAGAAATAAAAACACTTATTTTGTGGGCGGGTGGGGAGGGTGTCCAGCTTTCCCCTGCCTCCTCCTGAGTGCCCCCCTCTGTCCCACGCGGCTTTCTTCTGAAGTCTGTGCAGTCGCGGACGCAGGGGGATGACGCCCCCCGCCACCCCCACCACTGTATCACTCTTCTGACGTCCCCGCCCAGACTTGGCTAGCTCACCCTTATCAGATGGGGAAACTGAGGCAGGAGGGGAGAAGAGAGGTACGGCCTGGAGAAGCGCTCCCGCCCGGCTCGCTCACCACCCCCGCACTCGCGCCCGATTTAGCCGCAGGGAGGCTGGGAACATTGTCTTTATTTTAAGCCTCCGAGTGCGGCACGAACGCGGCTGCTCGCGACAAAGGGCTTCTTGAAGCGGCTGCAGGCGGCGCACGTGGGGCTTTGGCCCCGCCCCCGCGCGACCCCCTCCAGTTCTCCCTCATTTCTGGCTGGGTTGGGTGGGGTCTGACTCTCGGGTCTCGGCTCCTGCTGGTTGTTATTTTTGGTCGCCTGGTCGAGAATTCAGTCCTCCAGGCCACCAAGGGAACGTGGAGTCGCCCTTGCGCGGCTCGGCCCCAGTCTCGGCCCCCTTACTGTGCAAGAGGAGAGTGCCCTGAATGCGAATTCAGCTTGGCCTTTTTCTAGTTGAAGCGGCCTGAGCAAGCTAGGCCCCCTCTCTAGGTCTCAGTTTCTTCATCAGTGACAAGAAGGGTAGAAATACCTCCCCGACCAGGCTGTTTGACGGGTTAGTTGAGCTTCTGCAGGTAAAACGTGGCACGTGCGTCTGCAAAAAGTGAAAGCCATCACTGCGGTTTTTTTTTTTTTTTTTAATACAGGGTTTCGGTCTCTTGGCCAAGCTGGAGTGCAGTGGCGCGATCAGAGCTCACTGCAATTGCCTGCCGGGCTCAAGCGATCCTCCCACCGCAGCCCTACCCCCTCACCCACTCTGAGTAGCTGGGACTACAGGCGCGCGCCACCCCACTGGCTTTTTTTTTTTTTTTTTTTTTTTTTAAATTTTTTATTGACAGGGTTTCACCATGTTGGCCAGGCTGGTCTTGAACTCCTGAGCTGAAGTGATCCGCCCGCCTCCGCCCCCCTCAGCTTTCTAAAGTGCTGGGATTACTGAGCCACCGCGTCCGGCAGTTCTTTTTTATAACACTTATTGAGCACTTACTATGTGTCAGGAACTGCTAAGTGCTCTCTCTCTCTCTCTCTCTCTCTCTCTCTCTCTCTCTCTATATATATATATATATATATATATATATATATATTTGTGAGACAGGGTCTCACTCTGTCGCCCAAGCTGTAGTACAGTGGCGTGATCTCGGCTTACCGGCAACCTCCGCCTCCCAGGCTCAAGGGATTCTCCTGCCTCAGCCTCCCGAGTAGATGGGATTACAGGCGCGCGCCACTACCGCCCAGCTAATTTTTGTATTTTTAGTAGAGACGGGGTTTCGCTATGTTGGCCAGGCTGGTCTCGAACTCCTGACCTCAAATAATCCACCCACCTTGGCCTCCCAAAGTGCTGGGATTACAGGCGTGAGTCACCGCATCCGCCCGGCCTCTATATTCTTATTATTTTATTTTATTTTATTGTTTTTTTTGAGACGGAGTCTCGCTCTTTCCTCCAGGCTGGAGTGCAGTGGTGCGATCTCGGCTCACTGCAACCTCTGCCTCCCGGGTTCAAGCGACTCTCCCGCCTCAGCCTCCCGAGTAGCTGGGACCACGGGCGCATGCCACCACGCCCTGCTAATTTTTTGTATTTTTAGTAGAGACGGGGTTTCACCTTGTTAGCCAGGATAGTCTTGATATGCTGACCTCCTGATCCACCCGCCTCGGCCTCCCAAAGTGCTGGGATTACACGCGTGAGCCACAGCGCCCGGCCTATATTCTTTAATTTACTTTCACAACTCTATGAGGGAGGTTCCATTATTCCCATTTTACAGATGAGTAGATTTACAAGAGGCGTGGGTCCCTGTGGTTTCATGGAGGATGAGGTCAGTGCGCCTGGAGCCATCCTGGGGCTGAGCACCTGCTGCAGTTCCAGAGACGGCAGGGACTGTGGGACAGCATTTTTAAGATTCCCAGGGTCCGGCAAGGCCGCAGGTGGGTGGAGGAATGAATGAGCAGGCTCCGGGAGTGCGCTGCAGACCCGGAGTGTAAGTCTCCGCCCTTGGTTTTAATCCGTGTCAGAAACTCAAACCCAGCTAAATGTGCCACTTTTACAGTGCCGCTTCCTCTGTCCTGGGGCACACATTCTGAGTCCGGGTGGGAGGCAGCGGGTCGGCCTAAGGGCGCCCCTCCTCGCATCTTCACCTTCAATGGCCTTAGGTCCTCAACTTCCTCTCTCCCCCCACTCCCTCCCGCCAGGACTCCTGGAGAGACTAATTCCCAGATGTAAAACAAGAAACTCAAATCCAGGGCGGGGCTGCGTATAGAGCAGGCCCAGTAAGGGGCCCCCAGAGTCCCCGCCGTCCGAGGCGAGAGCGGACGCGGCCACAATAAAGGCATCTTATTGGGACAGGAAATCGGGATTTTCCGAGTCCGGTTTCGAAATTGAGGCCTTGTAGACGCTTCACCTTTCCTGCCCGGCTACGTGCTGGGCTCCGGAGGGCAGTGGGAGTGCGGAGAAGCAGCTCCACTCCCCAGCCCCAAGTCTTGCGGGCAGTTCCCGAAGAAAAGATGGGTTTGGGGCGGTCGCGAAAGCGGCGCCTCGCGTGTTTTCCTGCCGTTCCCGGGTCCTTATAGCCCGGCCGGAGACTCCGCTGAGTTGACTCGGCGCCCGGGGTCCTGCCAGGGGTAGTGAATGCTGGGAACTGAGATAACGCAACGTGGCGTTTCGGACTCCCCGCTGGACCGGGCCGTGGAGAGGAGCTGCGTTCCCACAGGGCATCCCTAAGCGTCCTCTGTCCCCGCCTATGAGGACACAACCTGGAAGTCCAGGCCACTGGTTGCCGCCTTGGAGTTGGATGTACCGTGAAAGTGCGGCCCCGACGCAGGAAGCAGGCACCTTCCCCCGCACTATGGAAGCTCGCGCCCCTCGCTTCTCGAAACACCTGATTCACGGCGTCGACCCTGCTTCGCTGGGTCTGCGGACATTGGGCTCCTCAGCTTTCCGCCACAGGGTGTACGCGCCCGGGCCCAGGCGGGTGTAGGTCCCACGTGAAACTGCTGGAGCCCGGCGGAGCTTCGGACGGGAATTTGGGGTCAGAACAGGTCCAGGTCTCAAGGCAACCCCCAACTCTGTACAGTGGAATCCGCTCGTCCAGGGTCGTGACCCGGGTGAGGCAGTGCGGATTTCAGGGTCCCCGTGCTCCCAGCCCGGCGAAGTTTCACCCTTCCTTCCCTTGCTGGCTTCCTCTCCCAGTTCCCTGGACGCCGAGTCCTCGAGTCTCCCCCCCACCACCCCCCGAGGCGGAGGCCAAAGCTTGAAGCCCACGATGACGAAGGGTGGGTGGGAAGGCGCCGGGGGAGTGGAGCCTCAGCCCGGTTCCTCTCCTGAGACACTTGCAGGCGCCGCAAGTACGCACCGAGAGGTTCAGTAACCTGTCCAAGGTCACACAGCTAGTAGGTGCCAGAGTCAGGCCAGTAGAATTCCAATCATTGCTTTTGCCGCGATCCTAAATGTCCCCTCAGTGTCAAATGTACTCGCGTCTTCGCGAGACCCTCACCCCTAGGCAGGCGCCGCAAGTACGTCGGTGGGTCGGGGGCTGCCCTTTACCCTACCCTTTGTTTATTGGCTCGCAGGGGTTCTCCACCTCAGTCACCGCCGCCCGGGGCCGCTTCGGTGACGCCCATGACCCTCCGCGCCCCTGCCGCGGCCCCTAGGGGCCCACCCAGCTCCGTACCTAGGAGGGGCCGGGCGACGGGCTAGAGTGCCTGGGCTGGGAGGGGGGCCCGGTGCCAAGCGCCCACTCTCTTTCTCAGGGAGAGGAATAACAGCACTTATATCCCCTTCATGCCCCAGTGCAGGCCTTTTGTTGGCGCGGGGTGGGTAAGGGGTTGTGCAGAGCTAACGCTAGGAAGGCGATAGGAGCTGGCTGCCCTTTATTGAGGGCTTGCTCCTGGCTACCGCATTCATAACATCTTTGCGTGCACTTTCTCATTTAATCTTCACGACTGCCCCACGAAGGGAGGTTAGGTAACAATCTGCCCTCTTAACCCCTTCCCAGTTTGCAGGTTTTGCCCCCAGCTTGGAGCCTGAGAACACTGTCTGCTATCTGTAAGAGGGAGTTTCCTGGGAAATTGCTAAATCGATGTCTCCTGCAGTGCTTCATTTTGTGGTCCCATTATATTAACAAACACTTGCATAGCACCAGCAATGTGCTGTCACCCTCTCAGTGTTTTACGTTTTAACTCATTTAATTTTCGTAATAACTTGACGAAGCAGGTAGAATTATTATTCCTATTTTACAGATGAAGAAACCGAGGCACCAAGAGGTTCTGTAACCTGTCCAAGGTCACACAGCTAGTACATGCCAGAGCCAGACTAGTTGACTTCCAATCATTGCTTTTGCCCCTATCCTAAAGATTCCCCAAATGTCAATGGCGATGTATCCACATCATCTCCTGCCTCCTTCTCCTCTTCTGGCTCCCACTGTGGGGCAATCAGCCTTTTTGTTAGGACCTGACATGACCTTGGCCCCACAGCCCCCCTTCCCCGCCCCCTTGGCGCCTCTTGCCAGTCCCATTGCTGACGGAGGTCTGACGGGGGCAGAGATTGATGAGAATGAGAGGATCTCTGAGGCCACCTGTTTACTCTGCCGGCAGGCACACGCAGTGATTAACGGTGCACAATCGAGTTAGGACCTGAGCTCTGCAGCTGGAGGCCAGGGCAGGGAGAGGGGCCTGCCGCCTAGAGTTTCCGCTCCCTGGGGATCTTGGGGGTTTGCAAGAAGCCCCTCGAGGAGACCGAGAATGAGCAGTGCCCGGCCAGAGGGTATAGGGTGCATGTAGACAACCTTCCCTGTCCTACTTGCCCCCGCCCCCTTTCCACAGAGATAGTGGGGCTGGGCGTGTCTCAGCTCCAGACCTTGTCCAAGGAAGGAAGGAATGAAGGAAGGAGGAAGGAAGGCTTTTCCCAAAGGGCAACCTCTCAACAGGAAATGGTAGCAATGCAGGGAGAGAGGGAGAAGCAGGGCTGTGTCCGTCTGGGGTTTGGATGGTGGGGGACAACTCTGTTTGGGCCCAAGCCTCCTCACTTGTATCCCTGTGTCTTTCCCCCAGGCGTGAACGACTTCTCTCTTGAGCACATGCCCATTCTGCTCTAGTTTTCTTGTTATAACAGCCTAGCCTGAAGGAACACATGAATAAAAGCCCAGCCCCAGCTGTAGCCCTCCTTATGGGGACCCTTTGTTCCCTTGCCCTGCATTCAGGGGACAGGTCACCAGAGTTTCACTAGTTTAAAAACCACACAGTGCAGCCCATAGCATGTCCTGCCTCCTCCAGATTGGTAATGAAGCTCCATCCTAAGGGTTCAGACTGGAGTCTATGCCCAGCACTGTGTTCAACACTGGGAAGGGAACAGGAGAAACCAGGGCCCAGAAACCATGGGGCTTATGAGCTTGTTGGGGAGACAAAATGATTTTGGGAAAGGTATTAGGGCACAGTGGAGCCCATGCATTTCCCAGGAACAGGATAAAAAGGTGAGGGAAGGTAGAAGGATGGTCAGTAGACGCTGGCCCTATGCAGAGGGTGCAGGCCTGCCCAGGAAGGGTGATCTGGTTTTGGAGGTTGTGTGGTATGTCAGGGCGCCAGACTGAGTCAAGTCGCGGGGCCCTGTCTAGCGCCTTGTAGAAGGAGTCATGGCCTCTCTCTCACCCTCAGTCTATTCTGTACTTGGAGTGGAGATGGAGGCAAAGTCGGACCTGGTAGCCTCAGTGGGCTCTCCCAGCTCTGATGTTCCTTGAAGATGGGACACCTGGGGCTTGACTCTGTTCTGTGGCCTGGCAGATCCCTCCGTTCTCTGAGCTTCAGTTTCTCTGAAAGTAAAATGGGAACTCAGGCTAGCCCAGTGTTCCTCAGTCTATTTTGTGGAAGTTAGTGGATGTTATTTATTTATTTTTTTAAAAAGTCCTCTGTGATGAAATGGGAAATTAATTAGGCTTTCTTTACTGCAGGAACCTCTCCGAGCAAATAAATGGCAAACATGTGTTGAGAGTCTCTGAGAGGCAAAGAGAACGATCAGCATTTCCCAAACTTATTTCTCCACAGGATCTTTTTTTACATGGAGCGTCTCGTAGGACTGGCTTCTGAGGAACACAGGTGGGTCACTCTGGACTGGCTTATCTAGAAAACCTCCAGCTCTGATGTGATAGTTTTAGGCACCACCCGTCACCCATTCGGCCTCTACTCCTGCCCCCTTGAAGGATTCTTTTCCCTAGCCCCAGCCTTTCCCGGACACTGCCCACCTCTGGATCCCTTACTGTACTCTCTTTAGGGAGCCCTTCCTGTGCCCGGCTTCATATGACCTCCCTGGCTCAGCCCCCTAGAGGGCTCAACTTCATCCCGCTGCCCCTTCCCTGGTCCTTTCCAGTTCCCAGAGGACCTGAGGGGCACTGTCTGGGCTCTTCTGGTAGGGTCAGTGTGACAGCTACCCTCAGCCCCAGTATGTGGTTTTCTGGTTCCTAATCCCAGGCCCTAGTCCCAAATTTCCTAGGCTCAGCTTCAAGCCTCCCTCTTTAGCCCTCAATCAACAGACCTCATTCCCTATCCCCTACATGAGGCCTCTAGCCCCAAGTCTCCTGGTTCCCAGCTCCAGGCTCCTGCACCTTAATCTGCAGCTCCAAGCCCTAGTCCCACTGCCCACCCGTGGCGTCCAGCCTTCCTCTCCAGAGCAGTTTCTGAGATTCTGGGTTCTAGGGGGTTAATAGGCAGCCTCTTTCCTCTCTCCAGCTGCAGCTGCAACCGACTTGGTTTTTGGGCCTGAGCCAGGGGCCTGGGCCAGAGGAGAGCAATTGAGCACCCTGGCTGAGTGAGGGGTGAATCTCAGGAGTTGAGGACAACTATTTAGAGTAACACTGCCTCCAACCCCCAAGCCTGGTTCAAGGTAAGGGAACCCCTTAGAGGCAAAATTACAGATTATGAACAGAAAATGCTAATGAGATAAATGGTGGGAGGCGGGGGTTGGGGCCAAGGGCAGGGTAAGGAGAAGACAGGAGAGGGATGGGGGTGGTAAGCCTGGTTCAGCTTGGTTCAGTCCTGAGATGGTGCTGAGGATAGGGCCTGCCACAGGGTGTCCTAGCTGGGGAATCTCTAAAGAACCATTTTACAGATGGGGAAGCTGAGGCCCTGTAATTTGCCAAAGGCTCCCTCCTAGGGAGGAGGGGCTATTGCCCCTGCCTCTGTGTTCTTCTCTTTTTTCTTCTTGCCTCCAGTTTCCAGATGTTAGTGGCCAGTGCCCAACCCAAAATTGTCTCCTCATATCATGATCTCAATGTGCAGTTTCCAAAATGCTTTTTCTTCAGCACCTCCTCCTTCTAGAAATCCTTGCTGTGCTCAGCCTCTGGGGACACCCCGTCTTGGGTCTCTTCCTACTCCCCTGGCTGTTGTTCCACATTCTCCTTTGCTGATGTTCCTCACCATCCTGCTCTGAACTTTGGAGTGTCTGGGCTCAGCATTTTTTTTTTTTTTGAGTCGAAGTCTTGCTCTGTCGCCCAGGCTGGAGTACAGTGGCATGATCTCTGCTCACTGCAACCTCCACCTCCCGGGTTCAAGCAATTCTTCCTGCCTCAGCTTCCTGAGTAGCTGGGATTACAGGCATGCACCACCACACCTGGCTAATTTTTGTATTTTTAGTAGAGATGGGGTTTTGCCATGTTGGCCAGGCTGGTCTTGAACTCCTGACCTCAGGTGATCCACCCGCCTCAGGCTCCCAAAGTGCTGGGATTACAAGTGTGAGCCACCACGCCCGTCTGGGCTCAGTCTTTGGACCTTCATACCCACTTTCCAGGTGAGCTTATGCCACCCACACACTGATGACTCCCAAATGTATATGTCTAGCCCAGGCTCTCTTCTGAACACCAGTCTTGTCTATCCAATATTTCCTCATCTGTAAAATGGGAATCATAATAGCTCTACATCCTAGGGCCATGATGAGGATTAAATGAGTTTAGACGTGGAAAGTGTTAGAAAAATGCTTGGCTCAGAGTGAGCTCTACGGCTGGAGCTATGCTTATTATTACCACTGTCATTAGTGCTGCCTGCCAGCTCCATTTGGATGTGTAGAATCATCTCAGTCATGACTCATCCCAAACCCCAAACATGCTCTATCCGCAGCCTTGCCCATCTCAGCAGGTGGCAACCCTGTCCTTTCAGTAGCTCAGGCCAAAAACCTTGGAGTCACCCTTGACTCTGTTCTTTCTCTCACATGCCAAATCTAATCCATTAGAAAATCCTCTTGTCTTTTCCTTAAATACATCCGGAGTGCAACCACTGTGATTTTGCTAGTGTTGTCTCTCACCTGGATTACTGTCTCAGGCCCTTTTGATATGTAAGTTACATCATGTCTCTCCTCTGTTCAAAATGCTCTAACGACTCTCCAGCTTTCTCAGAATAAAGCGTCAGTTCCCACAGGAGCAGCTCCTGCTTCCTCCTGAGCCTCGTTTCCTACCACTGACTCCTCACTGCTCTGCCCCAGCCACACTGGCCTTGCGGTTCCAAGAACCTACCAAGCACTTTCCTGCCTCAAGGACTTTGTGCTAGTGTTATCTTTGGCTAGGTAATAGTAAACAAACCATCAGGATTCTACAAGATAAAGATTATGATAGAGATCATGCAAAGGTTTGGGAGTTGGGGCAGTGGGCACATAGAGAGGAGCCCAGAGAGCCTGGCCCTAGCCATTCATAAAAGTCACTGAATGTCCCTTAAGCAGTGGGCAGCCGAGGAAGGTATGTGTGCAGGGCAGGGTTGGGACTAGGGTGGGGTGAGGTGCAAATTTAAGAGGGTGCTAAAAAACTCAACAATTATGATGAATAATATTTTAATGTAGTATTTTAAAAATCAAAATTAATGCAAAAGTTCATGATGAATAAAATATCAAACTTTCAATTAAAGACTGGATCAGGGCCAGGCGTGGTGGCTCATGCCTGTAATCCCAGCACTTTGGGAGGCTGCGGTGGGCAGATACAAAGTCAGGAGTTTGAGACCAGCTTGGCCAACATGGTGAAACCCCATCTCTACTAAAAATAGAAAAGAATCAGCTGGGCGTGGTGGCAGGTGCCTGTAATCCCAGCTACTCAGGAGGCTGAGGCAGGAGGATTGCTTGAACCCTGGGTGTGGGGGGAGCGGGGGCAGAGGTTGCAGTGAGCCGAGATGGTGCCACTTGGCTCCAGCCTGGGTGAAAGAGCGAAACTCCGACTCAAAAAAAAGAGACTGGATCATGCAGGGCTCAGACAGGAGAGGTAAGTCCATTGCTTCACTGCTTCACTCACTCTACGCTAGTCTTGGCCCTAGATGGCAGGCCAGTGACTCAAGATCCTTCTGGGGTCATGGGAGGATGGACTGGACAGGGACACCAAACAATGGGCCAGGAAGAAATTAGGTGGAGAAGCCTGGCCCAGGGGATGGCAGTGGGCTGGACAAGACGTTTCTGGTGTGTGAAATTGTAATAGCGAGTCTTTTTTTTCTTTGAGACTGAGTCTTGCTCTGTCTCCCAGGCTGGAGTACAGTGGTGTGATCTTGGCTCACTGCAAGCTCCGCCTCCCGGGTTCATGCCATTCTCCTGCCTCAGCCTCCCGAGTAGCTGGGACTACAGGTGCCCGCCACCATGCCTGGCTAATTTTTTATATTTTTAGTAGAGATGGGGTTTCACCATGTTAGCCAGGATGGTCTCGATCTTCTGACCCCGTGATCCACCCACCTCGGCTTCCCAAAGTGCTGGGATTACAGGCGTGAGGCACCGCGCCCCGCCTGTATTAGCGAGTCTTGGTGAGGTAATGGACAGAAACTCTGTGCTTGGTGGTGGTGCAAGTTTGGCTGAGAGGCAGTTAAAAACCAGGGAAGGGCGGGGCATCAGGGACAGGGGTGGGGCCACGTGGAGGAAAGGGCACTCACCTGGCTCACGTTGAGGACTGCCCTGAATCAGCCATCCGATCAGGAAGCCACCTGCAGCAGGTGGAGAAGCTGAGAGAGAAGGCCGTTCAGATCCTTGCATTCTCAGCTGAGGCAGGACCGGGGGAATGAGGCCTCTAGATTGACCCTGGCAATAGGGTCTCAGGGGCAGCACCAAGGCCGAGAGGTGGGGGGTTGGGGGGTGGGTCAGAGCCACGTTTAGGTTCTGAAGGCTGGGCTGGTAGATTGGGGGTTGTCAGGCCAAGGCTAGGAGATGGGATCAGGGCAAGGAAGCGGGGTGGGTCTGGAGACTGAATCTAGCACCTGTCCAGTACCTGTGTGTTGGGTTAGCCTTAGCATGGTTGCCCCCTTCCCCTGCAGGGCCAGGTGTGGGTCATGCCAGCCCTCTTCCTCCTCTCCTTGGGGCTGGGACAGTGCATGCCTGTCTCTGGATGTGGCTGGAGTCAGGCTCCTAGGACCAGGGCAGGGTCTCATTAGCCCAGAGCAGGCCTTGGGTGGGCAGATGGACCTGATGAATGGTTAACTGTTGCGCTGGGCAGCCACAGCTTGCATCCCACCCCACTCTGGCCACTCTGCAGTCCCTGCCAGAGCACCTCATGGCCTGCACCCTCAGGTCCTTCCTGATGTGAGCAGCAGAACAGGCACTGGGCATCCTGGGTTCTGTCCTGGACTGCACATCGTGGCTGTCCTTCATCCTGCTCATGTGGTCTCCCCAGTGCCATCAGCACTGGCTCCTACCAGCCCAGGAAGGGCAGGGAGGGGTTGGGGAGGAGGCAAGACCTGAGGATGGAGGATGGAGGAGATCAGACCTCAGGCACTCTCCCGGCTGTTTTTCCTTCTGGGGCCTCACTACTGCCAGCCTAGGGCTCTCTAGAGGCAGATTACCGAAAAGTCCAGAAGTGCTACAGAAAAGTCCAAAAGTGCAACAGAAAAGCTAAGGTTAGCTGGGGGGTTGAACTTCCTGGGCAAAGGCCCAGATGTAAGGTGGCAAACTGCTCCTGCAGCCAGGATCTGGCCTAGGGAGGAGGGGCTATTGCCCCCTCCCTCTGCATTCTTCTCTCCTTTCTTCTTACCTCCTGTTTCCAGATGTTTGCACCTGCCTCAGGGAGGGGAAGAGCCTCAAACAAAGCCTCCTTATTGGCTGCCTTCATTTTAGTTCCTTTTACCCTTCCAGGAAAGACTGAAGTGGGAGGAGGAGGAGCAAAGACACATAACGTTTTTCTCTATCACCAAAAGAAAACCTTTAAGGGAGCAGAGAAAATGGCAAGAAAGGTAAGGAGTAAGGGGTGTGTGTGTGTGTCTGTGTGTGTGTGTGTGTGTGTGTGTGTATACACATCCCTGAATTCTGCCAAGCCAACTCTCCAGGTTCAAGTGTATCTCCTAGCCTTCCTCACCTTGAGGATAATGCTATTACTTACCTTATAGGTTATTGAGGGTTTTGATATGTATAATGTCATGTATCTACCATTATAGTACCATAAAGAATAGTTTCAGTGCCCTAAAAAATCCCTCGTGCTGGCTTGCTCATCTCTCTCCTCTCCCTCTGAACCCCTGGCAACCACTGATCTTTTTGCTGTCTCCTTATATTTTTTGATGCTATTGTAAATGGCATTGTTTTTTAAATTTCAATTTCTGATTGTTTATTGCTAGTATATAGAAACACAATTTTTTTTTTTTTTTGAGACGGAGTCTCACTCTGTTGCCTAGGATGCAGTGCAGTGGTGTGATCTTGGCTCACCACAACCTCCGCCTCCCGGGTTCGAGTGATTCTTGTGCCTCGGCCTCCTGAGTAGCTGGGATTACAGGCATGCGCCACCACACCCAGCTAATTTTTGTATTTTTAGTAGAGACGGGGTTTCACCATGTTGGCTAGGCTGGTCTCGAACTCCTGATCTCAGGTGATTCATCCACCTTGGCCTTCCAAAGTGCTGGGATTACAGGCATGAGCTACTGCGCCTGGCCACAATTCTTTTTGTTTTGTTTTTTTTGAGATGGAGTCTCACTCTGCCACCCAAGCTGGAGTGCAGTGGTGTGATCTCGGCTCACTGCAACCTTTGCCTCCTGGGTTCAAGCGATTCTTCTGCCTCAGCCTCCCGAGCAGCTGGGACTACAGGCGTGAGCCACCATGCCTCGCTAATTTTTGTATTTTTAGTAGAGATGGAGTTTCACCATATTGGCCAGGCTGGTCTTGAACTCCTGACCTCATGATCTGCCCACCTCAGCCTCCCAAAGTGCTGGGATTACAGGCGTGAGCCACCGTGCCTGCCCACAATTCCTTTTTTATATTGATCTTATAACCTGCAACCTTGCTAAAATCATGTTTTAGTTGTAGCAGTATTTTTGTAGATTCCACTGGATTTTCTACATAGATAATCACTGAAGGACATTTTGAACCAAAGGTTGACTAATGTGAAGTGGCCACTATGTATGGGCCGGAGGGGAACAATGGGATAAATTGTGCATTTTTTTTTTTTTTTAAGAGACAGGGTCTTGCTGTGCTGCCCATGCTGGAGAGCAGTGGCTGTTCACAGGTGTGATCCCACTACTGATCAGCTCTGTTTCTGACCTGGGGCAGTTCATCCCTCCTTAGGCAACCTGGTGGTCCCCTGCTTGGAGGAGGTCATCATGCCGAGCTTAGTGCAGACACCCCATCAGCATAGTGCTTAGAACTCCTGGGCCCAAGAGATCCTCCTGTCTCAGCCTCCCAAGTAGCTGGGACTAGAGGCCTGGCTCCATAGTTACTTTTAATAAAGTGGTCTTGGGTGGGTCTGGCCAGGAGTGTAGGGCCCATGGGAAGCATTTCTCTGAGACCTTACAGGCCCTGCCCTCTACTGGCTGCCATTTCTGCATCCACCTCCTGGCATGGATATCCAAGAGATACAGGGCTCCTCCTCTCCACCCTCTGCTCCTTCTCAGTCCTCAGGAGGCTTGGAGTGGGACCATCTGCTGTTCCTGTTGCTGCTGCCCCAGTTTCTCTTTCCACCTGGGAGGGAAGGAGAAGCAGCGTTCAGGAGTAGAGTTGGGGGTTTCTTTTTAGGTGTCTGTGCTCAGTTGTCCTACTTTATATCCAAAGCCACCCACTATTTCCAAGAGCTGAGAGTCTCAGGGAGGTTTCCTGGGACTCAGCCAATGTGTGAGAATAGGATTCAGGGGGCCTGGATTTCAGCCTTGACTCCATCAGGGACCAGCTGCATGACCCTGGCTAAGTCCCTGCTCTCCTGTGGTCTGGCCTTTTATGACAAAAGAAGCTTGGGGGAGGGTGCAGCCCACCTTCTCTCCAGGTCCTTCACCTTTTCACCATGTTGGGCAGTGGCTGGCCAAGGGTCTCTGGCAGGAGGACAGTGATGATACTGGCAGCCACAGGGACCACACTATAGATAAATAGAGGCAGAGAAGGGTAGAACTCAGCAGCCATGTCCACCAGTAGGCTTAGGATGGTGCCACCATTGGTCACAGTTGTTGTCATGCTCAGACCCCTCTGCCTATGGGAAGGAGGAGCACCTTGGTGAGGACCGTGGGACTTGTGGGTGCCCTTACACTGCCTGCCACCCTGGCTTCCTCTTTTCACATTTGCTACAGGGTCAAATGATTGCATTTAATTTAGCTAAAACGAAAGGGGGAGCAAATGATTTTGGACCTGAGAAGTCTAGGTTCCAGTTCTAATCTGAATTTACTGTGTGACTGTGAACAAATTCTCAACCAACCTGTCTCTCCAGCTCCAGGCTACATATCAAGCTACTCTACATCTTCATTTGGATGTCTAAAAGGCCTCTCAAATTTTATATGGTCAAGGAACTCTTTATTTCTTCCTCCAAGCTTGCTCCTCCCCCAGACTTCCCCATCTTAGTAAATGGCACTTCTAACCACCTACTTGCTCAAGCTCAAGTATCTAGGAATTATCCTTGATGCCTCCTGTTCCCTTATTTTTCTACATCCAAAATAGAAATTTGGATAGCTGTTCCTCCCAAACTCACACAGGGTTAGTTCCCTTCTCTCTATCTCTACAACCTCTGTCCACCACTGATATGGTTTGGGTATGTCCCCACCCAAATCTCATCTTGAATTGTAACTCTCATAATTCCCATGTGTCATGGGAGGAACCCAGTGGGAGGTAATTGAATCATGGGGGCGGGTCTTTCCTGTGCTGTCTTTATGAGAGTGAATAAGCCTTACCAGATCTGATGGTTTTAAAAACATGAGTTTCCCTGCACAAGCTCTCTTTTTGACTGCTGTCATCCATGTAAGACATGACTTGCTCTTCCTTGCCTTCCACGATGATTATGAGGCCTCCCCAGCCATGTGTAACTGTAAGTCCATTAAACCTCTTTCTTTTGTAAATTGCCCAGTCTTGGCTATGTCTTTATCAGCAGCATGAAAATCAACTAACACAAACATGTCACTTCAAGTGATTTTCACCTCTTGCCTGTACTATTGCAGTAGCCTCCTGACAGTTCTTCCCATTTCTACTGTTGGCCTTGACCCTGACTCCCTGGCCCCACCCCATTCTCTATGCAGAAGCCAAAGTGTTCTCTTAAAAATTAAAACCATAATTCAGATCATTTCACCCTCTGCTTAAAACCATCCAGTGATGTCCCATTGTATTACTAGAATACAATCTGACCTTCTTTTTTTTTTTTTTGAGATGGAGTCTTGCTTTGTCACCCAGGTTGGAGTGCAGTGGTGTGATCTTGGCTCACTGCAACCTCCATCTCCTGGGTTCATGCAATTCTCCTGCCTCAGCCTCCCGAGTAGCTGGGATTACAGGCATGCGCCACCATGCCTGGCTAATTTTTTTTTTTTTTTTTGAGATGAAGTCTCGCTCTGTTGCCCAGGCTGGAGTGCAGTGGTGTGATCTCAGCTCACTGCAAGCTCCGCCTTCTGGGTTCACACCATTCTCCTGCCTCAGCCTCCTGAGTAGCTGGGACTATAGGTGCCCACCACTACGCCTGGCTAATTTTTTTTTGTATTTTTAGTAGAGATGGGGTTTCACCGTGTTAGCCAGGATGGTCTCGATCTCCTGACCTCGTGATCTGCCCGCCTTGGCCTCCCAAAGTGCTGGGATTACAGGCGTGAGCCCCCATGCCCAGCCAATTTTTGTATTTTTAGTAGAGACAGGGTTTCACCATACTGGTCAGGCTGGTCTTGAACTCCTGACCTCAAGTGATCCACCCACCTCAGCCTCCCAAAGTGCTGGGATTACAGGCATAAGCCACCACGCCCGGCCAATCTGACCTTCTTATAAGTCCTTATATGACTGGTCTCTGCCTGCCTCTTCTCTTATCTTGTGCCCTGTCCCTTTGTTTACACATTAAAACCATCAGACTTGGTCTTTTTTTTTGGGAGTCGACGGCTTGCTCTGTCACCCAGGCTGGAGTGCAGTGGTGCGATCTCGGCTCACTGCAACCTGCACCTCCTGGGTTCAAGCAATTCTCCCTGCCTCAGCCTCCCATGTAGCTGGGATTACAGGCACCCGCCGCCATGCCTGGCTAATTTTCGTATTTTTAGTAGAGACGGGGTTTTGACATGTTGGCCGGGCTGGTCTCAAACTCCTGGACTGAAGTGATCTGCCTGTCTCGGCCTCCCAAAGTGCTGGGATTACAGATGTCAGCCACCGTGCCCAGCCCAGACTTGATCTTTAACTTGGTTTTTACTTTTGATCTTTACTGAGGAGACTTTCCTGATTGCTCTGATCATTTTATCTAAACTAGCTATCTGATGGTTCCTTCTCTGCAGTTCTCTTTTAACGTCAGGTGCAGAGGGTTGAATTAATCATACTCCTCATTTCATGACCCTCTATTTTTGTCTTTGCAATGGCCCCTTGTTTTACCCTTTAATGTTTATTCCCCTTTATCACCATTACCCACTTCTAATTCCCTTCCTGCCAAAGTCAACTAGTGTCTTGTGTTTGATGTGCACTCTTTTATTTGTATATGTTCTTGTAAAATGTGTACTGTTGGCTGGGCTCGGTGGCTCATGCCTGTAATCCCAGCACTTTGGGAGGCCGAGATGGGCGGAACACTTGAGGTCAGGAGTTCGAGACCAGCCTGGCTAACATGGTGAAACCCCGTCTCTACTAAAAATACAAAAATTAGCTGGGTATGGTGGTGTGTGCCTGTAATCCCAGCTACTCAGGAGGCTGAGGCAGGAGAATCACTTGAACCTGGGGGGCAGAGGTTGCAGTGAACCGAGATCACGCTACTGCACTCCAGCCTGGGCAACCAGCAAGACTCCGTCTCAAAAAAAAAATGTATATTGTTTTGTGTGCAAATATTTTAATTTGCCTAAGTGGTATAGGCAATAGATCTTATTCTATTTTTCATTCCATTCAGCACTTTGTTTTAAAGAGATTTTATGGTGTTTACCTGCTGCTGCATACTATGCCATGGTGTGCCGGTCTCCACATTTTACCTAAACACTCATTCCCCCGGCTATGGGGATCTAGATTGTTGCCAACACCCATGACCTCAAACAATACTGCAGTGAATGTCCTTGTACACGTCTCCATAAGGGCCTTTGTGAGAAGTTCTCTGAGATACAGGCCCAAGAAGGGAATTACTGGTGTGTGTGTGTGTGTGTGTGTGTGTGTGTGTGTGTGTTCGTGGGTGTGAATGCTGCCAATTGCTTTCCAGAATGGTGGTACCAATTTCACTCCCACCAGCAGTGCATTTGAGACGTGAGGATATAGGGGTCCTGTATTCTAACATGGCCTGTAACACCTGCCATTACCTGGCTTTCTAATGCTGCCAGTTTAATGGCTGTAAAGTGCTATCTCATTTTTCTTTTTCTTTTTCTTTTTTTTTTTGAGATGGAGTCTTGCTTTGTCACCAGGCTGGAGTGCAGTCGTGCGATCTCGGTTCACTGCAACCTCTGCCTCCCGGGTTCAGGCGATTCTCCTGCCTCAGCCTCCTGTGTAGCTGGGACTACAGGCATGTGCCACCATGCCCAGCTAATTTTTGTATTTTTAGTAGAGATGCGGTTTCACTATGTTGGCCAGGATGGTCTCAATCTCTTGACCTCGTGATTCGCCCGCCTCAGCCTCCTAAAGTGCCGGGATTACAGGCGTGAGCCACCGCACCCAGCCACTATCTCATTTTTCACGTGGTGATTAATCTTCTGGATTTCTTTCTCTGTAAAATGTCTATTCATTTTCTTTGCCCATGTGTCTACTACTAGTGTTCCTTTCTTTTTCTTGTCGAAGGAGTCTTGTCAGTGTTAAAGGCGCAGAGGCTCATACCTGTAATCTCAGCACTTCAGGAGGCCAAGACGGGTGGATCGTTTGAGCTCACGAGTTTGAGACCAGCCTGGGCAGCATGGCAAAACCCTGTCTCTACAAAAAATACAAAAATTAGCTGGGCGTGGTGGTAAGCGCCTATAGTCCCAGCTACTCAGGAGGCAGAGGTGGGAGGATGGCTTGAGCCCGGGTGGTGGAAGTTGCCGTGAGCCGAGATTGCACCACTACACTCCACCCTGGGCAATAGAGCCAGACCTTGTCTCGAAAAAAAAAAAAAAAAAAAAAAAGAGTTGCAAATCTCTCCTCTCAATCTGTCATCTATCTGTTAAATTTGTCCATTGTGTCCTTCAGTAAGCAGAAATCCTTTTTGATATAATCAAATTTACATATTTACATGTCTATCTCCAAGCTCTCTTCTCAATTCTGTTTCTTCTTGCATCAAGAAAAGCTGCAAACAAATTTAACAGGGTGTCCTTTGTTAATTCCCTAATGAGATATATCTTTTGGTGCTATTCTGAGTGGTGTCTTACTTTTCAAAACAATATTTTCTAGATTATTGATTCTAAGCTATTGCTATTGATATTTTGGTAATTTGATTTTGTATCTAGCATCCTTGCAGAACTCTCTTATTAGTTTTAATTGTTTGTTGATTTTGTTCATTTATCTAGGTAGATGAACATATTCCAAGTAATGAGATTTTTAGAACATATTCTAAGTAATGAGATTTTTAACTTTTCTTTTTTAATTTTTAATTTTCTTATATCTTTTTCTTTCCTACTAGAGTGGTATTGGTCAGGCCCCCGAATACTGTGTTAAATAGTTGATTCTGATGCTGAAGAGAATGCATATACATTTTCTCATTATATATAGTGTTTGGTTTTGTGTTCAGATGCTCTGCTTACCTCTCTGGGTTTGCACTTTTCCTTAGATGATTGGCCTAGATTTTCCTTACTATCTTCTTTCTTTTTTTTTTTTTCTGAGACAAAGTTTCACTCTGTTGCTCCAGCTGGAGTACAGTGGCATGATCTTGGTTCACTGCAGCCTCAACCTTCTGGGGTCAAGTGATCCTTCGCTCCTCAACTTCCTGAGTAGCTGGGACTACAGCCACATGCCATCACACCTAGCTAATTTCTGTATTTTTTGTAGAGATGGGTTTTCGCCATGTTGGTCTTGAACTCCTGGGCTCAAGCAGTTTGCCCACCTCTGCCTCCCAAAGGCATTACAGGTGTGACCTGCCACACCCGGCCCCATTTTCCTTACTATCTTTCTAGCTCTTTGGTGCTTTTTTTTTTTTTTTTTTTTTTTTTTTTTGAGATGGAGTCTTGCTCTGTCACCCAGGCTGGAGTATAGTGGTGCAATCTCGGCTCATTGCAACCTCCACTTCTCGGGTTGAAGCGATTCTCCTGCCTTGAGTAGCTGGGATTACAGGCGCATGCCACCACACCCAGCTAATTTTTGTATTTTTAGTAGAGACGGGGTTTCACCATGTTGGCCAGGCTGGTCTCGAGCTCCTGACCTTGTGATCTGCCCACCTCGGCCTCCCAAAGTGCTGGGATTACAGGCATGAGCCACCACGCCCGGCTGCTTTTTGGTGCTTTTAAGGTTATCTTTTCCTTACTATCTTTCTAGCTCCTTGGTGCTTTTAAGGTTATTTAAAAATATACCTTTTTTTGGGATGATTTTCGGTGTAATTTTGTTATTTTAATGGAAATAGAAATCCTTTTTCTAATCAATTTCCAGAAATTCTTTATAAATTCTGAATACAAATCCTTGGAAATTCTGTCTTTTACTCTTTTCACCTTATATATAGTAAAACAGATGACCCAAATTAAAACACTTTAAAGTAGAAAAATTTATCAATTTTTTTTTTTGCTACCACTTTTTATGTCTTAAATTCTCCTCCCTTCAGCAGGAATTCATTTGTGTTTAAGGTTGGAATATGGATTGCATTTTATTTCTTTCCTATGTGGGTAAATACACATCCTGGTACTACTTATTGAATAGCCCGTGTTTTAGCTAGTGATCTGCAGTGCCTCCTCTGTCACTTCCCAAGTTCCTTTTTTTTTTTTTTTAATCTTTTTCTGAGATGGAGTCCTGCTCTGTCACCCAGGCTGGAGTGCTGATCTGATCTCAGCTCACTGCCACCTCCACCTGCCAGGTTCAAGCAATTCTCCTGCCTCAGCCTCCCGAGTAGCTGCGATTACAAGCGCCCACCACCACGCCCAGCTAATTTTTTTTTTTTTGTATTTTTAGTAGAGACGGGTTTTCACTATGTTGGCCAGGCTGTTCTCGAACTCCTGACCTTGTGATCCACCCACCTTGGCCTCCCAAAGTGCTGGGATTACAGGCGTGAGCCACAGCGCCTGGCCTCAAGTTTCTTCTATGTGTGGGTCTGTTTTTGGGTTTGATCTTCTCCACTGGCCTATTTTGTTTTTCCTGCACCATCATCTACTGTCTTAATCACTACAGTGATAAAGTAAGAGTTTATAATATGTACTAACTTCTGGTAGGGCAATTTTTTCTTCCTTGTTCTTTCTAAAAAGAGCATCTTAGTTCCACTTGGCCCTTAGCACTTTTATGTAAATTTTAGAATTTGCTTAGCCAGTTTCTTGAGTATGGCCAATGGGATTTTGATCAGAATTGCATTGAATTTATAGGCCGGGTGTGGTGGCTCACGCCTGTAATCCCAGCACTTTGGAAGGCTGAGGTGCGCAGATCACCTGAGGTCAGGAGTTTAAGACAAGCCTGGCAAACATGGCAAAACCCCGTCTCTACTAAAAATACAAAAATTAGCTGGGTGTGGTGGTGTGCACCTGTAATCCCAGCTACTCAGGAGGCTGAGGTAGGAGAATTGCTTGAACCCAGGAGGCAGAGGTTACAGTGAGCTGAGATCGTGCCACTGCACTCCAGACTGGGCAACAGAGCAAGACTCCATCTCAAAAAAGAAAAAAAAAAAATTCGACCCTATCAGGTACTGTGCTCACTATCCGGGTGACAAAATCATTTGTACACCAAACCCCAGTGCCATGCAATTTACCTATATAGCAAACCTGCACATGAACCCCCAAACCTGAAATAAAAATTAGAAGAAAAAAATACTACCTCACACCCACTAGGAATGGCTATAATAAAAACATCAGATAGTAATGAGTGTTGGTCAGGATATAGAACCCTCATACATGCTGATTGTGGGTAGCCACTTTGGAAAACAGTCTGGCAGTTTCTCAAAAAGTTAAAGATACTGTTACCCAATGGACTCAGTAATTTCACTTCAATCTATACCTAAGAGAAATGAAAACATATGCCTATGCAAAAACGTGTACAGAAATGTTCATAGCAGCATTATTTATAATAGCTAAAAGGTATAAACAGCTCAGATGTTTATCAACTGATAAATGGATGAACAAAATTGGTATTTCCACATAATGGAATATTACTCAGTTATAAAATTGAATGAAGTACTGATACATGCTACAACATGAATGAACTTTGAAACATTATGCTAAAAGAGGCCAGTCATAAAAGACTACATAGTATATGATTCCATTTATATGAAATGTCCAAAAAAGACAAATCTATAGAGATAGAAAATGGGTTAGTGGGGCCAGGCACGGTGGCTCATGCCTGTAATCCCAGCACTTTGGGAGGCTGAGGTGGATGGATCACCTGAGGTCAGGAGTTCGAGACCAGCCTGGCCAACATGGTGAAACCCCGTCTCTACTAAAAATACAAAATTAGCCAGGCATGGTGGCAGGTGCCTGTATCCCAGCTACTTGGGAGGCTGAGGCAGGGGAATCGCTTGAACCCAGGAGGCGGAGGTTGCAGTGAGCTCAGATCATGCCATTGCACTCCAGCCTGGGCGAAAAGAGTGAAACTCCATATCAAAAAAAAAAAAAAAAAAAAAAAAAAAAGGATTACTGGTTGCTTAGGATTGGGTAGGGGATAGAGATGAATGTTTGGGGATTGAAAACTAAAGGATACAGATTTTCTGTTTGAGGGGATGAAAGTGTTCTAAAATTTACTGTGGTGACAGTTGTACATATCTATGAGCATACTAAATACCATTCAATTGTATACTCGAAATGGATAACTTGTA
This sequence comes from Homo sapiens, assembly GCF_000001405.40. Classification (NCBI taxonomy): domain Eukaryota; kingdom Metazoa; phylum Chordata; class Mammalia; order Primates; family Hominidae; genus Homo; species Homo sapiens. The sequence continues at coordinate 62,944,831 of NC_000011.10, forward strand.
TGGTATGTGAATTACACATAAATAAAGCTGTTATGAAATAAATTATTCACTGTTATTTGAAATTCAAAAATATTAAATTCATCAGCATAGACTTGTTCATAGATTTTTTGCATCTTTTTAATGACTCTAAGTCTTTAGTTCTGTTTTTTTATTCATAATATTTGCTTATGTCCTCTATCCTTCATTTTTTGATTATTGTTACCCAAGATTTGTCCATTTCATTGATATTATTAAAGACCAACTTTTTGTTTTGTTGAGCTTCTATATTATATCTTAGTTTTCTATTTAATTTATTTATGGTATTATTGTTATTGTTGATGTTGTTGTTTTACAACTAAGGTAACTGAGCATTTGGACCAAAAACTTTGGCTCCAGAGCCAGATTCTTAACCATTGCATCTTTTTTTTGGTCTTAAAGTTTATTTGGACTACTATTAGTGTGGCTAATCAGCTTTCTTCTGGTTAATATTTGTCTGCTATATCTTTTTCCATCTCTCTACATTTAACATTTATATATACAAAACTTTAGATGAGTTTCTTGTAAATAGCATGAACTAGATTTTTTTTTTTTTTTTTTTTGAGACGGAGTCTCGCTGTGTTGCCTGGGCTGGAGTGCAGTGGCACGATCTCCGCTCACTGCAAGCTCCGCCTCCCGGGTTCACACCATTCTCCTGCCTCAGCCTCCCGAGTAGCTGGGACTACAGGAGCCTGCCATCATGCCCGGCTAATTTTTTTTTGTATGTTTTTAGTAGAGACGGGGTTTCACTGTGTTAGCCAGGATGGTCTTGATCTCCTGATCTCGTGATCCGCCCGCCTTGGCCTCCCAAAGTGTTGGGATTACAGGCATGAGCCACTGCGCCCGGCCGCATGAACTAGATTTAAAAAAAATGTTACCTGGAGTATCTTTGCCGTTGAATTGGTAAATTTAATTCATTTACATTTATTGCGGTGACTGAGATGTTTGGAGTTATTGATACCATCTTACCTTTTGTCTTTTATTTACCTTGATTTTCATGTTTTTGTCCTCTTTTCTTGCCTTAAAAAATAGTTGATTGACCTTTGTGCCCTTTCCAACTTGAAATCTGCTCTAGGGCCTGATTGTCCTATCCCAGGATCCCTCCCCAAAACCTCACTCACTATATTATTATAGGCATAGTTCTCTTGCATAGATGAAGATGCAGTTCGTAGATCCAGTAGCATAGTCTTTTCTTAACATGACCGTTGTAATGCAGAGGAATAACTGATATGGAAGGGAACAAAGATGATGGCAAGGTGCTAGGAAAAGTTTGAAGGAATCTTGGGTCTTTTCCACCCTTCTAGGTAGCTGGCCTGGGGCAGATTTGGGTCTGGGTCTGGGAAAGAATTAGGACAGGAGCAGAGGTGCGGCAGATGCTTACTCAGGAGCACCATTGCACAAGCCAGAATATAGATCTCTGAAAGCAGCAAGGAGGCCATTTGGGTAGGCCTGCGGCCCAGAAATCTGGTGACCAAAAAGCCCAGCAAATAAAATAGTGGATTCACAGTTGCAAAGAATACTTGGATCAGGTAGATATTGATTTCCAAACTTTGCAGACTTATGACTGAACTGTAGGAGCTGAAGACGATTACAGACCTGGGGCAGGAGCTGAAGACTATTACAGACCTGGGGCAGGAGCAGAGAGGATGTACTCTGGGTAGGAGCCATGACACATCTACATAGCAATTGCAGCTGGCAAACTACTCTCACATCTCTTCTCTCCTTTAGACCTTACATTAGCCCTGTGCTGTGTGTGAGTGGAGTTTTTAATCTTTCAATTGCAGATAAGAAAATCTTCCCTTAATTCTATTCATTTGTTTCTTTATTGAGACCGTCTCACTCTGTTACCCAGGCTGGAGTGCAGTGGCACGATCTCGGCTCACTGCAACCTCCGCCTCCCGGGTTCAAGTGATTCTCTTGCCTCAGCCTTCTGAGTAGCTAGAATTACAGGTGTGTGCCACTGTGCCTGGCTGATTTTTGTATTTTTAGTAGAGACAGGGTTTCACCATGCTGGCCACGCTGGTCTCAAACTCCTGAGCTCAAGTGATCTGCCTTTCTTGGCCTCCCAAAATGCTGGAATTAGAGGCACGAGCCACGGCACCTGGCCAGAAATTAGGTAACATTTAAAAATTATCTGGGAAAGGGCAGGTGTGGTGGCTAATGCCTGTACTCCCAGCACTTTGGGAGGCTGAGGCAGGTGGACTGCTTGAGGCCAGGAGTTCAAGACCAGCCTGGCCAACATGGCAAAACCCTGTCTCTACTAAAACTACAAAAGGGAAAATTAGCTGGGCATGGTGGAACATGCCTGTAATCCCAGCCATTCAGGAGGGTGAGACACGAGAATTACTTGAGTCCAGGAGGCAGAAGCCACAGTGAGCTGAAATTGCTTGATTGTACTCCAGCCTGGGTAACAGAGGGAGACTGTCCCCCCAAAAAAATTATCTGGGAAAAAATAATATTTTTTGCTTAGCAATAGGTCTCCCTTTTCCCCTCCTAATTCCCCGACCTAAGAGATCAGCTTTTGGTGGATGCTTGCATTTATAAGTTGATTGTACTGGGAAGTTTTGTGTGTGTATGTGTGTGTGTGCGTGTGTCTGTCCCTCCCCACTGGATAGCTCAAGTAACAACTGATCTGATGAACTGATAAATTCTAAGAAGTAAAGATTTATTTAACGGCAGGAGTTTTGCTTTGCTGAGTGACGAATACAAGTTTACAGCTAGACATGAATTTTTAGGACAGTGGAGGAGACCTCAGAGATTAAATGGGAGAAGAGTCAGGAGAGGGAGGAAGCATGTACAGCTGTTAGCCAAGGAAGGATTTGAAGGAGGACAGAAATGCCTATTAAGTTTTTTATGCTGTGTGGTATGTGATATAAGCATCTCCTTTATCTCCCCATGGAGTCTTGGAAAAATCGACAATGTTTAGTGACACTTTGTGGGGAAGCTTTGCTCTGAGATGTGATGTGTTCTGTGTCCTGCCTCAGCCCTGGTGAAGGGCACAGTGAGAAGCTGTCCACAAGAAGACAATCATTTATGCGCCACACTATAATTAAGAATTAAACAGAACACTATTGGCACCAGAATAGACAGACAAATCAATGGGATGAAATAGTCCAGAAATAGTATGTGATAAGCGTGGTGTTTCACACCAGCCAGGAAAGGTGGGACTATTCATTAAGTTCATTTGGGACAATTTACCTTAGTTGTAAAACAACAACAACAATATCAACAATAACGATAATACCATAAATAAATTAAATGGAAAACTAAGATACAATATAGAAGCTCAACAAAACAAAAAGTTAGTCTTTAATAATATCAATGAAATGGACAAATCTTCGGTAACAATAATCAAAAAATGAAGGATAGAGGACATAAGCAAATATTATGAATAAAAAAGAAACAGAACTAAAGACGCAGAGTCATTAAAAAGATGCAGAAAAAATCTATGAACAAGTCTATGCTGATGAATTTAATATTTTTGAATTTCAAATAACAGTGAACACTTTATTTTGTAACAGCCTTATTTATATGTAATTCACATACCATACAAGCCATCCATTTCGAGTATACAATCGAATGATATTTGGTATACTCATAGATATGTACAACCATCACCATGGTAATTTTAGAACACTTTCATCCCCTCAAACAGAAAATCGGTATCCTTTAGCTTTCAATCCCCAAACATTCATCTCTATCCCCTACCCAATCCCAAGCAACCACTAATCCATTTTTTTTTTTGATATGGAGTTTCACTCTTTTTGCCCAGGCTGGAGAAAAAATAGAATTCTACTATAATTCTAATAGAATTTCTAATAGAAAAAAATAGAATTCTACTTCCTACCCTATGTTAAACTAAATTTCAGATGAAACTATGATACAACATGAAAGCTCAAACAAATACATTTGTGCTTGAAGAAAATCTAGGCGAATAGTTTTATACTTACGGGGAGAGGAAGGCCTTTCTAAATGTAACCCAAAACACAGAGGAAGAGGAAGAGGCAGCAAACAGCAGGGTAGCGTACAACTGCAGCACTGAGTGATGGGCTTGGCCTGTGGTCATGGCCTTCTGCAGATTGGCTTGGAGCACCTGCCTGGGTAGATGGAGCTCAGGGCCTGGGTTTCCCCAGGGGCCCTTTACCTCAGTCCCTGCCCTGGGAAGCATGATGTGCTGGATTCTAGGGTGAAGGTGGGGGCAGGCAGAGCCCTGGAGGGGTGTCACACAGGTCTCGGGGTTCTCACCTCCATACTCAGCTTGGTGTCTACTTCCTGCTTTTTACTGATCTGGGCCACTGTCTGTGGGGCCGTCAGGGGGAGGTCCAGCCTTCCACCGAGGGAGTGCTAGCGGGCAGATTGGATGACAAACCTGTGGATGGGGATGGCAGCAGGGCAGGCATGACTTCAGCCTGGGTTGGCAGAGTGTGGCTGCTTGAGGAGGGCACAGATGAGCAGGAAAGCACCTTGGAGGGATGGAAAAAATTCTGGGGTGGGAATTGGGAGTCCTGGGTTCCTTTTTTTTTTTTTTTTTTTGACAGGGTCTTCCTCTGTTGCTCAGGCTGGAGTGCAGTGCCGTGATCTTGGCTCACTGCAACCTCTGACTCCCAGGCTTAAGCCATCCTCCCACCTCAGCCTCCCAAGTAGCTGGGACTACAGGTGCGAGCCACGACATCCAGCTAATTTTTTGTGTGTGTGTTTTTAGTAGAGACAGGGTTTTGTCATGTTGGCCAGGCTGGTCTGGAACTCCTGAGCTCAAGTGATCCATCTGCCTCAGCCTCCCAAATTGCTGGGATTACAGGCATGAGCCACCACACCTGGCCAGGAGTCCTGGGTTCTAATCCAAGGATTGCCACTGTCTTCTTGGGAGACCTCAGGCAGGCTTGGCCAGGCATGATGGGCACCCACACAAGGCCTGGGGAAAATAATCTGTCTCTCCTGGTGGGGAGGAGGATCTTACATTGGGATTAGCACATAAGGAGCGGCTTCCTCCCCTGCTTCACAATCTTTCTCATTATTTCCTGGTGAGAATTATTCAAGTTACTATTTTCTTTCTTTTCTTTTCTTTCCTTTCTTTCTTCTTTTCTTTTCTTTTTTTTTTCCAGGGTCTGACTCTGTTGCCCAGGCTAGAGTGCAGTGGTGCGATCTCAGCTCACCGTAACCTCTGCCTCCCAGGCTCAAGTGATCCTCCACTTCAACCTCCTGAGTAGCTGGGACCACAGCTCACTTACAACTGGATTATTTAAGTGATCCACCCACCTTGGCCTCCCAAAGTGTTAGGATTATAGGCATGAGCCACTGAGCCTGGCCAAGTTATTTTACAGTATGGAAAAGATGGCTTTTGGGCTGCCTGCTCAGTGTATTCTCCTATTCTGAGCACTAACCCCTCATCCTCCTCGGGCCTCCTGAAGTCTTATTTTACCTCCTGAGCCTGTCTCTTCCCAACACAACTGAGGACACCTGACCCCAGGGCTAGACTGAGCTAACGAGAGTCTATATTATGAATTTGGAAATATGGGCCAGGCGCGGTGGCTCACTCCTGTAATCCCAGCACTTTGGGAGGTCAAGGCAGGCGGATCATCTAAGATCAGGAGTTTGAGACCAGCCTGGCCAACATGATGAAACACCGTCTCTACTAAAAATACAAAAATTAGCCAGACATGGTGGTGGGCACCTGTAATCCCAGCTACTTGGGAGGCTGAGACAGGAGAATCGCTTGAACCCAGGAGGTGGAGGTTGCAGTGAGCCAAGATCGTGCCACTGCACTCTAACCTGGGAGACAAAGCAAGACTCCGTGTCAAAAAAAAAAAAAAAAAGGAAATATGGCTCAGAGAAGTGGGATTTGTAAGGACACCCAACGTTGGAGTGGGACCCAAAGTTTGGGCCAATGTGAAAGTAGAGTTGAGAAAACAGGAGAGAGGGAGGAGGAGGAAGAGGAGGTCATGGTGAGAGGGGAGGGTAAAATGAAGTAATCCAGTTAGAGAGAAGTCAGGACCAGGATTCAGTCAGTGCCAGAGGGTAGATGGAGAGTCAAGTTGAGTGGTCTTAGTCCTTCACAAGGCTGGGCTCAAATTCCTGACCCCGTGTTCTGTGAAATACTCTTGCATCCTTCCATTAACTTTTCATTTTTGCATAAGCATATTTGAGAGTTATGGTTATCTGTAACCCTGAATAAACAACAATTGGCACTAAACCAATAACGTAAATTTTCTTGTTCTTTTTTTTTTTTTTTTTTGAGACAGCTTGCTCTGTTGCCCAGATTGGAGTGCCGTGGCATGATCTCAGCTCACTGCAACCTCCGCCTCCCGGGTTCAAGCGATTCTCCTGCCTCAGCCTCCTGAGTAGCTGGGACTACAGGTGCACGCCACCATGCCTGGCGAATATTTGTATTTTTAGTAGAGACGGGGTTTCACCATGTTGGCTAGGCTGGTCTTGAAGTCCTGATGTCAAGTGATCCACCCATCTCAGCCTCCCAAAGTGCTGGGATTACAGGCGTGAGCCACCGCACCCAGTCTGTTGTTCTTTCTTAAAGTAGATTTTATTTTTTAGAGCAGTTTCAGGTTCACAGCAAAATTGGGTGGAAGTTACAGAGATTTCTAATATATTCCCTGTCCCTACATACACACACTCCTCCATTATCAACACCCCTACCAGAGTGGTATTTGTTACAACTGATGAATACATTGAACTCTAAGTCCAGAGTTTACATTAGGGTTCACTCCTGGTGTTGTACATTATATATATATATATATATATATATATATATATATATATACACACACACACATACATACATATATGTATGTATGTATATATATATATGTATGTATGTGTGTATATATATATGTATGTATATATATATGTGTGTATATATGTATGTATATATATGTGTGTATATATGTATGTATATATATATGTGTGTATATATGTATGTATATATATATGTGTATATATATACATATATATATATGTGTGTATATATATATATATATGTGTATATATATATATATATGTGTGTGTATATATATATATATATATATATATATATATATATGTATATATATATATATATCTCAAGCAATTCTCCTGCTTCAGCCTCCCGGGCAGCTGGGACTACAGGTGCGTGCCACCACTCCCGGCTAATTTTTGTATTTTTAGTAGAGATGGGATTTCACCTTGTTGACCAGGCTGGTCTCGAACTCCTGACCTTGTGATCCACCCGCTTTGGCCTTCCAAAGCGCTGGGATTACAGGCGTGAGCCACTGCACCCCGCCCATTCTACATGTTTTGACAAATGAATAATGACATGTATCCACCATCACAGTATCATACAGTAGTTTCACTGCCCTACAAAATCCTCTGTGTTCTATTTGTCTCTTTGTCCCCTCTGAACTCTGGTGATCACTGACCCTTTTACTGTCTCCATAGTTTTGCCTTTTTCAGTTGGGCCTGGTGTAGGGGCTCACATTTGTAATCCTAGCACTTTGGGAGGCTGAGGTGGGAGGATGGCTTGACTCCAAGAGTTTGAGACCAGCCTGGGCAGCATAGTGAGATCGCATCTCTACAAAAAGTGAAAAAAAAATTAGCCAGGTGTGGTGGTGCATGCTTGTAGTGCTAGCTACTTGGGAAGCTGAGGCAGGAGGATCATTTGAGCCTGGGAGTTTGAGGTTACGGTGAGCTATTATCGTCCTACTGCATGCCAGCCTAGGGGAGAGAGTGAGACCCTGTCTCAAAACAAACAACTCCTGCCCCCCTGAAAACAACAAAAAAGCAAAATGTCATATACTTGGACCCATGCAGGCTATAGCCTTTTCAGATTGGCTTTTTTCACTTGGTGATGTACATTTAAGTTTCCCTCAAGATTTTTCATGGCTTGATAGCTCATTTCTTTTTTTTTTCTTTTCTTTTCTTTTTTTTTTTTTTTTTTTAGACGGAGTTTTGCTTTTGTTGCCCAGGCTGGAGTAAAATGGTGTGATCTTGACACACCGCAACCTTCACCTCCCGGGTTCAAGCGATTCTCCTGCCTCAGCTTCCTGAGTAGCTGGGATTACAGGCATGCACCACTACACCTGGCTAATTTTGTACTTTTAGTAGAGACAGGGTTTCTCCAAGTTGGTCAGGCTGGTCTTGAACTCCCGACCTCAGGTGATCTGCCCACCTAGGCCTCCCAAAGTGCTGGGATTACAGGTGTGAGCCACCACACCCGGCCCCCATTTCTTTTTATTGATGAATAATTTTGTTGTTCTTTTAAATTAAGATAAGAAAAAATTCTTGATTTGAAAGTACTTCCTTTGTAACTGGAGTAAAACAGCTCCATACCCTGTAGAAAATCCATAGTGCTGAAGGAGGTACCATTAAAATTAAGTTAAAATGACAAATAGTTGTGGCATTTTCTTTAAAATTAAGAACTCATTTTTGTATTAAATATATGGATTTTTGAATGGATTTTTAAACTGTCATTTCTTTTGTTAACAGAAAAAAGGAAAAGGGACTGGAATGACCAGAATGATTAGGGCATGGCTCTAAAATGTGTTAATATATATCCAAATGAATTCATCCTTCAAGCATAGTTACTTGATAATGTTGATTTTGTCGGCAAGAAATCCTTATTTGTGAATGTAATTATTACTGTGGTATTTTTAGTATCTTGTGGATGCAAATATCACATGATGTAAAATTTGAGATACTGGCATTTGAACACCTTCTCCAAACAGGAATGGCCTTTTTCCCTACTTTATTCTCATAACTGCTATTTTGAGATGGAGTTTCACTCTTGTTGCCCAGGCTGGAGTGCAATGGCGTGGTCTTGGCTCACTGCAACCTCTATCTCCTTGGTTCAAGTGATTCTCCTGCCTCAGCCTCCCAAGTAGCTGGGATTACAGGTGCTTGCCACCATGCCTGGCTAATTTTTGTACTTTTAGTAGAGACGGAGTTTTGCCATGTTGGCCAGGCTGATCTCAAACTCCTGACCTCAGGTGATCCAGCCACTTCGGCCTCCCAAAGTGTTGGGATTATAGGGGTGAGCCACCGTGCCCGGCCACATAACTTTTATTTGAAAGAGATTCTGGGGTAATATCAAAGAAAACTGGGAGTTGATTTGACAGCACTTTAATAGAAATACATGAATGGAGTATGGCTGTGGAGATGCCTGTGGGACACGTCATGGTGAGTGGGATGAGGACAGCCTGGACAGGAACTGAGGAATGAGAAGATAAGAAGCAAGAGAATGTAGGAAAGAGGCAAGAAGTCAGAGGAGTGCAAAGAAAAATCTATATGCAGTTTAACAATGAAATTCTACATGTAGTCCAGATTAACAATTGACTGATGCATAAAAATTACTTAGCAAGAATCTCTCAACCTCTGGTTTGCTCTAAGGTGCTTCTCATCTGCAAAAGCAATAGTTGCATGGGGGCTTGTACCACCTTCGGGTTATTATGGTTTTCACCATTTGAGTTCTCTTCATGTACACCTGAAACCCCTGAGGATCTCATATTTCTGTGTATTCCTGGGCCTCAAGTATAGAGAATTACTTTATCGCTAACAGGAACCAAAACCTAAGAAGAGACAGTGGTGGATTTGAGGGAGACTGAGAATTACTGCCCAGGGCAGCCCTGCACTGCTAACTTGATAAAGGCGGTGATCAGTGACAGATGCTATGAGACTGGCCTCAGAGGAAAGAAAAGGAGGAAAAGAGAAAACAAATGACAGTGGAACCAGGAAGCAGAGAGGTGAAATGGTGCTTGTTATCCATCTGCAATGCGGGAGTGAACAGGAGACTTAGGCTGGGTCATTCATAATAACTCACGCCCCCTGCCCTACAGTCATTGGACTAATGTGTAGGCACATGACTCAGGCCAGCCAATCAGTGTTTCAAAGTTGGAGGTGGGAGATATTTCAAAGTTGGAGGTGGGAGATAGAAACGTTTATTTTCTCTCTCTGGTTTCGAGGTTACTAGGGGTGAGCCCAGAATGGTAAGTGGCCACTGTGTGAAGGATCCCGTGCACAACAGACATGCCCAGCATGGAAAGACAAGCAAAGATGAGAGCACACAAGAATTCTGATGACATGACCCTGGTTCCCAGTGTCCCTAGAGCCAGCTTCACCTCTATCATCCATCTTTGCTTTGGTAATGGGAGCCTTTACACAACCCCTTTATGCTCAAGTTAGCTAGAATTGAATTACAGCCACTTGCAAACAAGAGTCCTAATGAATATAGGTTCAGATAGATGTCGCTAGTTATTGCCCAGTGTATTAGTCTGTTCTCACACTGCTAATAAAGACATACTTGAGACTGGGTAATTTATAAAGAAAAAGAGGTTTAATGGACTCACAGCTTCACATGGCTGGGGAGGCCTCACAATCATGGTGGAAGGTGAAGAAGGAGCAAAGCCATATCTTACGTGGTAGCAGGCAGCCTGGGCAACATAGTGAGACCCTATCTCTATTTAAAAAAAATTTAATTAGCTTGTGCAGGGGAACTCCCATTTATAAAACCATCAGATCTCGTGAGACTTATTCACTACCATAAGAAAAAGTATGGGGGGGGAACTGCCCCATGATTCAATTATCTCCACCTGGCCCTGCCCTTGCCACATGGGGATTATTACAATTCAAGGTGAGATTTAAGTGGGGACACAGCCAAACCATATCACCCAGGGTATTTAATTCAAAATAAAATAACAGGAGGGGTCAGGCAGGGTTTTGTTGTTGCTGCTGTTGTTGTTTTGAGATAGGATATCTCTGTCACCCAGGTTGGAATGCAGTGGCACGATCATAGCTTGTTACTGTAGGTAGCTAGCCAGGCATGAGTGGGGCAGGAGAGGGGTCCCCCCACCCTACCAGCAATGTCAGGCGACCATCAGGTGATGATCAGGCAGTTGTCACACTGCCTCTCTAAAGTAATAATTGGTTGCAGTTATCGCCAGGGAAAGGCAGTTTCACAAAAGATTAAAAACACCTGTAACTGGTGATTGGCAGCTTCTCAACAAGATCTCAGGAGTTGGGCGAGTGAGTTCAAGCGTGCGCATTAAGAGGCAAAATGGCGGAGTTTAACTGGTATATAAACTTCTGGGGGCATTCCACTGGAAAAGGGATGCAAGACGCCAGAAGTAGGCCAGCATATAAGACCCCAAGTCCCATGTCAAAGGGGACACTTGACCTCCAAGGTGTCTGCTTGGTCCTCTTCCAAGTGTGTTTTATTTTCTTTTCATTCCTACTCTAAGGCTTTAAAAAAAACTTTCACTCCTGCTCTAAAACTTGCCTCGGTCTCTTCTGCCTTGTGTCCCTCAGTCGAATTCTTCTGAGGAGGCAAGAACTGACGTTGCTGTAGTAACAAGCTCACTGCAGCCCTGAACTTCTGGGTTCAAGCAATCCTCCTACTTCAGCCTCTCTAGTAACTAGGACTACAGGCATGAACCACCACTCTCAGCTAATTAATTTTTTTTTTTTTAATAGAGATAGAGTCTCACTATGTTGCTCAGGCTGGTCTCAAACTCCTGGGCTCAAGCGATCCTCCCACCTCAACCTCCCGGAGTGCTGGGATTATGTAAGTAAGCCATTACACCTGGCTAGCCTTTTTATTAAAACCCATGACCTGCATGTATATTTATTAATTTTTTGCTTTGCATTCAGAGTGCTGAAGTATCCCTTTGGGAGACTGGGTTCTTCAGGAGTTCCTCCTGAGGGGCATCCTGGGGCTTGTCTTTCTCTGGTGACCTACCTGTATTGTGCTTACCAGTTATAGCCACATTGCCTTGGGGCAGGGGTGTCTTCATTGCAATGAAATGATAAAATGTCTTTTTTTTTTGGTTGAGATGGAGTCTTGCTATAGTTGCCCAGGCTGGAGTGCAATGGTGCGATCTTGGCTCACTGCAACCTCTGCCTCCCAGGTTCAAGTGATTCTCCTGCCTCAGCCTCCCGAGTAGCTGGGATTACAGGCACACACCGCCACACCAGGCTAATTTTTTGTATTTTAGTAGAGACAGGGTTTCACCATGTTGCCCAGGCTGGTCTCGAACTCCTGAGCCCAGGCAGTTCACCCGCCTTGGCCTCCCAAAGTGCTAGGATTATAGGTGTGAGCCACTGTGCCCAGCCTGAATGTCTTGTTCTTAAGTAACCCCTGTTGGCTTATGAGCCATTTCATTTGCTTAACAATCCAGCTTCACCTTAGGTTATGCATGCAAGCTAACCATCCTCCTAATGAGATGTTCTCCTGATGCAGCCATAGGCTTTGACATTATTGGCCCAAGGAAGAGGCATCTTGGCTGTGCTCATAAAATAGGCCTTTTAGTGCCCCATGCCCATATGTGGTAGTGGATGATGGTCCCATCCACAGTGCCTATTGAGATAACCTGATGGTAAGGAGATTACTACCGAGTCCCCATTTAGAAGGAAATCCAAGATGCTCACTCACCCAGGTTCTCTGGACAGCAAGGAATCTAGGCTTTTGGATGGAACTGCCTGCTGTTTTGAACAGAAGAGCAACAGGTAGGTTGATAGTTCCTGGAGTATTGTTGGCTTTGGAACACAGAGAGTAGAGTTTCAGAAGCGAAATAGGGAAGCTGAATTGGGAGGATAACATACAAGTTAAGGTGGTGGACAAGGATATCTAAGAACTTGGGTTGAGGCTAGCAAATAATGAAGAAAGTGTCCATAACTATGCATGGAGGGGATTGCATATGATGCCTACATGCATCAGAGGAAGACTAGCCATATTGGTTACCTTCTGCTTCTGTGTCTTGGGTCTTTCTAGTAGGAATATTGCTTAACTACTTTTACCAGTTTCAGAGAGTTGCTGCATGAGGCAGGTTTGGTGGGGCTATGCCTGACTGCAGCCCTTCTCAGGGAATCTTTTCTTTCTTCTTTTTTTTTTTTTGAGACGGAGTCTCGCTCTTTCTCCCAGGCTGGAGTGCAGTGGCGCGATCTCGGCTCACTGCAAGCTCGGCCTCCTGGGTTCACACCATTCTCCTGCCTCAGCCTCCCGAGTAGCTGGGACTACAGGCGCCTGCCACCACACCCGGCTAATTTTTTGTATTTTTAGTAGAGACGGGGTTTCACCGTGTTAGCCAGGATGGTCTTAATCTCCTGACCTCGTGATCCAACCGCCTCGGCCTCCGAAAGTGCTGGGATTACAGGCGTGAGCCACCGCGCCCAGCCTCTTTCTTCTTTTTTTTGGGACGAAGTTTCGCTCTTGTTGCCTAGGCTCTAGTGCAATGGTGCGATCTCGGCTCACTGCAACCTCCGCCTCCTGGGTTCAAGTGATTCTCCTGCTTCTGCCTCCCGAGTAGCTGGGATTACAGGCATGCGCCACCACGCCTGGCTAATTTTATATTTTTAGTAGAGATGGGGTTTCTCCATGTTGGTCAGGCTGGTCTCGAACTCCCGACCTCAGGTGATCCGCCTGCCTCGGCCTCTCAAAGTGCTGGGATTACAGGTGTGACCCACTGCACCCAACCAAGGGCATCTTTTCTTTGCACGGCTGTGACTAATGGACAATGGGCCGGCAAAATCTCACTGCACTCCCCGTTGGCACACTGATAAGGTGAAGTGTGGACACCTGACTTAAGTGGGGAGGGGGAGGCGCATCAATATGAGGCACTAAGCCAATCAGAGCCTGTTCTAGGAATGTGAATTAAGATACAGAGAAATCTTCTGGTTGCTGATGGGCTCTAAATCTGAGAAATAATGAATCAGAGCTGGGACTGGTAGTCATCCCTTAAGAAGAGCACACAGATGAAATGGATTTAAGTAGGAGAGAGGAATGGAGTCAGTGTACAGAGATGCCTCTCGTGCTCCATTTCCTGGTTTCAGTTTCCCTGAGGCCTGAACACACTTTGTTTCCTGTTCTTGAATTCCCTGTAATCTCTGTATCCTTGCAGTCATGCCCTCTTTTCCCAAGAGCTGATTCGACGGGGTTTCTCTTCTTTATGACCAAAAGACCATTGACTAGAACAGATGTTAAGAACATGATCAATGTGACAGCTACTAAGTACAGAATGCAGCCTGATGAACCACTCAGCAGGCCAGGGTGACTACAATTGCACGTGTGTGTGTGTGTGTATGTTTACGGGGAGGGGCATTAAATCACTAGAGATGAAAGGACCCTCCCCCCGCCAACCCCGCCCCATAACCATCTTCTCTTTCCCGTCTTAGTTCCTTGGCTGCTCTCCATCTCCTGGCCCCAGCTGCTAAGATCTATTTCTAGATGAAGTCAGCAAACTGTTTCTGTTTCTAAGACTCTGAGTCCAGAATTCCCTGCTCAGGAATGTCCCCTTTGCCCTCACCACCTGCACTCCTCCTCTCTCCCTTTCTCTGTATCACCTCTTCACCTTATGGGATTGTTTTATCCCTCAGGGTTTTTTGACATTTTGAGAAAATGAAGTAGACCATTCAATTCCTGTAGCAGTGTCTCTCTCTGGTGGGGGCTGGGAGGCAGGGAGCAGCTCTATGCAAGGACTCCATGTCTTCTCTGCCAGGAAGCTCCCTAGCTCCGTTCTGGGTAAAACTTTTCGAAGCTCCAGGGTCTTCCCAAATTCAGACAAAGTTGGGTCAAGGTTGCACAGTCTGCGTCTGTAGGTGGGATGGTAAGATGAGGGCACAGGGGTTGGAAGGGGGCAGAGGGCCCAGCTATCCTCATTTCAGTCACAGTGGTCATTGGGAAAGTGCTGTTGTCATAAATCCAGCCATTGGTGCAGGGCTCTGTGGCCCCATGTTGTTGGCATCTGTGTCATTAGGAAAAGGTGGTCCCCACTGGGAGGAGGTGAAGTGGAGGCAGGACTGAGGCCACACCTGCCAGTCTTGGGGCAGCCAAGCCTCCAGCCACCTGTCCTTGCTGAGGTTGGCGTTGGCAGGTGGGGGCAGCAGGGGTTGGGTGGGGAGAGGCAGTGGCAGTGAAGTTTTGCAGAGTGGTGTGCAAACACAGGAGGAGCACTGGGAGGACCACCAGGGTGACTTGGATCTGCTGGAAGTAGCTGACACCCCCCATTTTCTGCATGAGGTCATTGAAGGCCATGGAACTAGGCCTGGTCAAGTGGCTGGGGGCTGGGTCTGCAAATCAAGCAACCTGTTTCCTTTCTTCCAGTGGAGGAGGAGGAGAGGGGAGGAGAGGGGCTGCCTTTGTCTCCTGCACTTATCAGTTCCTGGGTCTGCTGTAGCCCTAGGCCTCCTAATGGCCAGCAGTAGTTTGTTTTTGTTTGTTTGTTTTGTTTTTTGTTTTGTTTTTTTTTTTTGGGATGGAGTTTCACTCTTGTCACGCAGGCTGGAGTGCAATGGCATGATCTTGGCTCACTGCAACCTCCGCCTCCTGGGTTCAAGTGATTCTCCTGTCTCAGCCTCCCAAGTAGCTGGGATTTACAGGTGCCTGCCACCATGCCTGGCTAATTTTTGTATTCTTAGTAGAGACGGGGTTTCACCACGTTGGCCAGGCTGGTCTCGAAATCCTGACCTCAGGTGATCCGCCTGGCTCGGCCTCCCAAAGTGCTGGGATGACGGGCGTGAGCCACCGTGCCTGGCCCAGTAGTTTTTATAACTTCTTTTAAAGCACCAAGTTAAACTGACTCAAGAGTCAGATATTTAATTATAAGACTCATCAGGTCAATGGTTTGTTCCAGGAGGTCAAATGGGCAAGTAAAGTTGGATTTGGCAGAGGAAAGTACCTTCCTGTGAAGGAGGGACATGTTTGAGTCTCTTCACTACACTGGAACAGGTGGGGAGGAAGGGAAAGCACCAAGTGTGAAGGGGGGCCCAAGCTGGTGTGAGCATGAAGCCTGAGCTGAGCTCTCCTTTCTCAGGGCCAGGTCCTACCTCACTCTCAGCCAGACTGAACTGGGGAGACTCTGAAGAGCCCATGCAGAAATGCCGTGGTACGTGGGCTTTGGCATCCCTTAACCTGTGAGCATCACCTCTGCGTGAATCCCGGAGCCTGGGCCTTCGGCCCTAGACGAGGGCCAGGACACAGCTCAACCTTCACTTGAAGGAGGAATTCTTTGTTAGAAGTTTGTGTCAGTAGGGTCTCTTTTCTCATAATATCTTCTGTAGTTCACCCCCAATTTTTTTCCCCTTTCCAGAATTGTACCAGTGTATGTGACGTGATAAACAGCCATCAGGTGCTTTAACATTCTTCAAGGGTCTGGGCATACTGGGGTCTGCACCATGCACAGGGCCCAGGCGAATCCAGGTGTTCTGACATCTTGGCCCCTGTTATGGACTGAATTGTGTCCCCCTCATTCATATGTTGAAGCCCTAACCCCCAGTGTGACTATATTTGGAAATAGGACCTTTAAGGAGGTAATGAAGGTTAAATGAGGTCATGGGGTGGGGCCCTAATCCAGTGTGACTGGTGTCCTTACAAGAGGAGAGAGAGACAGCAGGGTGGGACGCACGTGCCCAGAGGAAGGGCCATGTGAGGACATGGTGGGAAGGCGGCCATCTGCAAGCCAAAGAGAGGCCTCAGGAGAAACCAAACCTGATGACAGCTTGATTGTGGACTTCTAGCCTCCAGAGCTGTGAGAAAATAAATTTCTGTTGTTAAGCCACCCAGCCGTGGTATTTTGTTATGGCAGCCCAAGGCTGTCACTTATATCTGTAATGTAACACAATTCTAGCCAAGAAATGTGGCAGGAAGCCCATTGTGGGGGAGGTGGCTTTTGGGAAAGGTCTTCAAAAGAGATGTCTTGCTCTTCCAAACAGATATGTGAGGAGTAACTTCCTTTTCTGCCTTTGGATGCTGTGTGAGGGGGTGATGCCTGTAGCCACTGCAGCCCTCTTGCTGTCATGAGGGGAGTTGTTGACCTGCTGAGGAGAGGGTTGAAAAGAACCTGGATCCATGATGATGTCAGGTGCCTGAATCATGGAAGCCAGCAAATCTGCTATCTGCTTTTTTTCTTTTTGGAGCGGGGGCTTAAGCCAGTTAGTTTTGTGTCACTTACATCTGAAAGAGTCCTGGCTAATACTTCCATCATAAGAGCCATAACCTGGGCTGGGCGCGGTGGCTCACGCCTGTAATCCCAGCACTTTGGGAGGCCGAGGTGGGTGGATCACGAGGTCAGGAGTTCGAGACCAGCCTGGCCAACATAGTGAAACCCTGTCTCTACTAAAAATACAAAAAATTAGCCGGGCGTGGTGGCGGGCACCTGTAATCCCAGCTACTTAGAAGGCTGAGGCAGGAGAATTGCTTGAACTCAGGAGGCAGAGGTTGCAGTGAGCTGAGATGGTGCCACTGCACTCCAACCTGGGCAACAGTGGAGACTCCCTCTCAAAAAAAAAAAAAAAAAAAAAGTCCGGCGCAATGGCTCATGCCTGTAATCCCAGCATTTTGGGAGGCCGAGGTGGGTGGATCACCTGAGGTCGGGAGTTTGAGACCAGCCTGACCAACATGGAGAAACCTCGTCTCTACTAAAAATACAAAATTAGCCAGGCGTGGTGGCCCATGCCTATAATCCCAACTACTTGGGAGGCTGAGGCAGGAGAATTGCTTGAACCTGGGAGGTGGAGGTTGTGGTGAGCTGAGATCGCGCCATTGCACTCCAGCCTGGGCAACTAGAGCAAAACTCCGTCTCAAAAAAAAAAAAAAAAAAAAAAAAAAAGAGCCATAACCCAGAAGCACAGGGAAACTGAAGCCAGGGAAGCCTCTTAGGCTGAGTGATAGAATGGCTGTATTAGTCAGGGTTGTTGGGTGTAAACAACAAAAACAGACTGTGGCTAATGTAAGCTGTAGAAAAATCACTGGAAGGATAATGGGCTGCTCACGGAATTGATGAGAATCTGGCTCAGAAATGGGCAGGAGCTGAGGGAGGCCAGGAAACAGTTTGGCTAGGATGCCACTGGAGTATTCCCTGGAGATTTCCACTCCTCCCTGGACTCTCACAGTCATTGCTATTGTGTGTCATTTCCCAAATGTTCCTGCAGCTTTGTGTTCTATCGCAAGAGTCAAGGCCCTAGGTGGGAGTACTGATTAGTTGAACATGGTTCATGCACCTGAATAAAACTTTATTAGGGTTTAGTATATGCAATAAAATGCATCAATTTTGGGGGTACATTTTTACAAGCTCTGACAATTTTTTTTTTTTTTAAAGACAGAGTCTCGTTGTGTTGCCCAGGCTGGAGTGCATTGGTGCCATCTCAGCTCACTGCAACGTCCGCCTCCTGGGTTCAAGAGATACTCATGCTTCAGCCTCCTGAGTAGCTGGTACTACAGGTGTGAACTACGACGCCCGGCTAATTTTTGTATTTTTAGTAGAGACGGGGTTTCACCATGTTGGCCAGGCTGGTCTCAAGCTCCTGACCTCAGGTGATTCACCTGCCTCGGCCTCCCAAAGTGCTGTGATTACAGGCAGCTCTGATAAATTTTTATACCATGTAACCACTATATAGAACATTTTCATCTCCTGCCTCTCCCACCCCAGCAATTCCCTAGTACTGTATCCTAGCCAAGTCTCATCTTCTACCCTAGGCAATGGATTTGTCTTTTCTGGAGTTTCAAATGAATGATATCATACAGTATATCCTCTTTTGTGTCTGGCTTCTTTTGCTCAGCAAAATGTTTTTGAGATTCATCCACCTTGTAGTGTGCCAGTAGTTCATTCCTTTTTTTTTTTTTGAGATGCAGTCTCACTCTGTTGCCAGGCTGGAGTGTAGTGGCGTGATCTCCACTCACTGCAACCTCCACCTCCCGGGTTCAAGAGATTCTCCTGCCTCAGCCTCCCGAGTAGCTGAGACTACAGGTGTGCGCCACCAAGCCCAGCTAATTTTTGTATTTTTAGTAGAGACGGGGTTTCACCATGTTGGCCAGGATGGTCTCAATCTCTTGACCTCATGATCCGCCCATCTCGGCCTCCCAAAGTGCTGGGATTACAGTCGTGAGCCACCGCGCCTGGCCCCATTCCTTTTTAATACTGAATAGTATTCCATTATGTGTATAACCACAGTTTGCTTATTCATTCACCTGTTGATGAACATTTGTGTTGTTTCCAGTTTTTGGCTATTATAAAGAAAGCTGCCATGAACATTTGTGTATAGTGAGGGGACATGTACTTTCATATCTCTTGGGTAAATACCTAGAAGTGGAATTACTAGGTCATATATTTAACTTTATCAGAAACTGTCAAATTGTTTTCCAAAGTGTTTCCAAATTTTACATTTCTACCAGCAATGGATGAGAGTTCCAGTTATTCCACATTCTTGCCGACATCTTGATATGTCCAGTCTTTTCATTTTAGCCATTTATATGAATATGAAGGGACATCTCATTGTGGTCTAACTTGCATTTTCCTGATGACTAATGATGTTGAGCATTTTTTCATGTGCTTATTGGCTATTCATATATCTACCGTGGTGAAGCGTATGTGTAATTTTTTTTTGCCTATGTTTGAATTGGGGTGTTTGACTTCTTTTTATTGAGTTGTAGGAGTACTTTTTATATTCTGCAGATTTGTTTGCATAGCTCTCTCCTCTCCTGAGAAATCTAGCTGCCTTGGCCATCCTGAACTTCTCTTTTATTCTCCTCAGCTCAGTGAGGTTGCTGGCTCTGTTTGGATTCCACATCTCCACACTGCAGTCCAGAAGTTGCTCCCAGGAAGAAGGCCTGGGTGATAAAAGTTGGTGCAAAAGTAATTGCAGGTTTTGCAATTAAAGGTAATGACAAAAACCACAATTACTTTTGCATCAACCTAATAGTAGGCCTTAAATAATCTGTTTCCCTTCTCACAGAAATTACAGTCCTGCGCTGCCTGTTGTCCAATGTCTGAACATTGTTATTTTTCACATTTCCTTCAGTTTTCTAGGATTTTTTTTTTTTTTTTTTTTTGAGATGGAGTCTCACTCTGTTGCCAGGCTGGAGTGCAGTGGCATGATCCCGGCTCACTGCAACCTCTGCCCCCTGGGTTCAAGCGATTCTCCTTGCCTCAGCCTCCCAAGTAGCTGGGATTACAGGTGCCTGCCACCACACCCGGCTAATTTTTTTATTTTTATTTTTTATTTTTAGTAGAGATGGGGTTTCACTATGTTGGCCAGGCTGGTCTCGAACTCCTGACCACATGATCCGCCTGCCTTGGCCTCCTAAAGTGCTGGGATTACAGGCATGAGCCACCGTGCTGGGCCCAGTTTTCTAGTTTTTTTTTTTTTTACAATGGGAGAGTTGTTTTGGAAGTTTATTATTTCCTGATGACTGGAACTTTTCCTTTTCCATTCTGAATGCATTTAAAACAACAGTGTTCCTTGTATAATTGAAAGTGTCTTTCTTCCTCTCTAAAGGGGGATGCTGGGTAGCGAGTAGAGGGAGAAACTTCCATTCTTCTGGCTTCTTGTTTCCTTATGGAATAAGGAGTGGGTTATTTGATTGGTGAATCTGGGAGAAGGAATAGAGCATGTATAGCTACTTTCTTCTTCTTTTCTTTTGGGCCCTTTTTACCTTCAGAGAGCATGTGCTTTTTATTGTTTTTGGCCACATGGTAAGGTATTTGACAGCTGTGTCTCTCAATTGGTTCCATACGTGGTGCAGAAGAGATGCATTTTCTTTTTTTGAGACAGGGTCTCACTCTATCACCCAGGCTGGAGTGCAGTGGCATGATCACAACTCACTGAAGCCTTGACCTCCTGAGCTCAAGCCATCCTGCCACCTCATCCTCCACGTAGCTGTGTTACTGGAAAGGGGTCCTGATCCAGACTCCAAAAGAGCGTTCTTGGACCTTACATAAGAAAGAATTTCAGGTGAGTTCATAGGATAAAGTGAAAGCAATTTTATTAGAGAAATAAGCAAACAAATGAATGGCTACTCCACAGGCAGAGCAGCCCTGAGGGCTACTGGTTGGCTATTTTTAGGGTTATTTCTTGATTATATGCTAAACAAGGGGTGGATTACTCATGAGTTTTCTAGGAAAGGGGCAGGCAATTCCCAGAACTGAGGGTTCCTCCCCTTTTTGGACTATATAGGGTACCGTCTGGATGTTGCCATGGCATTTGTAAACTGTGATGGTGCTGGTGGGAGTGTCTTTCAGCGTCCTAATGCATTATAGTTAGTTAGCATATAATGGACAGTGAGGATGACCAGAGGTCACTTTCATTGCCATCTGGGCTTTGGTGGGTTTTGGTGGGCTTCTTTACTGCATCCTATTTTATCAGCAGGGTCTTTATGACCTGTATCTTGTGCTACCAATCCTGCCGAACTTCTATCTCATCCTGTGATTAAGAATGCCTAACCTTCTGGGAATGCGACCCAGTAGGTCTCAGCCTTATTTGACCTAGCCCCTATTAAAGATGGAGTTGCTCTGGTTTGAATGCCTCTGACAGCTGGAACCAAGTGAAGGATTTCTGAGTGATGTCTTCTTCTTTAGTTATGTTGCAATGCCGTCGTTATGCTATGCATAGAAATAAGAAAATATTGTCTTTAATGTCTTCAATCATTTCTGTTTATGGAAATGTATTCGGCAAGAAGTCATGAGACTACAATAATATATCAGTTGTTAGGATTCTGCTTCCAACCAAGATGGAGGAACAGGGATTAGTAAATAGTAAATGCTCTCCTGCCTTTAACTAATAAAAAAACCTGACAAATTAGGTTTGTATGATAACTGTTTTTAGACATTGGACAATAAGCAGTTCAGAACAGTTGTTCCTGAGAGAGGCAAGCAAACAGAATGAGCCTTATGAACCAGTTTACTTCCTGGAGAAAATTTGCAGGCTGCAGAACAGGGAGAGGGGATCTACTTAGAGCCCAGAAGTCTCCCTGGGTTGAGGAAACAAAGTTGGGAGTCTGGGGAGACCCAGGTGGCAAGAGTTCACAGGGCAGAGGACTGGAGAGGAGAGAGCTGCATAGAACACTGGAGATTTGTAGGGGGTTTTGTTATTAATAGAATCTTCAGGTGAGTAGTGGTTGATGCATACATTTGGTGAAAGAACCTAGATGATTCACAGAGTTCACACAGGCCAGGAACAGTTTATCTTCCCACCAGCCACAGTGAAGATAAAACTCATAGCATTCAGGGCACTGGGTAGAGAACTCAGAAAGATCACTTGAGAGGAAAAATTAGCAGCATCTCTGCTCTCACCTAACAAAACCTAAAAGCAAGCCTTGAAAAGTAACTTATTGTGACCCAGAAAAAAGTTCAAAAATAGGCCGGGTGTGATGGCTCACGCCTGTAATCCCAGTACTTTGGGAGGCCTAGGAGGGCAGATCACCTGAGGTCAGGAGTTCGAGACTAGCCTGGCCGATATATAGTGAAAGCCGTCTCTACTGAAAAATACAAAAATTAGCTGGGTGTGGTGGTGCACGCCTGTAGTCCCAGCTACTTGGGAAGCTGAGGCAGGAGAATCACTTGAACCTAGGAGGCAGAGGTTGCAGTGAGCCAAGATTGTGCCACTGCACTCCAGCCTGGGGAAGACACTGTCTCAACCAACCTAACAAACAAAACAACAAACCAACCTAACAAACAAAAAAGTTCAAAATAAAAACTATAGGTCCCAGATCCAAGAAGGTAAATTAACTCGGATATGATGATGTTATAAAAACTGCAAGGTGCATCATAATCAAATGCTTAGAACCAGGGATAAAGATAAAATCCTGCTTGCAAACAGCTGGAGGAAAAAAAGACACATTCATGTAAAGCAAAAAATATAAGAATAGCAGCAGATTTCTTGTCAAAAGTGATGTAAGCCAGAAGACAATGGAGAAATACCTTTAAAAGCTGAAAGAGAAAATCTGTCAACCTAAAACCCTCTACCAGTAAAAATATCTTTCAAAAATGATAATAGAATCAGTGCCTTTTCAGGCATACAAAAGTTGAAAAAACACAGCAGCAACATTTCTGCACTACAAGAAATGTTAAATGAAATTAAATTTATACTTAAAAACCACCCCACAAAGAAGATTCCAGGAACAGATGACTTAACTGATTAATTCTGTCAAACATTTAAGGAAGAAATAATACCAACTCTACACAAACACCTACAGAAAGGTGAAAAGTAGGAAAGACTTCACAACTCATTCTATGAGGCCGAAATTACCCTGATACTAAAACCAGACAAAACATTACAAAAAGGGAAACTAGAGACAGGTATCTCTCATGAACATAGATGTAAAATTCTTAATATAATTTTATCAAATTTAACAAAAATTATAAAAAGGATAATACTTCTTGACCAAGTGGGGTTTATTCCAGAAATGCAAGATTTGTTTAACATTAAAAAAATCAGTTAATATAATTCACCATACTAATAGACTAAAAAAGAAAAACCATATAATCATCTCAATAGATGCAGAAAAAGCATTCGATAACACTCAATATCCATTCATGATAAAACTTCTCAGCAAACTAGGCATAAAGGGAACTTCTCAAAATAGATAAGCTGGGTGTGGTGGTACATGCCTGTAGTCCCAGCTACTCAGGAGGTTGAGGAAAGAGGATCCCTTGAGCCCAGGAGTTCAAGACCAGCCTGGGCAACACAGAAGGATCCCATCTCAAAAAATAATTGATAAAAGACAACTATGGAAAAAATATAGGTAACGTTATACTAAATTGTGAAAGACAATGTTTTTCCCCTAAGTTCAGAGACAAAGATATTCACTCTCACCACTTTTATTTAACAGTGTACTGGAGATTCTAGGCAATGTAATAAAGCAACAAAAAGAAATAAAATAATTCCAGAAAGGAAGAAAAAAAAATATACCTTTATTTGCAAACAGCATGATTGTACCAAAGATCCTGAGGAATCTACAAAACAGCTATTGAGACTAATAAGTGATTTTAGTGAGTTTTCAGGATGCAAGTAGGATATATTAAAAAACCAGTGGTATTTCTATATACTAGCAACAAACAATTGGTAATTGAAATAAGAATACCATTCATAATAGCTGTTAAAGCAAAATAAGCAGGAAGTTATTAACCTGGAATTGTTTCTGTATCCAGAACCCTTATACAAGCAAACTGAAACTTAACCTAGTGGCATTCTTTGTAACTAATTAATTTTGAAAAACCAAAACCAAACCAGATACCAAGCTTCAGCCAATCACAAATAGCCAGTTAGCCGTTAGTTATATAACTAGGAACTTTCCACCAGATCATACCCAAATAAGACAAATAGTGGCTGAGCATGGTGGCTCATGCCTGTAATCTCAGCACTTTGGGAGGCCAAGGTAGGGGAGTCACTTGAAGCCAGGGGCTCGAGACCAGCCTGGTCAAGATGGTGAAACCCTGTGTCTACAAAGAAAACAAAACAAAACAAATGCCTACCTGTAGCCAATTTATTTCTTTACTTCTGTGTTCAGACTATGAAGATCTGCTTGTAGTGCTTAAGTGCAGCTACATGAACCTCTTCTGATTTTGAGTGCTGCCCCATTCATTAATGCTTTAATGCTCAAATAAAATCTGTTACATTTATTTTGTCTGAAGTTTTTCTTTTAACATAGTATAAAAATATGAAATCTGTAGGGATAAATTTGACAAAAGATGTACAAAACCTACACAATGAAAATACAAAACATCATTGCGAAGACCTAGATAAATGGAGAACTATATCATGGATTGGGACACTCAATATTATTAAGACGTCAGTTTTTCCCAAGATGATTTATGATTCAACATAATACAAATAAAAATCACAGAAGTTTTCTTGGTAGAAATGTACAAGTTGATTTTAAATTTTATATGGAAATGCAAAGCATCCAGACTAGCCAAAACAACTTTGAAAAAGTTGAACAAAGTTAGAGAATCTACACCGTCTGAGTTCAAGGCTAACTACAAAGTTACATCAATTATGACAGTGTGGGATTTATGTAAAGACAAATAGATCAATGGAACAAAATAGAGTTCAGAAATAGAGCCATACGTATGTAGCCAACTGATCTCTAACCAAGATGTTTAGACAATTCAATGAGGAAAAGAAAATCTTTCAACAAATGGTGCTGGAACAATTGGATATCCATATGCAAAAAGCAATGAACCACAATCTGTTTACCTCATGTTATTTACAGAAATAACTCAGATTGGATCATAGACCCTAAATATAAAAGTTAAAACTATAAAACTTCTATTAAAAAAAGGAGAAAAATTCAGTGTCCTTGGGTTTGGCAAAGATTAAAAAAAAATAAGACTCAAAAAGCATTAACTATAAAATCAGTAAACTGGACTTCATCACAGTTTAAAAACTTTGTTCTTTGAAGTCACTGTTATAAAACTGAAAAGGCAAGCTGTAAACATGGAGAAAACGTTTGCAAAACACATATCTGGCAAGGGGCTTGTTTTTGAAATATATAAAAAGTTTCCAACTCAACAATATGAAACAAACAATCAAAATTTTAAAATGTGCAATTTTTTTAACAGACACCTCACCAAAGAAGAGGTCTAGATGGAAATAAGCAAGTGAACAGTTGCTTTAGATCATTAGTCTTCAGAGAAATGTAAATTAAAACTACAATAAGATACCAGTACACATTCACTAGAATGGCTTAAGTTAAAAACAGCAGTCAGACCAGGCATGGTGACTCATGCCTGTAATCCCAGCACTTTGAGAGGCTGAGGCAGGTGGATCATTTGAGGTCAGGAGTTCGAGATCAGCCTGGCCAACACGGCAAAACCTCATCTCTATTAAAAATACAAAAAAATTAGCTGGGTGTGGTGGTGCGCACCTGTAATCCCAGCTACTCAGGAGGCTGAGGCAGGAGAATTGCTTGAATCCAAGAGGTGGAGGTTGCAGTGAGCAGAGATCGCACCACTGCACTCCAGCCTGGGCTACGGAGAGAGACTCCATCTCAAAAAACAACAACAAAAAAAGCAATCATACCAAGTTTTGACAAAGATGTGGAACAACTGGATCTCTCATATACAGCTGGTGGGAATATAAAATGTTAAGAAAATTGTTTGGCTATTTCTTTTTGTAAAATTTTGGCTGGTGTGTTAGCTCATGCCTACAACCCCAGCACTTGGGGCCAGGAGTTTGACATCAGCCTGGGTAACATGGCGAGACCCTGTCTCTACTAAAAACATGGTTTAAAATTGTTTATTTATTTTTATTTTTTAGAGACAGGGTCTTGCTATGTTGTCCAGGCTGGTCTTGAACTCTTGGGGTCAAGGGGTCCTCCTGCGTCAGCCTCTTGAGTTACTGGGATTATAGGCATGAGCCACCAAACCCGGCTGTTTGGCTGTTTCTTAAAAAGTTAAACATACACGTTACATAGTACTCAGCCATTCCACTCCTTGATATTTAAGGATAATATAATGGAAAGATGAAACTAATCTGGGCAAGAGAATCTGGTTCAAGAGAAGTAGAAACCTATGTCTAGAAGGAGCATGAGAAAACTTTTGGTGGTGATGGATATGTTCATTGTCTTGATTGTAGTGATGGTTTCATGGATGTATGCATGTGTTGAAACTCATCCGATTTTACACTGTAAATATGAGCGACTCTGCCTGGGCATCATAGGGAGACCCTGTCTCTTCAAAAAAATACAAACATTAGCTAGGAGTGGTGGCCCTTGCCTGTAGTCCCAGCTGTTCAGGAGGCTGACATGGGATAATTGCTTGAGCCCAGAAGGTTAAGGCTGCAGTGAGCTGTGATCTCACCACTGCACTCCAGCCTGGGGCCAAGAGCGAGAGCCTGTCTCAACAATACCAACACCACCACCACCTGAGCAACTAATTATCTGTCTGTTGTATTTCAATAAAGCTGTAAAAATATAAGATATCTTTGACCACAAATCATAGAAAAACGAACTCACACCGGCTTAAAGTATAAGGAGGACTTAAATTGTTACCCTTAACAATCAGAGCAGAGGTAGGTGGTGCCAGTATTGATTAAATTGGTGGGGTTAAATCATCAAACCCCAGATTAGTTCCATCTTTCCATTACAATATCCTCATTGGTTGCCTTAGTCCATGCTCCGGTTTCCCTCTGGGTTACAGGATGGCTGCCACAGTTCTGGACATCCATCCAGACTCAACGTTGTCCGCCACCTACATCTAAACCCTACATTCAGCCCTTACAGGCTGCTTGGTCTCTTCTATGGGTGTGGTTCACATGGCACTTACTATTGCTACTGGGGTGCAGGATTCTATCGGGGGAGGGGTTTAGGAGGAGCAGACCTCACTAGAATGGGTCAGGGAACTGAGCCTCAAGTTCATCTAGCTTATTACTGCAGAATTTTTTTTTTTGAGAGGAGTCTCGCTCTTGTTGCCCAGGCTGGAGTGCAGTGGCACGATCTCGGCTCACTGCAACCTTCACCTCCCAGGTTCAAGCTTCTCCTGCCTCAGCCTCCTGAGTAGCTGAGATTACAGGCAACCACCACCACACCCAGCTAATTTTTGTACTTTTAGTAGAGATGGGGTTTCACCACGTTGGCCAGGATGGTCTTGAACTTCTGACCTCAGGTGATTCGCCTGCCTCAACTTCCCAAAGTGCTGGGATTACAGGCATGAGCCACCGCACCCGGTCATTACTACAGCATTTTTGCAGTAGAGTCTTCCGCTGTTCTATGACTATGACATGAACCACATGGAGACAGTCACATCTCAGAGAACATCCAAATGGTTTTCTTGAAAGAGGAGGTGCAGTGGGGCAATGGAGTCTACCCAGTCAGTGTTTTCCTTTTGCTTCCTGCACCTATGACACAATTTTCCTTTCACAATTTTTAAACACAAGGAATGGTAGTGGTGGGAGTGTAGCACAGAGCAGTCTAGGAGTCCCAAACTTAAGTGTCTACAAGGGCTAGTGGCTAATTTAGACTCTGTGAATCCGACAAGCTATAAGACAGTAGGAAGAGGTGAGGCCTGTGATGATCCAGACATTACAACCCATCCCTACAAAAATTATAGTGCATGGGAAAAAGAAAATCTCCAGAGGCCTCCCTGGAGGAATCTAAGAACAAGGGATGCATATCAGTTTCATATTGCTGTTGTTAACAAACTGCCACAAATTTAGTGGCTTAAAACAGTACAGATTTGTTCTCTTGTAATTCTGGAGGCCAGATGTCTAAAATCAATATGTCAGCAGGGCGTGGTAGCTCACGCCTGTAATTCTAGCAGTTTGGGAGGGCAAGGCAGGCGGATCACCTAGGGTCAGGAGTTCGAGACCAGCCTGTCCAACATGGTGAAACCCTGTCTCTACTAAAAATACAAAAATTAGCGGGGCATGATGGTGCACGCCTGTAGTCCCAGCTATTTGGGAGGCT
Source organism: Homo sapiens (assembly GCF_000001405.40). Lineage (NCBI taxonomy): Eukaryota > Metazoa > Chordata > Mammalia > Primates > Hominidae > Homo > Homo sapiens. The sequence goes on from NC_000011.10 coordinate 62,972,996, forward strand.
GAGGTGGGAGAATCACTTGAACTCGGAAGGCAGCCTGGCCAACATGGCGAAACCCCATTTCTACAAAAAATACAAAAAGTAGCTGGGCATGGTGATACGTGCCTGTAATCCCAGCTACTCGGGAGGCTGAGGCAGGAGAATTGCTTGAACCCAGGAGGTGGAGGTTGCAGTGAGCCGAGATTGCGCCCCTGCACTCCGGCCTGGGTGACAGAGTGAGACTCCGCCTCAAAAAAAAAAAAAAAAGAAAAAAAAATCAATATGTCGACCCAGCTGCGTTTCTTCTGCAGGCTTTAGGGGAGAATCCATTTCCTTGCCTTTTAGAGGCCATTTGCATTCTTTGGCTGGTGGTTCCTTCTTTTTTTTTTTTTTTTTTTTTGACAACACCAAATGCGTTTACTTAGTGGTTTGAATGATAAGTTATTGAATGAATTGAGGTTTATGGTCTCTGTTTTGACTTGAATGTGTTTTTTAAAAATTCTTTTTGGTCCTTTCTTGCTTCACTCCACCCTCTTGCTTCTGTTGTCTCATCTACTACCCACTCTGATCTCCTGCCTTTCTCCTATAAGTACTGTTGTGACCACATCGGGTCCACCCAGATAATCCAGGATAACCCACCCCTGATCTCAAAATCCTTAGTTTAATCACAACTGCAAAATCGCTTTTACCATGTAAGGTAACATACAGGTTCCAGAGATTAGGATGTGGGCATATTTGGGGACCATTATTCAGCTTCCCACATGATATGAAATTTAGCTATTTGGGCATCTGCTCTATATGTGACCCAAATGGGTCATGCAAACTCCCAGGAAAGGGGAGAGAAGAGCCTAAGGGAGGGGCTTGGAGTGGTGTGAAACTGGGGCTGTCAAGGTGGGACCTGGGATGATGGCATGGAGCCCTGAGAATGTGGCACTCTACAGGACCAGGCAGTTGAGGATCCTCCTGAGTGTGCCATCCTGGCCAGGAAACTGAGGGTGGCTACAAGGCCCTGCCAAGCTGGCTGAGGATAGGACCTGTGGTCAAAACTGGAGATAGGCCAGGTGCAGTGGCTCATGCCTGTAATCTCAGCACTTTGGGAGGCTGAGGCGAACGGATCACTTGAAGTCAGGAGTTCAAGACCAGCCTGGCTAACATGGTGAAACCCTGTCTCTACTAAAAATAGAAAAATTAGCCAGGTGTGGTGGTATGCACCTATAATCCCAGCTACTTGGGAGGCTGACATTGCAGTGAGAATTCCTTGAACCCGGGAGGCGGAGGTTGCAGTGAGCTGAGATCGTGTCACTGCACTCCAGCCTGGGCAACAGAGAAAGACACTGTCTCAGGAAAAAAAAAAAAGGGGGAGAGCATCTGAGGCCACTCTGGTGGGGCATGACAGTGTCCCAACTCAGCCTCAGGGCCAAGGCTAGAGGATGGGATCTGAGCCTGTGTTTGGGGCTGACTCCTTGGGGAGGCAAGGTCAGAAGTCACTTACTGGTGACTTAGAAGTGGGAGGAAGGTAGGGTTCTCTTTTGTCAAGGGCACAGGATGAGTATAGGAAGTCCCAGGCCAGGAGCTAGGGGAATGGATTCTGTGTGAATGGTCTGAGCTGGCTGAATCAGCACCCAGGACTTTTACCAGTTGGGGTGCAGCTGGGGCAGGCTACAGCTGGCTCTGGGCAGCCTTGCTGAGGCATCTGCAGATACCAGGTGATCTGAGCACAGAGATGAGAGACTTGCAGGAGGAGCCAGGGCATGTCAGAGTTGCTGGCAGGGTCTGGAGCCAGTGGTAGGCCAAGTCACTGGTCTCAAAACCCGGGATCTGCAGAAGCAGGGCTAAATCCATGTGTCTCGACTCCCGGTCTCAGTCCAGACACTCCACGAGGCTCATCCATGAGGGCAGTGCTGCCTGAGAAACTGCAGGATGACTGGGGCTGATGACCCACAAGCAACCAATGGGAGCATGAGGAGTTTCAGCACCAAGGGGGAACACCAAGGCTTCAGATGTTCCAGGAGGTGAGGTGGGTTGTGGTGATTTCTGCTGTGCCCAGATTTGCCCTGAGAGTCCTGTTGTCTGAGTTGCTGTGAGCTCTCCCCGGGCTGTGTGGTTTTTTTTCAGGGGATCTTCAGGCCAACCTCTCTTTCCAGATTGCCCTAAGTCAACCTGAGCCCCTGGCCAGGGTCCCACCTGGAAGGCAGTGTGTACAGCTCAAGTAATGAATGTAGACTTTCCCCTGGGGGATAAGGGGCTGGCTCGCGGGCCAGGCTGGCTGCTGGGGATAGGGTTCCAGGCAGTGTGCCAGCGAGCATTTATGGCAGGGTGCGGCAGGCCTCACTCCTGCCACCTGTAGGTGTGAACAGGGCTGCATTTCTCGGGCTGCCCTTCTCGGGCTGCCCCAGGCTTCCCTGAAGTGAGCTATTTTGAGGACACAGATGCTGGACATCCTGGTCTTTTCCTGACTGTAACCCTTAAATTGCCTTCCCCCCAACTCCTTTCACATGGTTCCTCCCATGATCATCTCCCTTCCTCCCCTTCTCGTCCTTTTCTTTTCAGCCCAGAAGGAAGGAGGAGAAGCTGGGTCCTGGGGGTGAAAGAGGCTAAAGTTTCAATGCCTCACAGCTCCTGGCAGCAGAGGGGTCAGGCACACATATCCTGGTGCCAGATTGTCTGGATTCTCATCCTGACTCCACAATTTACCAGCTGTGTGAACTGGACAGGTTACTTAACCTCTCTGTGTCTTGATTTTCTTATCTGTAAAATAGGGAATAATTGTAGTAATCTCCAAGGGTTACAGGGAGGAGTAAATGAGTTAATATAGGCAAATGGCTTAGGACAGTGCCTGGCACATAGTTAGCATTCAGTGCTGGGTCTCACTGGGTATGTTCCCCACTCCCCCTTCCCTCTTCTCTTCCCTCCACCAGCCCAGAGCCTACAGGAGGCAGAACAACCAAGAGAGCTCAGGTAGTGCAGCAGGCAGGATTAGGTTAGCTAGCAGGCTAATCTAGAGCGGGTTTTGAGTCCAGACCCTGCTGGAATCTAGAGATTCCATCATCCTGAGCATGCTGCTAGAGGGGCCAACATCCTGAAGTCATAGCTGTTGTCTTTTTTTTTTTTTTTTTTTTTTTAAATAGAGGCAGCGTCTCGCTATGTTGCCCAGGCTGGTCTTGAACTCCTGGCTCAAGTGATCCACCCGCCTCGGCCTCCCAACGTGCTGGGATTACAGGTGTGAGCCACCACACCTGGCCAGCTATTGTCCTTTTTCTTCTCCTTTGCTGTCAGAGGTTCCCATCTGCTCTCAGAGTGGGAGGAGCTTGAAACAAAGCCTCTGATTGGCTGCTTTCATTTCAGCCTGTCATTTCAGCCCTTGTCAGTTTCCAGCCTGACAGGGAAGGGAGGAGCATTAGATATTTAGCTAAATCTCACAGAAATATTTGAATAGGTTAGAGGATGGGGGAGGGAAGAGGGAGGGATAGAAAGGGGCAAAGGCAAGAGTCTTTTCTAATTTTCTGGGATGGTTTGTAAAGTCCCGGGGATGGAGTGGGTGGGAGGGGACTGTATGGCCTCTTGGGCTGGAAGCTGACTAAAATGGAGTGGCCATTCCTTTTGAGACAAGAGAGACACAGAGAGATGGTGCGCAGTCAAACCTTTTAATGATGTGGTTCTGGTGGGGTTTATAAAGGGAGGTGGACCCCTGGGAAGATGCTTTCCTGAACCACAACCCCCACACTTGGGTCACCATTTCCTCTTCCTCCTCCTTGTGTGGGTGGCCGGAGACCTGTAGGACCTTCCCTCCCTTTAGGGTTCTGTAAGGCCCCTTCTCAGTCCTCAGAGTCCATTCTTCTCTTGTGCTGAGGCCTGCAGTGGGACCATATACTTCTGGTGCTCTTGTTGCTGTCGCGTCTGTTTCCCTTTCCTGCAGGGCGGCAGAAGAATGGCACTCTGGGTATGCAGCCTCCAGGCCAGGGCCGGGATATGGAGGCTCCCAGGGGGTCTCCGCTCAGCTATGCCTGGACACCTGCTCTCTGCCCCAAATACCTACTGCTCCCTGGAGCTGGGATCCCCAGGAAGGATTCTAGGAGAAGCTCAGGCAATTGGGGACAAAGGGACACAGAGCTTTGGGCTAGAAGAGGAAGCCTGGGCTTGAGTCTCAATACCACCCCACCCTGCATGTGTTACCTGGGATATATCCCTGCTTCTTTCTGAGTGGGGGCCCACCTGCTCTCCAGGTCCTGCACCGTGTCTGGCAGTGGCTGGCCCAGGGTCTCTGGCAGGAGGACAGTGACAGCGCTGGCGGCCACAGGAACAGCACCGTAGATGAAGAGAGGCATGGAGGGGTAGAGCTCGGCAGTCATGCTCACCAGTGGGCTCACGATGCTGCCCACTCGGGCCATGGTGCTGCCCATTCCCATGCCTGTCTGCCTGCAGGGCCCGCAGCAGATGGGTGTTGGTTAGAGTTCCAGCATGAATGCCCAGATGCTGGTCCCATTTGGAGGGTGGCAGCTCAGGCTCAGCCCCCAGGACACTCCCGGTACCTCCTCTCTTCCCCATTTGATTAGCAAACCAATTTGGCGATTTTTTTTTTTCTTGTAGAGATAGGGTCTCTGTGTTGCCAGGGCTGGTCTTAAACTCCTGGGCTCAAATGGTCCTCCCCCACCACAGCTGTTGGTGATCTTTTGAAAAAGAGAAGTTGGAAAGGGTTCTGGCCAGAGAATAAGGAGACTTAAGATTGAATTTTGCCTTTGCCCTTAACTTGCTGTGTGACTTTGGGCAAGCCCCTTTCCCTCCGTGGGCTTCAGTTTCTGCAGCTGTCAAATGATTCAGTTGTGGTACACCTATGGTTCTCAGATCACCTGGAGGAATTGTGTTATAGTTGCAACAAGCCAACATACACCTATTGGATTAGAATCCCTAGGGGGAGGGAGCTGGAATCTGCATGTTAAGAACATTCTTCATGAGAGAAGAGGTTAAAAACATTGACTCAGGAGACATACTGCTTGGGGTTCAAATGCATGCTTCACCATTTGTTAGCTGCATGATCTTGGAGAAGTCACTTAACCTCTCTTTGCCTCAGCTTTCACGTTTGTAAATGGGAATAATGATAGTGCCTACCACAATGGCTTGTTATGCAGATTAAATGAATTAATATTTGTGAAAAGTTTAAGACACTGCCTGGTACATAGTGAGTGCTTCGGATTATTGCTCTTTCATCTGAAATCTGGTAAGGGCACAGGACCATGACCCTCAGGGTTCCACTTTGCAGACCTTACAGGCCCACTCCAAGTAGCCCAGGGAAGCCTGACATTTCTTTGTTATCTCATGTAAATTTTGCATCCCATTCTTGTTTATTTTATTTTATTTTATTTTATTTTATTTTATTTTATTTTATTTTATTTTTTTGAGACAGAGTCTCACTCTCTTGCTGGGGCTGGAGTGCAGTGGCGCGATGTCAGCTTATTGCAACCTCCGCCTCCCAGGTTCAAGCTATTCTCCTGCCTCAGCCTCCTGAGTAGCTGGGACTACAGGTGTGTGCCACTATGCCCAGCTAATTTTTGTATTTTTAGTACAGACGGAGTTTCACCATGTTGGTTAGCCAGGATGGTCTTGCAGGATGGTCTTGATCTCTTTTTTTTTTTTTTTTTTTGAGATGGAGTCTTGCTCTGTCGCCCAGGCTGGAGTGCAGTGGTGCCATCTTGGCTCACTGCAAGCTCCGCCTCCCGGGTTCACGCCATTCTCCTGCCTCAGCCTCCCAAGTAGCTGGGACTACAGGCGCCTGCCACCACGCCTAGCTAATTTTTGTATTTTTAGTAGAGACGGGGTTTCACCTTGTTAGCCAGGATGGTCTCGATCTCCTGACCTCGTGATCTGCCTGCCTCGGCCTCCCAAAGTGCTGGGATTACAGGCGTGAGCCACCGTGCCCGGCCGGTCTTGATCTCTTGACCTTGTGATCCACCTGCCTTGGCCTCCCAAGGTGCTGGGATTACAGGCATGAGCCACCGTGCCGGGCCCCCATTCTTGTTTCTTAATGCAAAAATACTGCCCTCCATCTTAGGACTCAAATAAGCAATACTATATTTATTCCTATTGCTGGGATATTATCAGGAGTGAATCTTGAGATAGGAAATTGCTTTCATGTTTGTGGCCTTTGCTTTCAGATATATCACTTGGTTTATAGATGGAATGTAGATGTGGTGGCAGCTTCTAATTTGTGTTTTGGAGATTAAAGGAAGACTTCAATTTGTTGTCTCTGAGATGTGTCTTCTTGGTTCCTTACCCTGCCCCAGTTGGTGGCTACTTTTGAGATCTTCTAGGGTCCCGTAAGGGCTTAGAGGACAGTAACACCTGTGTTAGCTAGGCCATGAGGTGTGTACTCAGTGGCTACTATGTGCCTTGCAATGATGAGTGTTGGGAGGGGCCTTTGGGCTGGGATGTACTTGATTTAGCTCTGGGGTCTGACCTGTGCACAGAAGAATGTCTTTCCCCAGGAAAAGGCTGTCATTCTCCCATTAGGCTCCCACTCACCGGATCATTGTGGGATACAGTTCCCCAGTATACAGGAAGATGCAGTTGAAGGAGGCAGCCAGACAACCCTTCCCCAGCACAGCAAGAGAGGTTCGGACAATGGACTGGTCTAGAGAGAAAGAAGGGGGGATAGCAGGAGCTTGGGAGTGGAGGCTAGGAGGAATTGGCCCCCTCCCTTCTGAGATATTGGGTTATGTGTGGGGATGGGGCTGAGGAGAAGGGGCCAAGGTGCTCGTGGGTGCTCACCCTGGGGTATCACCCCATTGAGCAGGATGCAGATGCCTGCCAGCAGCAGTGCAGCCATCTGGGCAGGCCGGCGACCCAGGGAGTTGATGACAAGGAAGCCCACAAGCTTGGCAGGCAGGTCCACAGCACCAAAGATCACCTGGATTAGGTAGATGCTGACTCCAAAGCCCTGCAGGTCCATGACCAGCCCATAGTATGCAAAGCTAGTGGCAAACCTAGCAGAGAGAAGAGAGGAGTATGGAGTTTGTTAGGAAGGCTTAAAGTGGGGTGCTCTTTCAAAACAGTGGGGGAACTGCATTGGGTACCCTGCTTAAGGAGCTGGAATCTGCCTTGGCTAATATTTCTTCATTTAACCATATCATTAAACTGCAGAGTTTAAGTATTGAGGTAGTCCTGTAATACTCCAAATTTGCCAATCTTCTGATAACTAGGGTTGCAGTTAATTGGGGGAATTTTCACTTAGTTGCTCTGTAGGATTTACATAGGTTTAGTTTTCATCTTATCAATTGATGCTGGACTGAGGGAGGGCAGGTGCATACCCAAGCCATCTTCAGGGCCAAGGCAGCTGGGAGAGTAGAGAGAGCCTTCTGGGACCTGTCCATGGTCCTGGGATGAGTGTTGTGCTTTTTAAGATGTCAAGAGCCCAAAAAACGAAGCTCAAGATTATTGGCTAGAGCCCATGACTGAGAATAAATCCCAAATTGGAAGCAAATAATTCATTGGCAGGATTGTTCCTTCTGACTATGTTTCCCTTAACTGTCATGGGATTGCTATGGTGATGGGAAGGAAGGATAATGGGGAGTGTTGCAAAGGGAAAGGAAGATTTTCTTTGGCCTTGGCCAAAGTGTTCTTTGGAGATGAGTTTTAGTCATCTTGTTGCCTGTGCCTGTGTTTCTGGCAGGCACCATCAGGCCAGTAAAATCTATGAATATTTTGCAAGCCAGACTGGTCTCTGCCTTCATGATGTAAGTCTATTGACTCTGGAGCCCACTGGTCCTGATGAGGTGTCTCCACATTGGAACAGGGCTAGTGAAAGGACAAGATGGGGAGACTGGTGTCCCGTGTGGAGACTGGGACTGAGTCAAGGCTGGGGGCATCTGGTTCCTAAGGATGATCCCTAGTGTGGGGTTACTGCTTCTCACAGCAGGTCTGCTGACCTTCCTGCCCTCTTCTCTGGCCTCTTTCACCCATTGTGTCTCCTCCTGCCCCAGCCAGCCTTTTGTCTCAGTCTGTCTGTCTTTCTGGGCCTACCACAGCATGGAGAGGCAGAGGAAGAGGTGGCGGAGGGTGGGGCAGCGCAGCAGCTCCATGGCCGATGCCTGGCCTTTGCCCATGGTCAGCTCCTTCTGCAGACTGGCCCGGAGTACCTGCTGGGACCGGCAGAGCTCAGGGCCCGGGATCCTCCCAAGGAGCTCCTCCCAGCCTAATCCCTTACTTAGAGGAGTTCCCTGGGCCCTGGGTCCTGGGTTTGGGGTTTGGGGGTGAAGCCCTGGGAGGTTATCATGGGAAGTCTCAGGGGATCTCACCTCCATACTCAATTTGGCTCCTTCTTCCCGCTTCCCATTGATCCGGGCGACTCTCTGCAGGGCCCTCAGGGTGAGGTCCAGCCTCCCGGAGGAGGAGTGCCAGCGGGCCGACTCAATGAAGAACCTGGGAGCGGGGGTGGGGGTGGGTGTCAGCATGGCTTCAGTTCCAGTCAGCTGGGTGGGGGGCTGGGGCTGGGCTTTCTAGGGGTCTGCGATGGGATTTTATTTAAGGTTGGGAACCCAGGGGCCTTGCCAAATCCCTCTCTCTAGGACCACGAGGCAGTGCCCAGCTTGGTAATGACATATTCCCCAATCCAGAAGCTCAGCTCTTGGTTGCGGGTAGGGGGAGCAGAGCAGGCAGGCTGGAGAACGGAGTGGGGGAAGCCAGAGAATTGGATATCCTGGGGCAAAGCCTTCTCCCCACAGCCTTGGTTTCCCTATCTGTCACACAGAGGCATTGGACTGGGTTTGACCTTCTCTACATTTGTGGGATGGGATGTGTGCTGAGCTCTGGGAGATGTCCTGTCCCTTGCAGCCTCTGGGCTCCTGTGGCAACCACCTCCAACCCTAGGCCCCACGCACCAGGAGTAGATGAAGAAGGCAAAAAAAGGCGCAGAGACCAGTAGCTGCAGGTGGCGCCAGTGGGGCACAGCGTAGGCCACACCAGCCAGGAGGAACTGGCCCAGGCTGTAGACATAGCCAATCAAGGTGCCCACGCAGGCCCGTGTGTGAATGGGCATCCACTCCACATCTGGAAAGAGGGTTAAGACAGGATGCTGCAACTACCTGGGCTGCTGGGCTAGTAAAGGCCCCTCCCTCCATCCAAACCTTGGCCTGTCCCAAGGCTCAGTGGAAAATGCATCGAGTAAGTTGAGTGCCAGGGTGATGGGAGTGGGGGAATTTCAGTGGAGGTATGGATGAGGAGCTGGGTTCAGAATATCTGGGAACTGCCCCCTCCACACTCTTGATTTTTTTTTTTTTTCTGCTCCTCCTCAACCTATTCTCCTGGCTAGAGTTCCTTCTCCATTGAGAGCACCTCTGGCCACTTGGTCTGTCTTCAGCAGCAACCATTCCTCTGGTCTTCCTCAGCTATGGGCTGGATTCCACTCTCAGTGGCCAGAGCATCTTGGAGGAGGCAGTGGCTTTTCTCCATCCTGGAGTCTTGAAGTAGGAGTGGGACCACCTCTCTGGTGTGGTCTGGAGAGGCCTACCTCCTGTCCAGGTGGGCTCCCCATTGGGCTGCTGGGACAGGGACTTGGATACTTAGGCTGGACTTGGGGGTTGGATTTCTTAGGTGTCTTGCCCAGGCTCTAGCCCAGTCCCGGTTAATTCCTCTAGTCCAGAGAATCCCAAATCCCTGGATTCCCTTCTGTGGTTGAGGAATGCCCTTGGGTAAATCCTTTCCCTTCTTCTTGGCCTTGGATTCCTCATTTGGGAAACATGGGGTAAGCGGGGGTTGATCCATCAGAGGATGCTCATCAATGGCCCATGGAGAGACCACACTCAGTCCACAAATGTGTCTTGTCTGCACGATGCTGCCTCATCCTATGTTTATTATTAGAGTTAATTGCAAACATGAAAAAAAACTGGGTTATTTTACATTAATCAAAGAGGAGGGGGAAGCTATGACAGCCCTAGGATCTCCTGCCTGGAGCAGCTGCATGCCTGTAGTGTCTCTGGATGAAGGTGTCTCTCCTTTGAATACAGTTCTCACCATTCCCTAATGCCTCCTGCACCTGGCCGTCTTACATGATCTGCTGGCTCTAACAATGGAGTTTGCAATCCTGCTTTTTTTTTTTTTTTGAGACAGAGTCTCGCTCTATTGCCCAGGCTGGAGTGCAGTGGCGCAATCTCCGCTCACTGAAAGCTCCGCCTCCCGGGTTCACGCCATTCTCCTGCCTCAGCCTCCCGAGTAGCTGGGACTACAGGCGCCTGCCATCACACCTGGCTAATTTTTTGTATTTTTAGTAGAGACGGGGTTTCACCATGTTAGCCAGGATGGTCTCGATCTCCTGACCTCGTGATCTGCCCGCCTCGGCCTCCGAAAGTGCTGGGATTACAGGTGTGAGCCACTGCGCCTGGCCCGCAATCCTGTTTTTAAATGAGGGGTCAGGGCGGCATGAGCCTGAGAAAAGGTTGTTCTATTGGCAGGAAGGTGAGACCCGAGAGAGGCTGGAGGGCAGGCAGGGCTCAGGAGGGGCAGGCTGGGAGGGGAGGCTGGAAAGGGGTTGCTGGGCTGGGTGGCCGGAGGGGAGTGGGCTGGTAAGAATCTCTCACTCAGTGTCATGCAGTTGAGGGAGATGCCAGCCAGAGCCATGCCCGAGAGGAGCCGGAAGGCGCAGTAGATGGGGAAGTTGGGTGCGAAGGCTGCGCAGGTCCCTGACACAGCTGTCTGCAGGTAGTTCAAGATGAGTACCTTCCGGCGGCCTAGCCTGTGGGAGGAGGGGAGACTTGTAGCAGGGCCCTGGAGACTGATGGGGGTCAGGCTGAGCCAGGAGAGGAGGGCTCACCCTGGATGATGCCTGGGCTGGGGCCTTTTGAGGACCTCTGAAGTATGAGGCTGGTGCTGTAGATCCTCAAACCAGCGCCGGCTGGCAATGCCAAGCTCCCACCTAGACACCCTGAGCCCAGCTGAGCCCCTAATCCCAGCCCAGCCCAGCCCCTTGACCCTACCCAGGACTGACCTGTCTGCAAGGTAGCCGAACACCATGGCTCCGAGCAGCACCCCCACCATGTACAAGGACTGGGCCAGCTGGCGTAGGGCCCTGTGAGAGCACACAAGGTCCCACTGTGGGGAGAGGAGCAAGGGTCAGGCAGAGATGAGCCTGGCTTCAGAGAATCCCCTTCCCCCACTTCAGCTGGTCCTCTGGGGTCCATGTCACCCTCTTCCTCCGGCACTTTGCCCTTTGCCTCTCTGGTCCTGACAGCTGAGAGCATTTTTCTTTTTAACTCAGCAGTTAAAAAACTCAGCAGTTAATTTCTCCATGTACTTTTTTTTTTTTTTTAACAAAGGCCCCCATCTTCCCATCTTGGCCCCTGGATGGGGAGCCCCAGGTGCTCACCTCAGTCACGATGGTAGATGGGAAGGTGCTGTTGTCATAGATCCAGCCATCGGTGCAGGGCTCTGTGGCCCCTGTGCCATTGGCTTCTGTGCCATTGAGAAAGGGCAGTCCCCACTGCGGGGAGGTGAAGCGGAGGCAGGACTCAGGCTGCCCCTGCCTGTCCCGGGGCAGCCAGACCTCCAGCCCCCCGTTCTTGCTGAGGTTGGCATCGGCAGGCGGGCGGCAGTGGTGGGTAGGGATGGCAGCAGTGAAGTTCTGCAGGGTGTTGTGAGAAGCCATCAGGAGCAGGGGGAGGACCACCAGGGTGACCTGGATCTGCTGGAAGCGGCCGACACCCCCCACCTGCTGCAGGAGGTCATTAAAGGCCATTGGGCCAGGCCCAGCCCAGTGGCTGGGGGCTGAGGCCTTCCAGTCCCAGGACCTCTGTCTGTCTGCCTGCCTGCTGTCCTTCGCTGGAGGAGCAGCACTGCCGTTGCCTCCGCAGCTGGGTTGCTCCGGGAGCTGAGTCCGAGCTGCTCTGTGGGGGGACAGCAGCCTCCTTGGCTGCTCCTCCTTCTTCCCCGGTCTCCCTGATCTGTCCCTCCCTTTTCCCTTGCAGCTTCTCCTCACTTTGGGGGTCAGGGCAGCTCAGCTTTCAGGGTCTGCTGGAGACCTGACCCTTGCATGGGCAGTTTTTAATCCTTGGCCTGGAGGGAATGAGTTAAAGTGTGACTTGGTATCAGAAGGATTAACCCTCCAAGGATTCCTTGTGTCAGTGGAATTTCTCCAAGTGGTTATAAAGGGCAGGAGAGGGTGGACTGAATAGGAGCAGGGAGAGGGGTGTATTAGGGGGGCATCTGGGGGCAGGGGGGGCCAGAGTGGGATCTATTGGACCTATTTGTCTTCCTTTTAGGAAGGAGACTGGGCTCTGGGAAGTGTGGTGGCCTCTTGAGGAGTTTCTGCCCTTTTTAGTGGATGAGATCCAAATAGTCTGCTTTTGGGAAGGGTTGCCAGGGAAATTACAGGGTGCCCAGTCAAATTTGCATTTTAGGTCAATGAAGAGTTTTTAAAAGTATGAGTATGTCTCTAATATTGCATGAGACATACTTATACTAAGCAATTCTTCATTGATTTGAAATGCAAATTTGACTGGGCACCCTGTATCTTTATTTGCTAAATGTGACAACCCCAGTCTTTGTTCTTCTGGGGACAGCTCACATCTTATAGAACCATGGTTTTATTCATTTGGAAGAAACAACAGAAGTCAGAGGCCGCTCTTGGAGTGGGACCTAAGACCAACGTCATACACAATGTCGGGTGATTCTTCCAGTGATTCTTCTGACCCTTCCAAGGGTCAGATTTTTCCCTTAGTCATATTGTCTTCTGTCCATAGTGTCTTTTTTCTTTTCTTTTCTTCTTGTTTTCTTCTCTTCTCCCCTCCCCTCCCCTCCTTTGTCACCTCCCCTTCGCTCCCCTCCCCTCTCCTCCCCTCTTCTCTTCTCTTCTCCTCTCTTCTCTTTCTTTTTGAGACACAGTCTCACTCTGTTGCCCAGGCTGGAGTGCAATGGTGCAATCTCAGCTCACTGCAACCTCTGCCTCCCAGGTTCAAGTGATTATCATGCCTCAACCTCCCGAGTAGCTGGGATTATGGGCATGTGCTACCACGCCTGGCTAATTTTTGTTATTTTTAGTAGAGATGGGGTGTCACCATGTTGGCCAGGCTGGTCTCGAACTCCTGACTTCAGGTGATCTGCCCATCTCAGCCTCCCAAAGTGCTGGGATTATAGGCGTGAGACACCATGCCTGGCCTCTTTAATTTATTTTTGAGATAGGGTCTCACTCTGTCATCCAGCCTGGAGTGTAGTGGCACAATCTTGGCACACTGCAGCCTTGACCTCTCCAGGCTCAGATTATCTTCCCAGTTCAGCCTCCTGAGTAGCTAGAACTACATGTGTGCACCAGCACACATGTATTTATTTATTTTTAAGAGATGTGGTTTTGCTATGTTGCCCAGGCTGGTCTTGAACTCCTGGGCTCAAGCAATCCACCTGCCTCAGCCTTCCAAATGGCTGAGATTACAGGAGTGACCTACCGCACCCAGCCATAGTGTTATTTTTTAAAACAATGAGCATGAACTCACTGTGTTTTTAGCCACAACTCTAAGACAATCACGTGAATTCCTCCAACAGAGTTTTGGCTCCTGAGTTACATGTGATCAGGGAAGTGTGGAGCTCTGATTTGATGGGTTTCCATGGGATCCAGTTGGTTGGATCCCAGATTGAGGACAGTGAGAGAGAGTAGATGGCAGCTTCTTGTTATTAACTTATGCACTTCATATTATATAAAACATGGACTCTGGAGTCAGTCTACTTGGACCCACATCCTCACTCCACACTTACTGGCTGTGGAACTAGGGGCAAGTGACTAAACTCCTCTGTACCTCAGTGTCCTCATTTGCAAGATGGGGATAATAGCTATGTTGGCTGCCTTGAGTTTTTGGAGCATTAAATGAACTAATATAGGTAAGAAGCTTAAAGTAGCTCATATGCCCTGTAATTCAGTGGTTACTGGCTCTTCTTATTTGTTTCTGGTGAAAAGGTGGGACTATCACATTGATTTTAGAAAGAAAATATGCCTAAGTATATCTTATCCTAAGAACGGTGATTTTTGACTGGCGGTGATTTTGCCCCCCAGGGGACACTTGGCAATGTCTGGAGATATTTTTGGTTGTCATGACTCAGGATGGTGGTGGTGCTACTGGCTTTTAGAGGGTAGAGATATGCTGCTGAATATCCTGCAATGCACAGGACAGGCCCCCACAATGAAGAATTATCTAGACCCCCAAATGTCAGTGGTGCTGAGATTGGGAAACGCTACCTTAAAAGATGTTGCAGGCTGGGCGCGGTGGCTCATGCCTGTAATCCCAGCACTTTGGGAGGCTGAGGCAGGCAGATCACAAGGTCAGGAGTTTGAGACCGTCCTGACTAACATGGTGAAATCCCGTCTGTACTAAAAATACAAAAATTAGGTGGTGCGCATCTGTAATCCCTGCTGCTCCAAGAAGCTGAGGTGGGAGAATTGCTTGAACCTGGGAGGTGGAGGTAGCAGTGAGCCAAGATCACGCCACTGCACTCCAGCCTGGGTGACAGAGCGAGACTCCATTAAAAAAGAAAAAAAAAAAAAGATGTTGCAGAGTTTGTGTGTGTAGTAATCAATCCTATACCTGCTTGGCCAAGGAAAGATGACTCCTATCAAAATATTTCCACGAACCCCCAGGAAGAGACATTCTCCTCCTCCTTGTTCTGCTGGAGGACAGCTGGATAGCCTGGCCTCCAAAGACCTGCAGCTCTTTCCCCGCCTGGGCCCACCCAGCCACTTCCACCACTGGGGTGGCTGAATCAGGAAACTGATCTTCCTGTGTCTGCTCTAACACCCTTCTCCACTATATCCTCACTTGACTGTTGAGCTTGGCTTACCATGCTGGACTCTTCCTTGCCCTTTATGGTGTGTTTCCATTTTGGGTCCCTAACTATCCCTCTAGGTAATCTGGCTCCTGCTGACTGCCCCCCACCTAGCTTCATCATTCTCTTGGCATGTGTCTAAACACGACGGATGATTAGGGTTCCATCATTTTACAGAAAGCACTCCAGGCCCTATACAAATGAGCCAATGCCAAGGGTCATGAGAAGAAAGGATGTTTCTCACTTCTTCTGGGCAGAAATCTCCGTCTTGCTGTTGAAGGGATGTAGTCTGATGTCCAACTTCTCTTGTTAGAGGTCGAGATGCCTTGTGAATGTTGTACAGTTCGTGCAAACTGCAGCCTTGTGCATGAAGCTGGGAGGGTATTTATCATTCATCAGGACTCTGAGATCCATGAAATCTTTGATTGGTTCAAACCCATTCTGTCTAACTTCAAAGATGAGTTCTTAACTGCTGCTGTTGAGGTGTAGACTGCCCAGCCCAAAGGGTTTTGGAAATTATCTGGGCTCATATGTACAAAAGAGAAAAGGGGAGGCCCAGAAAGGTATGTAACTCAGCCCAGCCTTCCCCCTCCCACCCGTTGTTGGTTCTGGGCTGGGACCCAGTGGGTGTCCAGATGCCTGACAACATTCTCCAGGCCAAGATACATAAGAGTCCTGTGGTCTGGGGATGCGAGGACAGCTGGACAAACAGCTTGGGGACTGCGGGGCCAGTCTCCTGCCAGGACCTGGTGCCCTCATGGGGGAGTGGGTGGAGTGCTGAGGGCAGCAGGGGATAGTGGGCCCCTACAAGCACCCTCCCTCTCTAAGCCTGTGCCAACCCCACATTGGAGAAGAGCTCCCTCCTGAATGCCTGACGAGCTCCGAGCCTGGCTGAGTCTAGAAAAGACTCCATTGCAGACTCTGGGCCCGGAATTGTGTTTGGGTCTTGGGATCATCTGAGTGGCAAGGGATTCCCCAGCAGCCTCCTGGCTCATGGAGAGTTTCTGGATGGGCATACTCTCATAGCAAGTGATTTTCAGAGCCAGGAACTGTCCCTTAGGGGAACCTTCTGGGCCACTAAAACCTCACAATGGGACTTCCTTGTGCTGACTGGAATATAGAGTTAAATTCTGGTCATGCTCACTGAGAAAGGGTCAAATATGGGAATCTCTGATTGGCCCAGAGCCATAGAACCACATGCCATCTAAGTTGAATGCCATCACTCAGGTAAAAACGTCTCATTGTACACATAAGGAGACCAAGGCCCAGAGCAGGCAAAGGATTTGTCCATGATCACACAGCAAACAAGTCTGGAACTCAACTCTTTGGACTCCATTGTTCTTCCTACCATGCCAGCAGCCATCACATATCCCAGATTTTCTGGGATTAAGTCCTGATTTTGTATAACTTTATTCCATTTTATAATTGGGATTTAAAGTGTGGGACTACCTGTGATTTTTGTTTTTATTCTTTTGTGAGATTTTTCAAATACATAATTTACAGATCATATAAAACACTCTTACTTAGATCACATGTCCTAAGCATGGGTTTGAAACGATTGACTTGGGGAGGGTCCAGCAGATTCCAAGTGTCTGCCAGGCCCCTCGCAACATTCTGAGTAAGGAATTCTGAGATACACTGTGAGCTTTGTGCCTTGTGGCCTGACTATCCTGGCTGACGGATGGTGCAGAAATTAGAAATTCATCCAAAGACTTCCATATAAAGGCTGGACATGAGGCCAGTGACCTATGAGTTGACGCAGCATGAGGACTCTGCCCAAAAGTGGTGCTCCATATTGGATCTCCATGTACCGAGCCAGGTGGAGTCCCTGCTTAGAGACAGAAGGGAGGGAGTAGAAAAAGCAAGCGGAGCTGGGGTTGTAGAGGAATAAGCAGCAATGGAGAGAAGGAGGAATCCAGAATGGGGATTTGGGGATTGCAAGAAGAACGGGTCTTGTGAGTGGCCAGTTTGTCCTGAACAACATCTCAGTTCACCATAAGTCCTGACCATGTACCTGGAAAGTATTTTCTTGGGTGTCTTCCCTTCCCTTCATGTGTGTCCTTGCAATAAGCACCCTGAAGCACAGGAATAGTCATGGCCAGGACATCCTGGCAGCCACTCGGAATTCCGGACAACTGAAAGATGGGGGCATAGTGGGGTCAGTATTCCTCCCTGAGCCTAGTCCTTCTCCCTCCAGGTCGAGACCCAGTCAAACTAAGGGGAAGCATTGCTGGCTCTGTTGTCAGCTGATCCTAGGCTCCACAGTAGAAACTCTATAGGTAGAAACCAGGTTCCAAGATAGAAACTAGGTGGCTTCTCCCCATCCAACCCCATAGCACTCTCAGCATAAGGGCCAGATCTCAGGGGGCAGTGTAGCACAAGGCTGGTCCTAGGCGCCAGCCCCAGGTTATCTACAGGTTGGCAAGGGGGGAGTCCTGCATCCAACATGATCATAAATGGCCAGTCCCAGCAGCTTCCCACATGGCTGGATGACAGATGGGCTAGGATGGGAGAACCTTCTTCCCTTCTCATTCTCTTTCCTCTTGCCTCTTGATTCTCTTCCCTGACTTACCGCCTAACTCCCCTACTTGTGCTTTCTAGGATCTCCTGCCAAATAATCTATGGTACTTGGACTTAAATTCTTGTCTTGAGTCTGCTTCCAGGGAAACACCCACTAAGACACAACTGTGATCACAGTTCATTGTCTGATAAGCAGGGTGCTCAACCCAGGCTCTGGGGCAGTTGAGGGGTGGTCACAGAAGGCTTTTCAGAGGAATCCATCCAAGCTAGGCCTTAAGGATGAGTTGGCATGAGCCAAGTGCTGTAGAGTTGGATGGGGAGAAGCCAAGTGCTGGGCATGGTGAAGAGCAGGGGCAGTCTAGGATCTGAAAAAGATCAGTTGAGGCTGGATTTCTGGGTACGAGGTAGAGTGTTAAAAACCAAAGCTGTTGAGGCAGGTTGGGCCTGGTCATGGCAGGCCTTGTGAAAGACTTTAGATTTTATCCCAGTGGGAAGTCACCAGAAGGTTGACGCAGGGGTACAATACCATCCCTTTCACATTTATTAAGCTGTCTCTCAAATATCTAAATACAGATTTGAGAGTAATTAGCTCTGTGGCTGATAATTAAAGCCCTGCAGTATGTCTGAGTTGTCCAAGGTGGTAGCCAGTAGCCACTACTGAGTGCTTGAATTGAGCTAGTCCAAACTGAAATATGCTGCTAGTGGAACATACACACCAGAATTTGAAGACTTAGTCTGAATTTAAGGTTATAAAATATCTAATTAATAATGTTAATATTGATTAATCCTGAAATGCAATATTTGAATATAGTGGGTCAAATATTATTATATTATGTACATAATATATTCAAAATTAATTTCACCTGTTTTCTTTTAGCTTTTTAAAAATGGCTACTAGATGATTTGGAGTTACATATGTGGCTTGCATTCTATTTCCACTGGACAGTGCTGGGGAAGAATGTTACAGGAAGAGTTCCTAGGAAAGATTCCTGGGGCAAATCAGTGTTGAAGAGATGGTAGAGCGAGAGGAGCTGCTTTTGGAGCTCTTTGGTTACAAGGAGCAGCCCATCAAGTTAGCTTAAACAGAAAGGGGAATTTATTTGGAGAATTCAGGGATATTTAATAGAACCCCGGGGTAAAAAGCGCATCCAGGGCTGATGAGGAACCGAGACCTGGAATTCATTAAGAACCAGTGGAAGTCGCCTCACCAGCTCTTTTTATCTGGGCCCATGTGGTCTCTTGTTCTCTTTTTCTCTGTGTGTCTGCCTTATTCTCTTGCTGCAACTGGCTTTCTCTGCTCTATCTGCATCTGGGCCAGCCTAGCCTCATGCTAACCTGCCTTCCCAGGGCAAGGACAAAGAGATGGATAAGAACCTCTTAAGATCTCAAATCCTAGCCCAGGAGAGAGTATGTGATAAATGAGATTTGGATCTGGAGTGCCCTGTGGTCTAGTTGGTCACCACCAGAGATGGCAGATTATGGAACTGTTCAGTTGGCAGATTCCGGGGATGCAGATCCTTAGAAAAGGGGTGGGGGCAGGATAGGCAAAGTGAACACTGCAGCATTTATAGGATACCGCAGAGGGGCCTGAGAAGGAGTAGCCAGTGTGTGGGGGGGAGCTGCAAACACGTGGCCTCTCAGAAACTAAGGAAGAAGAGAGTGACCAGTAGGACCAAATTTGCCAAAAGGCCAGTAAGAGGAGGGCTGAAGAGTGACTTATGGATCCAGCACAGGGAGGGGATGAGCGTCCTTGGTGAAAGCGGTTCCAGGGAGGGAAGGGGTAGGAGCCGGAGTGCAGTGGGGGAGATGTATGAGGCTAGAAGGTGGATACAGGGGAGGCAGACAGCTCCTTTATGAAGTCTGGCTTCGAAGGGGAGAAAGAGCCAGTGTGGCCCTTGGAAGGAGATACAACATCCTGGCATGTGTTTGTGTTGATTTTTGTTAAGTTGGGAGAAGCCTAAGCTTGTTTAACTGGTGATGGGCGGCAGCCAAGACAGAGGGAATGGGCAGAGACCCCAGAGGGAAAGGGATGGCTGCTGGTGGAGGGATTGGCTGTTCTGCTGTGGCTGGAGGGAACCGGGAACATGGCAGCAGATATTGACAGCGGTCAGCTACCATTGCAGTTTTCTGATATTGACAGCGGTCAGCTACCATTGCAGTTTTCTCAGTTAACACGAGAAAAACTATCTGCTGGGCATGGGGCTGAGACATAGATCAGAGATTTGGGGTGATCAGGGGAAAGAAATCAGGATTGGAGGGGCTCTGGCTTCTGTCTGCAGCCACTCTGGGCTTGGTCAGTCATCTGCTCATATGCATGCTGGGACGTGTAGACACACACATGTATTTTCATGCACAGGCGTGGTGTACACACCTCAGAGCACTCACATGTGCTTGCTCATGTTCACATCAGTCCAGCTTGCATGTACCTGTGGTGCCTGTACACAGGCCTGTCGTACATGAAGTGTGGATGGACAGATGTGCATGCTCACGTGTCCACACGGTGGCCAGCTCCCATCCCACCCCCATTCCTGAACATCATGGCTAGAGTTCTTATCGCTGTTTATTGAAACCTCCCATCAAAGAAAAGTGTGGGAGGCAAGAAGGGGAGGACTTCTCATCTTGTTAAGACTCAGTCTTGTTAGGACTGAGCCAGGGGATATCAGGGGACCTCAGGGGAAGAGGACCGGGACAGTGGGGGAAGGTGGCCAGTGGGGAAGGGCTAGACAGAAGAATGGCAGGGCCTGGGTTGCAGGGAGAACAAGGGCAGGGATGGCTGAACCTTTGAACTGGCCAGGGCTGGGCAGGAGGCTCTGGTGGTGGTGATGGAGACACCTTCACCAAGCTCTCAGAAGGCTTCATCCTAGGAGGATGGACCTATATGGGGCCTCCCTATACTCCTAAGGTGCCTGGCTAGGATCAGTCTCTGGAGGGCAGGGAAAGGGGGTTCCGTTGTCCTCAGCTGGAGCCCAGGCCTGGTCCGTGAGGCTGTAGAGGGATCCTCTGGGAGGCCTTTTCCACCTCTGGCTCCTGCTTTGGCTTCTTTGCCCGCAGGGACCTAGGGACAGAGAGCTAAGGAAAAGCCCTGGGCCCAGACCTGCTTCCCCAGGGAGGAGCACTGATGGGGCCAGAGGCAGTGACTGACCAGTTTTCCAGGTCTTCGATAGTCTCTGGCAAGGGCTGATTCAGGGTCTCAGGCAGGAAGAGGGCAGCACTGCCCCCGAGGAGGGCGGTGATCCCGTAGATGATATTGGGGATGAAGGGCTGTACCTCACCCGTGATTTTCACCAGCGGGGACACCATGCTTCCCACGCGGGTCCACAGGTTACTTACGCCCATACCTGTTTGCCTGCGAGGGTTCAGAGTAGGGATTGGTAGCCTGTGTGTGGGGTTCATAAAGGATGGCTCCCCTGGGTAGAGGACAGGACAATGCCACAGTCCCACCTGACCTGTGTCCTCTGGCTGGGCCTGGCCCCAGGTCCAGCACCTACCTGATGACTGTGGGGTATAATTCACTTGTGTAGAGGAAGAGGCAGCTGAAGGAGCTGGATAGGCATCCCTTCCCAAACACAGCCAATACTGTCCTCACGGTCTGCAAGTCTGCAGAGGGAAGAAAATGTGGTGGGCCTTGGAGTTCAGGAGCACCTAAGAGTTCTCACTCCTTAGCTGATCTTGTCTCCCTTTTTGCTTTGGCTTCCAAGAAGCTCAGATCCAAACTTAAAGCTGAGTAATGCTTTGCATGCCTGTGTCCTGCTATGTTTGTGTTTTCCCCTGCCTCTGATCCTCTATTTCCATTTATATTTTGTTGTATATGTTCTTGTTCTTGTCTTAAAATACCTCAAGTTCTTTTGGAAGGGTATAGGTGTTATCAACCAACTAACACCCATATAAAATAAACGTAGCTTTTCCAAGGTCATGATGGAGTAGGTTGTGGGGTCTTTCTTGAGCATGAGCTCTGTCGTTTTACCATCTCAGCTTATCTCTACAGTGATGTCACTCAGGACACTCTCAATACCTCAAAAATTTTCACACTATCCAGATACCACCATACTTTTTGCCCAGTCCAAGTCAGATCTGGAAAGGAGCTTTCATGTCATCTAGCCCAATTGCGTTATTTTCTAGAAGAGAGACCCTGAGCCCCAGAGAGTGCAGGGACCTGCTCAAGGTAACACAGTGACTTAGAGGCAGAGCCAGCAGTGAAGTCCCTGGCACCCAACCTGGCAGCCTCT
The DNA here is from genome assembly GCF_000001405.40 of Homo sapiens. NCBI lineage: Eukaryota > Metazoa > Chordata > Mammalia > Primates > Hominidae > Homo > Homo sapiens. The sequence continues at coordinate 62,994,508 of NC_000011.10, forward strand.
TCCAGAGGGTTCTGGGGTAGCCCCAGTCTCTCACCCAAGGGCACAAAGGTGAGAGCCAAGATGGCCCCTCCTGCCAGGAGCAGGGCAGCGGCCTGAGTGGTATGCCGGCCCAGGTAGCTTAAGGAGAGGATGGTGATGAACTTGGCTGGGACATCGACCCCACCAAAGATGATCTGGAGGATGTAGAGGTTGACTCCAAATTCTTCCACACCCATAGCCAAACTATAGTAGGCAAAACCGGTAGCAAACCTGAGAGGCAGAGAAGGATTGGTTAGCACCTGCAGCCAGGCAGAGGCCACTCCCCATGCTGGTCATTGGGTCACCAGGATGATGAATAGCTTCACTTCTTGTGCCAACTGCAACTGATGATAGGGGCTGCTTGAGTGTCCTTTTGAGGTTTCTGAGATCGTGTCTGGGCTCAGGGAGAAAGTGCTGTGATTGACTGGTCATGTCTGACGTGGGCATGGTCCAGGGTGTGGTGGCAAAGGTGCCAATAACTGACTCTAGAGAAGATCAGGACTGGAGGGAATCTCGGAGACCAAAGGAGGCAGTAAATGATCTCTCCTGGTTGGGCAGCAGTTTAACATCCAGACTGGCGAGGTGAGCATTGAGCTGTATGCCTGGGTCAGATGTTTCCCTTCCTCTCTCTGAACTGTGGGATCCCTTTGAAGGGTTCCTGGACAAATTGAATCCTATTCACAAAGAAATGGCCAGGATGGGAAGCAGAAACCAGGTCACAGAAAGGGCTTTCAGGGAGCAGGAGAAAGTCAGACAGAGGAGAAAACTTGAGATAAACATAATTTTTGTCTTCGAGTCTGAAACCCATTGGTCTAGCCTTGCTCTGTGGGGTTCCAGAGGGCAGAGCTGACCCAGAGGGGGGCAGTGACAGAGAGGGAGAGCATGGGGACACTGAGCGGCAGGGATGTGAGCTGGGGAAGGGGCCTGGAACATTTGTCCTGTGGGTGAGGGGTGGGGCATTGTGACCCCAGAGGGAAGCAGACCCTGATGGCTGGACCTGGGTGTGGGGCAGGAATGCAGCAGATTTCTGGGGTTGGGGCTGGGCTGTGGTGGCCCAGGAGAGGGGATTCTCTGACTTCTCTTTCAGATGCCCTAGGCCTTGCCCTTAAGTGAGCCTACTGGAGGCCTTGTCTATCACCCCTTCCTTGGCAGGGTGTGGGCAGGGAGAGGGGGGTTACCAGGCCAGGGAAAGACAGAAGGTCATGCGGCGCAGCATGGGTATCCGGAACAGGTCACTTGCGGTGTACTTGGCCTTGGCCAAGGAGATCTCCTTCTGCAGGTTGAGTTTGAGCTCCTTCGGGCAGAGGAGGGGGAGGGGTGCCATTAATGACCAGCTAGTGGGCAGGACGAAGAGAGGGAGATGCAGGCGTGGTGCCTCTAGAGGAGCTCAGGGAATCAGATGTGGTATAGGCTGTGAGCCAGGGGAACAGAGGCAAGGGGAGGGGCCAGCCCAAGAGTGGAGCACAGGGGTTCTGCTCCCAGACTATAGTCCTCAGCCCCTACCTCCAAGCTGAGCCTTTCTCCCTCTTCCTTCTTGCCATTGAAGACAGCCACCCGCCGGAGTATCTTCAGGGCCTTCGAGGACTTTCCAGACAAGACCAACCAGCGTATGGACTCTGGTGTCCACCTGGGGGCCAGAGACCAGTCACAGTGGCTCCTCCCACTCCAGAGCCCCTTTTGAGAGGCTGGAAGAACATCAACAGCCAGGGCCAAGGGGTAGGAGGACCAGAAACCTGAGCTATCTCACTGCAGATTTCATGGAATTTAAACTTGGACAAACTCTGCCCCTGGGCTGCCTGCAGCCAGCACAAATTCCAGTGTTCTCTTCTTCCCCTTCCAGAAGACACTTTCCTCTGCCCCCGACCTGGGCCACTTGTTATTGTTGGGTGTCTTCCTTAACTAGGAGCCCCAGGCTCTAGGCCAAGGCAGGTGGGGCTGGGGGAGGGGATGGCATGTTCAAGGCTGGACTGCTGCTGGAGGGTCCTGCACATCCACCTCCCCAGCCTTCCTTGGGCTGCATTCCCAGTCTCTCTGGAGAAGAAAGGGCAGGGCTGCAGCCACAGGGCAGCTTGGGAGGGGGATGGAGGCTAAGGTGAGGTCAGGGACTAGGCTTTGGGACCTTCAGATTCTCCCTGCAAAGGACTAACTCTGCTGGGGGAGTTGTGGGGAGGGAGTGAGCACAGCATGGGGTCTTGGGATTGGCAAATAGGCAGTCACCCCCACTCTCCCTTGCCCCCAGGCTATGCTTTTGAGATTGGCTCATTCTGAGCAGTTCCTGAGGGTCACCAGGATAAGAGGAAAGGAAGAGGTTGAGATGTGGGGAGAAAGGAGTGGTGTTTGGAGAAGTCTGGTCCAAGGCAGGATCAGCTTTAGCTGTAGCCCCTGTGGGTGACCTGGATCCGGTGAGGCCCTCAGGGAGTGGACATTGGTTGCCTGGCCTCAGGCCACTGCCCCAGCTGATGGTGGCAGCTTCCTGGGCCCATCACTCCTCCTGCCCTGATGGTCTTCTGAGCCTGCTCTTACCAAGATTATCAGTGACTTCCTCCCAAAACCATGGCAAGGGCCTGGCACTCTATCCTCCTCTTCCCGAGAATTATGGCAGGAATGGCTTACAGTTAGTGAGCCTTCCTGTGTACCAGGCCCATGAAACTCTGGGTGACAGGCAACATTATCTTCATTTTACCTAGAAAAATATTTTTCTTTTTTTTCCTGTTTTTGAAATGGAGCCTCGCACTATCGCCTGGGCTGGAGTGCAATGGCATGATCTCTGCTCACTGCAACCTCCACCTCCCGGGTTCAAGTGATTTTCCTGCCTCAGCCTCCCAAGTAGCTGGGATTACAGGCACGCATCACCACACCCGGCTAATTTTTTGTGTTTTTAGTAGAGACGGGGTTTCACTGTGTTGGCCAGGCTGGTCTGAAACTCCTGACCCCGCGATCCGCCCCTCAGCCTCCCAAAGTGCTGGGATTACAGCCGTGAGCCACTGCACCCAGCCACCTAGAAAAATCTTGATGCTCAGAGGGCATGAGACTTGCCCCAAGTCACACAGTGAACTGGCCCAAGCTCTCAACTGTGCTCTGCTGATCGCCCACCCTTATTTTGCCTCCTGACTCTGAGTGCTCTCACGCCTAGGTTGCCCATCCCCTCTGGGAGCTGCTATTCTCATTTCCGAGCTGAGGTTCCATCCCAGCTTTGCATCTTTTTGTGTAACTTTGAGGAACTGCTTCACATCTCTGAGCCTCAGTTTCCTCATCTGCAAAATGGGGACAATAATGTCTCCCTCACACAGAGAAGCCATGAGGATCAGAGACGACGTAGGTTGATGCCCAAAACGGGCTGTGCACATAGCAGATGCTCAATAAAAGGTCGCTCCAAGACTTCACTTCTTTTCCTGAGCGCCTGTGGGATTTCCTGCTCTTTGGCTCTGACTACCTTTTTTTTTGAGACGAAGTTTTGCTTTTGTTGCCCAGGCTGGAGTGCAGTGGCGTGACCTTGGCTCCCTGCAACCTTCACCTCTCAGGTTCAAGTGATTCTCCTGCCTCGGCCTCCTGAGTAGCTGGGATTACAGGCATGCGCCACCATGCACGGCTAATTTTTGTATTTTTAGTAGAGATGGGGTTTCACCATGTTGGCCAGGCTGGTCTCAAACTCCTGACCTCAAGTGATCTCCCTGCCTTGGCCTCCCAAAGTGCTAGGATTACAGGTGTGAGCCACCGTGCCCGGCCAGCTCTGACTACCTTCTAAAGACCCATTTCCTGTCTTTCAGTGTGGCCTCGGGTTCAACATGTTGGTAATGAGCTCTCTGCCCACTCTGGGTCTCTGACCCAGGCACCTCCATTTTCCCAGGTTCCCAGGCTCAGGCTTCTCTTTAAACTTTCCTTTGTACTTCGACTCCAGCAGTCCCCAATTCTCCAGATTCTTCCTTCAAGATATATCCCAGATTAGTCTCCCCGAATCTTCCTCCCAGCACCATCCCCTCCCATCTGTCTATTGTCCCCACTCAGTTGGGTCTGTCCTTCTGGGCTATTATTTCACAAATGGAAACTTGATCAGGCCTGTAGCACCATAGACTCTTTCTGTGGCTTTCTACCTCCCTCCATATGAAGTCCAGGCCCCCCAGCTTTCTGTGCTCTCCCAGCCAGTCTCCATCCCGTCCACCTCCACTTACCCTCTTCTTCAGCTGCAGGCAGGCCCTCCTTCCCCACGTGCCCCCATCCCTGCTCTCTCCTGCAGCATGCATTTGTTTATGTAGTTCCTCCTCCCTGGAGTGCCCTTCCCTGACTCTGGGACTGGGTGCCCGGGGACACAGAGTTGGCCAGCCTGGGCAGGTATGGGCTCCCCTGTTTGGCCCTGGGGCACCTAAGGAAACAGATGAAGAGGAGAGGGCCACATACCAGGATGATAGGAAGAAGACGAAGAAGGGAATGGACACAGTTAACTGCAGCCAACGCCACTGGGGGATGGCGTAGGCCAGGCCGGGCAGAATGAACTGGCCAAAGGTGTAGCAGTACCCGAGTGCTGTCGACATGATGGCCCGCATCCGGGTAGGCACCCATTCCACATCTGTGGGAGGAGTCCAAGCACCAGATTAGTGTTCTGCTAGGTCCCAGGCACCTCCGCGTGAAGGGGCACCAGCTTCTGCATCCCCACGGCTACTGACATCCTCCCCACGGATGCTGTTGATATCGCCCTCCGTTGGGTCTTCCTGCTGTTCTGATGCTGACCCTAAGTTCATCATCCCCATTTTACAGATGCCACAGCTGAGGCTCAAGGCGATAGGACTCAAACCTAGGTGTGTCTGTTTCCAAACTCATGCTCTTAACCACTGCTTCTCCAGTGGCAAGTGACTTTCCTTGTTCTGCCTCAGTTTCCTGATCTGTAAAATGGGAATAATAGTGTCACTTACTTGCAAGTGGTATTGAATGAGATTGTGTACCTAGCAGAGTGTCAGGTCCAGGGTAAGTCCTCAGTATTGACAGCTGCTATTACTATGCTTGTTGTCATTTTTAAATTTAAGTGAGGCCTCTGAGGTCCTGAGAGGGGGTGGCACCTTGACCAAGGTCACAGGGAGCCTGTGGTTGAGCCAGACCCAGACCCCATTCTCTTTTGGCTTCTGGATGGTGCTCCCCAAAGCCCAGCTCCATGCCCCACTGCAGCTCACTCAAGATGACGGTGCTCAGGGTAATGCCTGAGATGCCAAAGCCACACAGGAAGCGGAAGACCATGTAGATGGGGAAGGTGGGGCTGAAGGCTGCACCGGAGCCGCTGGCTGCCAGCAGCAGGTAGCTGCAGGTCAGGATGGGCCTGCGGCCAAACCTGTAGCTCGAAGGAGAGGAGGGGCCAGGTTAGCCACAGTGTGCCTGCCAAGAGGAGTGACTCTGCATGCTGTGGGGCAAAGGGCTGAATCCGACCCCCAACCTTTCCCTGTTGGGCACATAAAGCTCCCTCCCCAGACACAGCTTTCTTGGTAATTGCTATTTTTGACAAGTTTGCAATTAGAGGTTTGAGTTAATGAGTGATCTCCTCTACATCCGCCTCAGCTTAGCTGACTGAGCAGGGGTCAAAGGACCGCCCATCTCTAAGCAGTCCATCTCCTCTGCCTCCACTGCTACACAGCCACTACGCTGTGTCCCAAAACCTGGAGGTTTTTTCCCCTGGAAGAAGGGAAGGCTGGAGGCCAGACACGGTGGTTCATGCCTGTAATCCCGGCACTTTGGGAGGCCAAGATGGGAGGGTCACTTGAGGTCAGGAGTTTGAGACCAGCCTGACCAACATGGTGAAACCTCGTCTCTACTAAAAATACAAAAATTAGCCAGGCGTGGTGACACACGCCTGTAATCCCAGCTACTCGGGTGGCTGAGGCAGGAGAATCACTTGAATCCGGGAGGTGGAGGTTGCAGTGAGCTGAGATTGTGCCATCGCACTCCAGCCTGGGCAATAAGAGTGAGACTCCGTCTTAAGAGAAAAAAAAAAAAAAAAAAAAGGAAGGCTGGAAGATTCCAGTTGTAAGGGCTTTGGGGTGGAGAGAAGGCTGTGGTCCAGAAAGGTAGTGAGGTTTGCCCAAGGCCACACAGCAAGAGCCATCCCACCCTCCCCCAGCTCTTTGCCTCTTTGCGGGTGCACGGGTGGAGCAGAGTAGGGAAGGGTTGTCCCCATGGGTCATGCTTCCATGGGCTGTGCCCCCATGTCTCACCTGTCAGACAGGTCTCCAAGCACGAGCCCTCCAATCAGTATACCTGCCATGAAGATAGACTGGGCCATCTCCTTCAGTTTGTTGGAGTTGCACACCAAGTCCCACTGCACAAGAGAAAGGTAGGGCTAGCCTAACTCAGTGTAGACAGCCTGCTCAGCCATGCTCAGCCTGTGGCCTCATACATGTGGGCTTCCTCTCCCAGCGCCCTGACTTTGCCCCTACCTCCCAAGGACCGTTTCCTTTTTCAGCCCGGCTCGGAGCTCCTTGGGTTTGTCTGTGGCTCTTCGGCCCCTGACCTGCATCCCTCAGGCATGTGTGGCCTGTCATATGGCTCTCAAAGTCCACTCAGCTACCACATCCAGGTCTGGCCTCAACTGCTTCCTCCTCTCCAAGTTGCCTGCTTCCCTGTTTGCCTCCTCCCTGCCCCTCACATAGCCCAGGCCAGTCCCTCTGCGTACCCCCTTGACCTTGCCTTCTCTCCTCTACAGGGACGTTCCTCTATCCTTGCCACCTCTCTTCATCCTGCAGATCCAGTCTCTCTCTCTCTCTGCTCCTCCTCATCAGTATTTAGGTGTGTCCAAATCTCTCCATCTTAAAACCTCTTTCCTTTCCTCATTCACTCCATTTCTCTCTTCCCTTCAAAGCCAAATCCTTTGAACGAGGAGCTGTACTTGCTGTCACTCCATCCTCATCTCCTTTTCATGTCTCACTTCTGCCCCCAACCCATCCACTGAATCTGTGCTTATCAAGGTCACTGAAGTTTCATTTTTACGGCGCACAATGGAACGTCCCTAATCCTGGCCTGGCTTGCCCTCTGGCAGATGTGGATGCTGCTGATCTCGCCCTCCGTCAGGCTTCCTGCTGTTCTGCACTCCTCGTCTCCTTCACAGCTCGTTTCTCTCTGCCTAGTCCTTGAAGCTTTCCCAGGGCTCTTCCTGAATCCTCCTCTCTCTCCACTTTCCCCAGGCGATGCCATCTGTTCCTGCGGCTTCAATTCCTATTTTATACTGAAGATTCCAAATCTACAACTCCAGCCCAACCTATCTTCTGACCCACAGAGGAGTAGATTCAGTGGTCCCACTTGAGAACTCTGCCTGGATAGAGTCACAGGCACATCCCAGATTCAATGGGACTTATCACCCCACTTCTCATTAAAGTCCCAATCTCAGGGACTGGTAACCTTCTCTTTTTAATTAATTAATTAATTAAATTAATTTTTTTTTGAGACAGGGTCTCACTCTGTCACCCAGGCTGACTACAGTGGCATGATCATGGCTCAATGAAGCCTCAGTCTCCTGGGCTAAAGCCATCCTCCTAAGTAACTGGGACTACAGGTGTGCATGACCACACCTGGCTAATTTTGGATTTTGTATATAGACAGGAGCTCACTATGTTGCCCAGGCTGGTCTCTAACTCCTGGCCTCAAGTGATCTGCCTGTCTTGGCCTCCCAAAATACTGGAATTACAGATGTGAGTCACCACATCCAGCCTCTTTTTTATTTTTATTTAAAAAAAATTATATCATTTTTAATTGGCAAATCATAATTATATTACATATATGAAAACAATGTGGTGTTTTGATATATGTATGCAATGTGAAGTGATTAAATCAAGCTAATTAACATCACTTCATTTACTTGACATTTTTTGTGGTGATACTTTTGAAAGTCACCCTTCTAGTTATGGTGAAATAAACAATACATCATTATTCTTGACTGTAGCCATCATGCTGTGAAACAGATCTCAAAACGTATTCCACCCATCTAGCTGAAACTTTGTACCCTTTGATCAGTAACTCCCCATTCCTTTCCCCAGCCCCTTCCCCCCGAGCTTTTGGTAACCATCATTCTACTCTCTACTTCTGTGAATTGGACTTTTTTTTAAAGATACCATATATAAATGAGATCATGCTGATAACCCTCTTGATTCCTTCCTCCCTCTCCTACTCCACAATCACTTGATCTTCAAGATTCTAGCTTTTTGATATTTCTTGAATCTGGATTCTTCTATTTCCAATACTACTGCCTTAGTGTAGGCCTCATCATCTTGCACTTAGATTAATAATGACAACTGATATTTATTGAGGGTGTTCTAGGTACTGGGCACTGTTCTAAGCTCTTTCCATGTTTTAACTTTAATCTTCACAATAACCTTATTATGTAGGTGCTAATATCATGCTATTTTACAGATAAAGAACCTGAGGCCCAGATGAGGCTGCTGCAGCAACCTCTTGACAGGTCTACTGGACTTCGGCCTCATCCCTTCCTAGCCATTCTTTCCCTGATAACCTGAAGGGCTAAAACGCCACTCAAATCAGGTGCCTGTCTTGCCTAAAGTGCTCACTGGCTTCTCCTTGCCCTTTCGGTAAAGATAATGCCCCATTAACATGGGTTTATGAGGCCCTCCATGCTCTGGCCCCTGCCTACCTGTCTGGTCTAATCTGCTAATCCCCAACATGCACCCTTTGCTCCAGCCATCTGAATTACTTGTGCGATGAAGTGGAGAATTTAATTCAATAGAAATGCCTCACAAGAATGTTTTGGAAGCAAAACATTCCAAAAGGTGAAGAACCAAACATTCCAGGGAGCTCTTTCTCACTTTCCTCAGTTGGAAGTGAGGGAGAATGGTGGTGGATGGAATCTCCGGGTCCTACAGCTGTCTCAGAGTGGCCCAGCATGGCCAGCAAGCCTGGTGGTCCGTTTTAGTTGGGAAGGGGGCCTGCATGGTATGTGTGTTGGGAGGAGATGGAGGAGGGACAAAGGTAAAGGAAGAAGCAAGGGGGTGTGAGGTGGAGGAATGTGCAAGGGGCCATCTAGAGAGACTTCTGGTACTTTGTGGCATGCTGTGTAAAGTCCCTTTAGGAAAATCTAAAGGAGAGACCTACTGTTCACCTAAATTCATTCACCCCTTCTTCCATAGTAAATAGCACATTTCCCTGATGACCTTGTACTGAGTGGGGCCATGTAGTTCTTGACAATGGAATGTGAGTAGAAGAGATGTATGTTACTTCCACCTCATTTGCTTAAGAGGGATTCCCTAGTCTGGACTTGCATGCTTTCTTCCCCTCCTGTTGGTGGGAATGGTGACAACTAGAACAACTCTGGAGAGTTGCTGTCAGTCTGGGTCCCTGAATGACTCTGTGAAGCAGAACCACCCATTGGCCTAAAATGCTACTCACCTTGGAACTGTTACATGAGAAAGAGAAACACTTCAATATTTTTCGAGCCATGAATTATTGTTGTTATAATAACCTAGCCTATCCTGATACATCCCATAAGAAGTTGCAAATGGAAATTAGATTTTTATCCCAACCTCCATGATAATTAGTGCCTTAAGAAATCAATAATCTGTTTGGATCATGAGAAGGTCAATTGTCAGACCTGCTTGGAAGGTTTCAGGCTGCTGTCCTGCTCCACCATCTGAGACCAGATCTGCTGGATCTTGGTTTCTACCATGATACTTGTGATCATGTAGGCTTTAGAATAACTGTCATGAGCTGGTTTCTACCAGAAAATTGAGCAATTTACAGAAAATATCATTCCTGGAATAAACTTTTGAGACCTGTTTAGAACATGCCTGAATCCTTACAATGGCTTACGAGGCCCTGGAAAATCAGCCAACATCTTTATCCCTGTCACCTCTCTGCTCTTACCTGCTACTGCCCTCTCCCTCACATACTCCACTCTCGTTGAATTGTTCGCCTTGCTGCTCCATAAACATTTCAAGCATGCTCCTACCTCAGAGTCTTGGTGTATGTTGTTCTCTTTTTCTAGAATGTTCTCCCAGATAGCTACTTGACTTGCACCTCCTTCAGATCTTTGCTCAAATGTTATCTTCTCAGTGAGACCTCCCTATTTACAATTATAACTCCCAGCAGCCTATACCTCTCTACCCTACTTAATTTTCTCAGTAGTGCTTATACCATCAGAATGCTGAATGATTTTCCATCTTTTTGGTTTATTGCATGTTTCTCTCCCAAGAATATCAGCCTGATGAAGATAAGGCTTTTAGTCTGTTTTGTTTACTACTGTACTTTCATTATCAAGAACAGTATCCGATACATACTAGGCACTCAATACTTGTGGAATTGAATGTGTGAACATTCCACAGAAAGAACAGAGGGATTGAGAGCCTTAGAAGTTAGAGATCTGCCAGTGTCTACATGAGAGGTCATAGGGCCCACACTCCAAATGCTATGTGCCTCATTTCACCAGAATGAGTGCATGTCAATATGGATAGTGTCTAGGCTGTATGTGCTGAGGATATAACCACACGCCAGTGAGCAGGAGAGAAGTGTTTTTTCTTCACAGTCAGACTGGGAAACCTACTATGGAAAAATTGTCTACTGGAGGATTATCATCCTTCAATGACATTTAGAAGCTTGGAAGGAAGAGTGATTTGTGGTTAAATATTTTTAAAAAATTGAACTTCAATTGCACTCTAAATTGCTCCCAGAGATTTCATGGTTAATGAAGCACATCAGAACTGATGAGAAAAATATGGCCATGGCTTCCCTAAAGATCAACACAAATCTGTTTTCCCTGAAGACCAACACAAATCTTCCCTGAAGATCAGGAGAAAGCTTTGCAAATAATGCCATAATAACCTTATAAAGTAGGTACTCGTGTTATTTCTTTTTATAGACAAAGAATCTGATCTCACAGGGTAAGTGGCTTGCCCAAGCATGGCTTGGTTCATTTCAAGACAGAGACTGAAACTCAGATCTGAGATCTGCAACTGTTATGGGTTGACTTGTGTCCCTCCAAAAAATACATTGAAGTTTTAACTCTTCGTGGATCAGAATACGACCTCATTTGGAAATAGAGTTGTTGTAGATGTAATTAGCTAAGTTATAATATGAGGAGATTATACTGAGGTAGAGTGGGTTCTTAATTCACTATGACTCGTGTTCTTATAAGAAGACAAGAGAGAGACACATGGGGATGTTATGATCCACAGAGGCAGAGATTGGACTGATGCGTCTACAAGCTGGGGAATGCCAAGGGTTTCCGGCAACCACCAGAAGCTGGCAGAGGCAAGGAAGGATTCTTCCCTAGAGCCTTTGGAGAGGACACACCAACACCTTGAGTTTGGATTTCTAGACTCCAGATCTGTGAGACAATAAAATCTGTTGTTCTGAGCCACCCAATTTGTTGTGCTTTGTTATGGTAGCCCTAGGAAACTAATATACGGCACGATTCCTGAATATTTGAAGGAACTGCTGGCTTTATAAGGGGTGATTGGAAGAGGATTGGGACTAGACAAGCATGGCAATGAGGGAACCAGATGTGGAGCAAATGGGAGAGATTTTTAAAGGCATCCTGGAATTTCTGGGAGAGAGGAAGGTATTTAGAGAGAATTTTGGCATGCTTTCTGTGCAAAGACCCTAAGAAGGCCCTTTTAAGAAAACTTAGGCTAGATGTCTTGATTATTACTCAGGGTGTCAAGAGTGTGACTTGTGTTTCCCTTGACTGTGTCTCCATGGTAGTCTGAGCCATGCAAGTCCTTGGATTCCATCAGGTTACACTACAGAAGCTCCATGCTATTGCATTTCTCTTTGCTTTGGTGCTGGTTATGATCCCCTTATTCTAGTAGTGTTGGCAGTCCTTTGAAACTCATGTCAATATCGTCTTTTTGGAGAGCCAGGAACTTCTTTTATGGTCGTCTGGCACAAACAGGTGGTCAATAAGTGTTTGTCAGTTCGATAAATGGATAAGAGTGTCTAGCCGCCCAGGGTAGGTAAGGTGCTCCTCATTTCCCTTTCTTGTTCTTACCTCCAATAGGGCACCTATTACATGGCATTCTAACTGCTTATTCACTTGTTTGCTGTCCTGTATTCTGTAATCTTGCTGAGGACTGAGAATGTCTCATTTGAGTTTTTTTTTTTTTTTTTTTTTTTTTTTTTTGAGACAGAGTCTTGCTCTGTTACTCAGGCTGGAGTACAGTGGTGCAATCTCAGCTCACTGTAACCTCTACCTCCCAGGTTCAAGTGATTCTCCTGCATCAGCCTCCTGAGTAGCTGGGATTATAGGCATGCGCCACCATGCCTGGCTAATTTTTTTTTTTTTTAGTAGAGACAAGATTTCACCATGTTAGCTAGCATGGTTTTGACCTCCTGACCTCATGATCCTCCCGCCTAGGCCTCCCAAAGTGCTGGGATTACAGGCGTGAGCCACCGCGCCCAGCCTTGAGGTTTTATCTCTAATAGCTAGCAGAATAGTTGCTACATAGTATATGTTAATGTTTCCTCAACAAATAATTAATGAGTGAACAGGGCTGGGAGAATTTTGGCATGCTTTCTGTACCAAGACCCTGAGGAGGCCCTGTTAAGAAAACCTATAGCAGATGTCTTGATTATTACTCAAAGTGTTGAGTGTGACTTGTGTTTCCCTGGACTGTGTCTCCATGCATAGGCTGTGCCACTTGGAGTCCTTGGATTTAATTATCCTTATTTTACTGAGGAAGCCCAGAGAGGGAAGAAAGGCAACTTGTTGGTTGAACAGAGCCAGTTACTCAACCTCCTGGTGGTTCTGTTTAGTCCTCGGCATGACCTTGGCTGATCCGTCTCATCAACTTTTGGCAATTCCACATAATGTTCTTGCTCCCAGTATTCTAGTTCAGTGTTCCTTTTTTTCTTACTCTGTCTCCCAGGCTGGAGTACAGTGGTGCGATCTCGGCTCACTGCAACCTCTGCCTCCCAGGTTCATGCGATTCTCCTGTCTCAGCCTCCGGAGTAGCTGGGACTACAGGCACCCACCACCATGCCTGGCTAATTTTTGTATTTTTAGTAGAGACGAGGTTTCACCATGTTGGACTAGGCTGGTCTCAAACTCCTGACCTCAGGTGATCCACCTGCCTCAGCCTCCCAAAATGCTGGGATTACAGGCATAAGCCACTGCGCCTGGCCTAGTTCAGTGTTCTTGACCATCTTTTTCCTTTCTTGGAATGTAGCCGAGCCCCAAGGGAGCTGGGTTCTGGAAGGAAAGGGTAGGAAACTCACTGCCATGCCTTTCTGTATGGGCTGATGCATCAGGAAGGTGGTGGGGAAGAAAGAGAAAAGCACGATGCTCAGGAGAAAGCTTTGCAATTAATGGCGTAATAACCTTATAAAGTAGGTACTATTGTTATCTCTTTTTATAGACAAAGAACCTGAGGCTCAGAGGGTAAGTGGCTTGCTCAAGCATAGCTTAATTCATTTCAAGAAAGAGACTCAAACTCAGGTCTGCTGGACCCAAGATGCTACCCTTGGCCCTGAGCACAGCTCCTTGATGCCTCCCTGCGTGCCGTGCTCTGAGGCCTGGGCTGCTGAAGGAAAGGCACCATACACGGGAGCTGTTACTGTGAGCCACTGTAAGACAGCATAGCCCAGCATAGGCTGGGATTGTGGTCAAGGAGGCAGTCAAGGTCAGAGCCAGATAAGCTGCTCTGACATCATATCCAAAGTGTGAGCAGCAAGAAGTGAGGCTAGGTGGCCCCTGCAGAGCATGAGGCAGAAAGTGGGCTGTAGAGAGTCAGGACGAGCCATTTGTGATCAGGACCATGATCAGCAGGATGGGGCCCTGCTGTGTGTGCGGGGAGCTGGCTGAACCAGGAAACAGCCTGCCTTAGTTCAGGGGCCTTTTGGAGCTAGGTCAGGTCTAGCTTAGGGGAGAATTGCTGCTGCCCATGTGCATTCCTGGATCCCTAGAGGAACCTGTGCTGGGGCAAAAGGACCAGAGAGGATGAGCCAGGTATCTTGGGGACAGTCAAAAAGACATCAGTTTCCAGCTCTGCCACTTAGGAGCTATGTGTTCTGGGGCCAATTACTTAACCTCCGTGTGGCTCAGCCTCTTCATCAGTACCCACAGGTACCTAGTACCTGCTTCTCAGGCTTGTGAATGACATAGGAATGAAAAGCACCCAGCACTTATACCTGGAAAACAATAGGCACTCAATTCACAATAGCTGTCTTATTATTATTGTCACTATTAATGCCATTAAGTCATTGTAAGGCCTGTGCTCACAGGGACAGCTCATGCAGTAGAAAGGGCATGGATTCTGTAGTCAGGACCTCCCAACACCCCCCGTCTTCTGTAAAAGCTTGACCCACCATCATGTCTGGGAAGGCCACCTTCTGGATCTGAGCCCGGTGTATTCCTCTGTAAAATGGGGACAATAGTGCCTGATTTGCAGGGTCACGAGAGAAGGGATGCAAACACCAGCCCAGGTCCCTGCGTACAGTGGGTGCTCACTGGTGAGTTCCTGATCCTGGAGAGCTCACAGGAAGGTCCCACCTCCTCCTGCGCACATAATCAGGGGCTTTCTCGGTCAGGGCTGTCAATAGGGATCAGGCTGGCTTGAAAAGTGGTTTGGGTGGGGCTCTCAGGCCTTTTCCCAGGAGTCAGATTGGAGGCGAGGAAAGAGATGGAGGAGGATGAGCCCCCGGCAGGGCTGAGGGTGGGCAAATGGGGGTGTGAAGCAGAAGTGCTGCTGGAGATGAGAGATGGGCAACTGGGGACTGGGGATTGGGATGAAGGAGGGTCAGAGGCGGCTGACCAGAGACCCGGCAGGGGACCCTCCCAGGGTGGAAGTCTGCTCACAAGAGGCCTCACTGGGCAGCCTCTCTGCTTCTCCAGCAGCTGACCTGGGGCCTCCTTGGAGCAGTCTTCCACCCTGGAGAGGGTGGGGGACGGGCTTCTTGCAGCCCTGGAGACAAGGCAGGGAGGCTCAAGGCCCAGAGACGAAGCCCAGGGCCCTTAGAGAGATGGGTCTTGCTCATCCATGGCCAGGCCCAGGCCCTGAGGCCCACAAGCTGAGGTTCAGTGGTGGGGACTATGGGGTACGTGCCTCTCCAGGGAGCCCAGAGTCCAGAATTCGTGTTCCCATGCTTTCTAGACTTAAAGGCCTTTGTTTCCTCTTAATGTCCTAGTAAAGCTCATTCTGAAAAATCCTGACCTTCTCTGCTGCACCAAGAGAAAGGAATTTGTGGTCACCCCTGCCAGGAAAGCTTAGGGGATCAGAAGGGGGAGGGAGACCGCCTCCACTCCTGTCCAGACCCAGTGCTGGGCTTGTGCACTCCACCAGCTCAGCCCTCCAGCCCTCTTGCCCCCTCCAAGAGGGACCCTCCTTAAAATCCCCATTCTACAGATGAGGGGACTGAAGCTGGAGTGGCGAGGTCACTTGCCAGGTTGCTGACTGTGGGGGAGGAGCTGGATCTGAGCAGA